>NW_025791760.1:0-300000 GCF_000001405.40 Homo sapiens
GAATTCTATGAAGGCTTAGAGTGGTAAGGAAGCTGTAGAAGAAAAGTTTGAAGCTACCAGAGGTTGGTTCCTGAGGTTTAAGGAAAGAAGCCAGCTCCATCACATAAATTAAGTGCAAGATGAAAGCAGCCAGTGCTGACAGAGAAAATGCAGCAAGTTATCCAGGATATTTAAGATCATTGATGAAGGGGGCTACACGCAACAACAGATTTGCAATGTAGACAAAACAGCTTTTTATTGGAAGAAGATGCCATCTAGGACTTTCATAGCTAGAGAGAAGTCAATGTGTGGCTTCAAAACTTCATGGGACAGCCTGACTCTCTTGTTAGGGCTAATGCAGCTGGTGACTTTAAATTGAAGCCAGTGCTCATTTGTCATTCTGAAAATCCTAGGGCCCTTAAGCATTGTGTGAAATCTACTCTGTCTGTGCTCTATAAATGGAACAACAAAGCCTGAATGACAGCACATCTGTTTATAGCATGGTTTACTGAGTATTTTAAGCCCAGGGCTGAGACCTACTGCTTAGAAAAATGTTACTGCTCATTGACAGTGCACCTAAACACCTCAGAGCTCTGATAGAGATGCACAAGGAGATTAATATTTTCATGCCTGCAAATACAACATCCACTCTGAAGCCCATGGATCAAGGAGTGATTTCAACTTTCAAGCCTTACTATTATTTAAGAAACACATTTCGTAAGGCTATAGCTGCCACAGTAATTCCTCTGATGGATCTGAACAAAGTAAATTGAAAGCCTCTGGAAAGGAGTCACCATTCTAGATGCCATCAAGAACATTCGTGATTCATGAGAGGAGATCAAATATCCACATTACTGGGAGTTTGGAAGAAGCTGATTTCAGCTCTCATGGATGACTTTGCAGGGTTCAAGCCTTCAGTGAAGGAAGTAATTGATGATATGGCAGAGAGAGAAAGAGAACTAGAATTAGAAGTGGAGCCTGGGCCAGGCGCGGTGGCTCACGCCTGTAATCCCAGCACTTTGGGAGGCAGAGGTGGGTGGATCACCTGAGCTCAGGAGTTCGAGACCAGCCTGGCCAACATGGTAAAACCCCGTCTCTACTAAAAATACAAAAATTAGCAGGGCGTGGTGGCGCGTGCCTGTAATCCCAGCTACTCAGGAGGCTGAGGCAGGAGAATCGCTTGAACCCAGGAGGTGGAGGTTGCAGTGAGCCGAGATCACACCACTGCACTCCAGCCTGGGTGACAAGAGCAAAACTCCGTCTCAAAGGAAAAAAAAAAAAAAAAAAGTGGAGCCTGAAGATGTGACTGAATTGGAATTGTTGCCAATCTCATGGTAAAGCCTGAACAGACAGTTGCTTCTTGTGGATGAGCAAAGGAAGTAGCTTCTTGAGATGGAATCTACTACTCCTGGTGAAGATGCTGTGAACACTGTTGAAATGACAACAAAGGATTTAGAATGTTACATAAACTTAGTTGACAAAGCTGCAGCAGGGTTTAAGAGGAGGGACTCCAATTTTGAATGAAGTTCTACTGTGAGTAAAACACTATCAGACAGCATGCTACACAGATATTTTGTGAAAGAAAGAGCCAATTGATGTGGCAAACTTCACTGTTGTCTTATTTTAAGAAATTGTCACAGCCACCCCAACCTTCAGAAACCACCGACCTGATTAGTCAGCAGCCATCATCATTGAGGCAAGACCCTCCACCAGCAAAAAGATAGTTTTTTGTTTTTTTTTTTAGATGGAGTCTCACTCTGTCGCCCAGGCTGGAGCACGTCTAGCTCTGTCACCCAGGCTGGAGTGCGATAGTGCAATCTTGGCTCACTGCAACCTCAGCCTCCTGGGTTCAAGCAATTCTCCTGCCTCAGCCTCCCTAGTAGCTGGGATTACAGGCATCTGCCACCACACCCAGCTACTTTTTTTGTATTTTTAGTAGAAACAGGGTTTCACTATGTTGGCCAGGCTTGTCTTGAACTCCTGACCTCAGGTGATCCACCCACCTCGGCCTCCCAAAGTACTGGGATTACGGGTATGAGCCACTGTGTCTGACCTACGGGATAGTTTAAACATAACTTATATGCACTAGGAAACAAAAAATTTGTGTCACTTGCTTTATTGCAATATTTAACATATCAAATAAGCTTAAGTAGTCTAGTAGATCTACTTTTATAAGATGAGAAACAAATCCTTTAAGATCTTCCAGGGGTTCTCTGGGAAATTCCGAAGTTAGTTCAAGGTTGAAAAAAAAAAAAGACTTTATTTAGAATTTGGTTTTGGGGAGGAGCAAAGATGTCCAGTTAGAAGCAGCTGCGGTTTGCAGCACTCATGGAGAGGAATGAAAGGAGCAAGTTAATACAGCACCTTCAACTGAAATATCCAGGTTCTCACATTGGGAGTGACTAGGCAAATGACTTGACCCATGAAGAATGAAGAAAAGCAGGGTGGGGCAATGGCCCACACAGGAGCAGCACAGAGCCAAAGGAACCCCCACCCCCAGCCAAGGGAAGCGGTGAGTAATTGTGTGACCCCACTCGGGAAACCATGCTTCTCCCATGGATCTTTGCAACTTGTGGATCAGGAGATCCCCTCGTGAGCCCACACTACCAGGGCCTAGGGTCCAATACACAAAGCTGTGTGGAGTCTCAGCAAAGCAGCAACTCAGGCATACACAGAGACCCAGGAGTTTTACATACTCCAGCCCTGGGATCCCCAGCAAGGCGGGAGGTCCACTCGTACATACCTCTAGAAAGGGTGCTGAATCCAGGGAGCCAAGCAGTATCATTCTGCAGGCCCCACTTCCATGGCATCTCTTAAGATAAGACCCACTGGTTTGGAATTCCAGCCAGCCAACAGCAACTGGCTGGAGTCTGCCTGAGACAGGACAGAGTTCCCAGGGGCGGGGCAGCTGAACCACCTCTGTGGTTCAGTCAACTCAGCCGTTCCAGCCTGTCCAAATGGTGCGGAAGAGGAAGTGTCCCCCACAATGCAGCATAGCTGCTTTGCCAGATCATGGCCAGACTGTTTTAAGCAGCACCTTGATCCATTCCTCCTCACTGGGTGGGACCTCCCTGCAGGGGCTTTAGCCACTCCAGCCAGGGTTATACGAACAGAGCTCTGATCTCTCCCAGGGATGGAGCTCCCAAGGGGAGGGACAGCTATCTCTGTGATTTGGTCGACTCAGCCATTCCAGCCTGTTGGCTTTGGAGAGTCCAAACTGTCCAGACCTGGAAGTGTCCCCACCCCACTGCCCCCAAAGCAGCACACCTGCTCTACCAAAAAGCAGCCAGACTGCTTCTTTAAGTGGATCCCTAATCCCATTTCTCCTGACTGGGTGAAACCCCCCCAACAAGCATGTTTGGGCCGGCAACAGGTCAGCACCCCCCTGGGATGGAGCTTCCAGAGTAAAGAGCAGGCTGCCATCTTTGCTGTTTCATAGCCTTCACTGGTGATATCTCCAGGCACAAGAAAAACTGAGGCAACTAGGGTTTGGAGTGGACCCCAGCAAACCGCAGCAGCCCTAAAGAATACTGGCCTGATTATTAAAAGAAAAACAAACAAACAGAAAACAAAACAACATCAACAAAAAAGACCCCACAAAAATCCCATTCAAAGGTCAGCAACCTCAAAGATCGAAGGTAGCTAAGCCCACAAAGATGAGAAAAAAATCAATGCAAAAGTGCTGAAAACTCAAAAAGCCAGAGTGCTTTGTCTCCTCCAAATGACCACAACACCTCTCCAGCAAGGGCACAGAATTGGGCTGAGGCTGAGATGGCTGAAGAGACAGAAGTAGGCTTCAGAAAGTGGGTAATAACAAACTTTGCTGAGCTAAAGGAGCATATTGTAACCCAATGCAAAGAAGCTAAAAATCATTATAAAATGATACAGGAGCTGACAGCCAAAATAGCCAGTTTAGAGAGGAACATAACTGACTTGATGGAGCTAAAAACACAACATGAGGACTTCACAATACAGTTACAAGTATCAATAACAGAATAGACCAAGCAGAGGAAAGAATCTCAGAGCTCAAAGGCTATCTTTCTGAAATGAGACAGGCAGACAAGAATAGAGAAAAAAATAATGAAAAGGAATGAACAAAACCTCTGAGAAACATGAGGTTATGTAAAGAGACTGAAGTTACGACTGATTGGGGTACCTGAAAGAGATAGAGAGAATGGAACCAAGTTGGAAAACATACTTCAGGATATCATCCAGGAGAACTTCCCCAACCTAGCAAGATAGGCCAACATTCAGGAAATGCAGAGAACCCCAGTAAGATACTCCATGAGAAAATCAACTCTAAGACATATAATCATCAGATTCTCCAAGGTCAAAGTGAAAGAAAAAATGTTAAGAGCAGCCAGAGAGAAAGGCCAGGCCACTTACAAAGGGAAGCCTATTAGACTAACAGCCGACCTCTCAGCAGAAACCTTACTGGCCAGAAGCAATTGGGGACCAATATTCAACATTCTTAAAGAAAAGAATTTCCAACCCAGAATTACATATCCAGCCAAACTAAGCTTCATAAGCAAAGGAGAAATAAGATCCTTTTCAGACAAACAAATGCTGAAGGAATTCATCACCACCAGGCCTGCCTTGCAAGAGCTTCTGAGGGAAGCACTAAATATGGAAAGGAAAAACTGTTACCGGCCACTACAAAAACACACTGAAGTACACAGACCAGTGACACTATGAAGCAATTGCATAAACAAGTCTGCAATATAACCAGCTAGCATCATGATGACAGGATCAAAGTCACAAATAACAATACTAACCTTAAATGTAAATGGGCTAAATGCTTCCAATTAAAAGACACAGACTAGCAAGCTGAATAAAGAGCCAAGACCCATCAGTATGCTGTCAAGAGATCCATCTCATGTGCAAAGACACACATGGGCTCAAAATAAAGGGATGGAAGAAAATTTACCAAACCTGGAGTCCCTCTCCCTCTCCCTCTCCCCACGGTCTCCCTCTCCCCACGGTCTCCCTCTCACTCTCTTTCCACGGTCTCCCTCTGATGCCCAGCCGAACCTGGACTGTACCCCTGCCATCTCGGCTCACTGCAACCTCCCTGCCTGATTCTCCTGCCTCAGCCTGCCGAGTGTCTGCGATTGCAGGCGCGCGCCGCCACGCCTGACTGGTTTTCGTATTTTTTTGGTGGAGACGGGGTTTCGATGTGTTGGCCAGGCTGGTCTCCAGCTCCTAACCGCGAGTGATCCGCCAGCCTCGGCCTCCTGAGGTGCCAGGATTGCAGACGGAGTCTCGTTCACTCAGTGCTCAGTGGTGCCCAGGCTGGAGTGCAGTGGCGTGATCTCGGCTCGCTACAACCTCCACCTCCCAGCAGCCTGCCTTGGCCTCCCAAAGTGCCGAGATTGTAGCCTCTGCCCGGCCGCCACCCCGTCTGGGAAGTGAGGAGCGTCTCTGCCTGGCTGCCCATCGTCTGGGATGTGAGGAGCCCCTCTGCCTGGCTGCCCAGTCTGGAAAGTGAGGAGCGTTTCTGCCCGGCCGCCATCCCATCTAGGAAGTGAGGAGCGCCTCTTCCCGGCCGCCATCCCATCTAGGAAGTGAGGAGCATCTCTGCCCGGCCGCCCATCGTCTGAGATGTGGGGAGCGCCTCTGCCCTGCCGCCCCGTCCGGGATGTGAGGAGCGTCTCTGCCCGGCCGCCCCGTCTGAGAAGTGAGGAGACCCTCTGCCTGGCAACCGCCCCGTCTGAGAAGTGAGGAGCCCCTCAGCCCAGCAGCCGCCCCGTCTGAGAAGTGAGGAGCCCCTCCGCCTGGCAGCCACCCCGTCTGGGAAGTGAGGAGCGTCTCCGCCCGGCAGCCACCCTGTCCGGGAGGGAGGTGCGGGGGTCAGCACCCCGCCCGGCCAGCCGCCCCGTCCGGGAGGTGAGGGGCGCCTCAGCCCGGCCGCCCCTACTGGGAAGTGAGGAGCCCCTCTGCCCGGCCACCACCCCGTCTGGGAGGTGTACCCAACAGCTCATTGAGAACGGGCCATGATGACAATGGCGGTTTTGTGGAATAGAAAGGGGGGAAGGTGGGGAAAAGATTGAGAAATCGGATGGTTGCCGTGTCTCTGTAGAAAGAGGTAGACATGGGAGACTTTTCATTTTGTTCTGTACTAAGAAAAATTCTTCTGCCTTGGGATCCTGTTGATCTGTGACCTTACCCCCAACCCTGTGCTCTCTGAAACATGTGCTGTATCCACTCAGGGTTGAATGGATTAAGGGCGGTGCAAGATGTGCTTTGTTAAACAGATGCTTGAAGGCAGCATGCTCGTTAAGAGTCATCACCACTCCCTAATCTCAAGTACCCAGGGACACAAACACTGCGGAAGGCCGCAGGGTCCTCTGCCTAGGAAAACCAGAGACCTTTGTTCACTTGTTTATCTGCTGACCTTCCCTCCACTATTGTCCTGTGACCCTGCCAAATCCCCCTCTGCGAGAAACACCCAAGAATGATCAATTAAAAAAAAAAAAAAAATTTATCAAACCTGTGGAAAACAGAAAAAAGCAGGGGTTGCAATCCTAGTTGCTGACAAAACAGACTTTAAACCAACAAAGATTAAAAAAAAGACAAGGGCATTACGTAATGGTAACGCATTCAATTAAACCAAAAGAGCTATTATAAATATATATTCCTAATACAGGAACACCCATATTCATAAAGCAAGTTCTTAGAGACCTACAAAGAAACTTAGACTCCCACACAATAATAGTGCAAGACCTTAACACCACTGACAATATTAGACAGATCATTGAGACAGAAAATTTAAAAAGATATTCAGGACCTGAACTCAGGTCTGGATCAAGTGGACTTGATAGATATCTACAGAACCCTCCACCCCAAAACAACAGAATATACATTCTTCTCATTACCACGTGGCATATACTCTAAAATTGATCACATATTTGGAAGTAAAACACTCCTCAGCAAATGCAAAGGACTGAAATAATAACAAACAGTCTCTCAGATCACAGCACAATCAAATTAGAACTCAAGATTAAGAAATTCACTCAAAACCACACAACTACATGGAAGCTGAACAACCTGCTCCTGAATGACTCTTGGGTAAATCATGAAATGAAGGCAGAAATCAAGAAGTTCTTTGAAACTAATGAGAACAAAGAGACAACATACCAGAATATCTGGGACACAGCTAAAGCAATGTTAAGAGGGAAATTTATAACACTAAATGCCCACATGAAAAAGCTAGAAAGATCTGAAATTGACATCCTAACATCGTAGCTAAAAGAACTAGAGAACCAAGAGCAAACAAACTGCAGAAGACAAGAAATAACCAAGCTCAGAGGGAAACCGAAGGAGAAAGAGACATGAAAAAGCCTTAAAAAATCAATGAATCCTGGAGCTGATTTTTTTTTTTTTTTTTTTTTTTGAGACAGAGTCTCACTTTGTTGCCCAGGCTGGAGTGCAGTGGCATGATCTTGGCTCACTGCAAGCTCCGCCTCACGGGTTCATGCCATTCTCCTGCCTCTGCCTCCCAAGTGGGACTACAGGCGCCCACCACCACACCCGGCTAATTTTTTGTATTTTTTAGTATTTTTTAGTAGAGACGGCGGGGGGGGGGGGGTTTCACCATGTTAGCCAGGGTGGTCTCGATCTCCTGACCTCGTGATCCGCCCACCTCGGCCTCCCAAAGTGCTGGGATTACAGGCATGAGCCACCGTGCCCAGCCTGGAGCTGGTTTTTTGAAAAAAAAAAAAAAAATTAATAAAATAGGCTACTAGCTAGACTATAAAGAAGAAAAGAGAGAAGAATCAAATAAACACAATCAGAAATGATAAGGGGGATATCTTCACTGACCTTAAAGAAATACAAACAACGATCAAGAATACTTTAAACAGTTCTATGCACATAAACTAGAAAATCTGGAAGAAATGAATAAAATACTGGACACATACACCCTCTCAAGACTGAATCAGGAAGAAATTAAATCCCTGAATAGACCAATAACAAGTCCTGAAATTGAGGCAGTAATAAGTAGCCTACCAATGAAAAAAAGCCCAGGACCAGACATATTCACAGCTGAATTCCACCAAAAGTACAAAGAAGAGCTGGTACTATTTCTACTGAAAGTATTCAAAAAAATCGAAAAGGAGGGACTCCTCCCTAACTCATTCTATGAGGCCAGCATTGTCCTGATACCAAAACCTGGCAGAGATACAACAAAAAAAGAAATTTCAAGCCAATTTCCTTGATGATCATTGATGCAAAAATCCTCAATAAAATACTGGCAAACTGAATCCAGCAGCACATCAAAAAGGTTATCCACGACAATCAAGTTGGCTTAATCTCCAGGATGCAAGGTTGGTTCAACATATGCAAATCAGTAAATGTGATTAATCACATAAACAGAACTAAAGACAAAAACCACGTGATTATCTCAATATGCAGAAAAGGCCTTCGATAAAATTCAACATCACTTCATGTTAAAAATTCTCAATAAACTAGGTATTGAAGGAACATACCCCAAAATAATAAGAGCCATATATGACAAACTCACAGCCATATCATACTGAATGGGCAAAAGCTGGAAGCACTCCCCTTGAAAACCAGCACAAAACAAGGATGCTCTCTCTCACCACTTCTATTCAACATAGTATTGGAAGTTCTGGCCAGGGAAATCAGGCAAGAGAAAGAAATAAAGGGTATTCAAATAGGAAGAGAGGAAGTCAAATTGTCTTTGGAGATGACATGATCCTATATCTAGAAAACCCCATCATCTTGGCCCAAAAGTTTCTTAAGCTGATAAGCAACTTCAGCAAAGTCTCAGGATACAAAATCAATGTGCAAATATCTCTAGCATTCATATACACCAACAACAGACTAGCAGAGAGCCAAATCATGAATGAACTTCTATTCATAATGGCTATAAAAAGAATGAAATACCTAGGAATACAGCTAACAAGGGAAGTGAAGGTCCTCTTCAAGAACTACAAACCACTGTTCAAAGAAATTAGAGAGGACACAGACAAATGGAAAAACATTCCATGCTCATGGATAGGAAGAATCAATATCATAAAAATGGCCATACTGCCCAAAGTAATTTATAGATTGAATGGCATTCCCATTAAACTACCATCAACATTCTTTACAGAATTAGAAAAAAACTATTTTAAAATTCATATGGAACCAAAACAGAGCCCAAATAGCCAAGACAATCCTAAGCAAAAAGCACAAAGCTGGAAGCATCACACTACCCAACTTCAAACTATACTACTAGGCTGCAGTAACCAAAACAGTATGATACTGGTACAAAAACAGACACATAGACCAATGGAACAGAATAGAGAACCCAGACATAAAGTTGCATACCTACAGCCATCTGAGCTTCAACAAAGTTGACAAAAATAAGCAATGGGGAAAGGACTCCCTATTCAATAAACAGTGCTGGAATAGCCAGCAAGCCATATGCAGAAAATTGAAACTGGACCCCTACCTTTCACTATATACAAATATTAACTCAAGATGGATTAAAGATGTACATGTAAGACCTCAAAGTATAAGAATCCTAGAAGAAAACCTAGAAGACACCATTCTGGACATTGGCCTCAGGAAAGAATATATGATTAAGTTCTTAAAAGCAATTGTGCCAAAAGCAAAACTTGACAAGTGGGACCTAATTAAACTAAAGAGCTTATGCATAGCAAAAGAGACCATCAACAGAGTAAACAGACAACCCACAGAATGGGAGAAAATATTAACAAACTATGCATCTGACAAAGGTCTAATATTTATAATCTATAAGGAACTTAAACAATTAAAAACAACCCCATTAAAAAGTGGGCAAAAGAACAGACACTTCTCAAAAAAAGACATACAAGTGGCCAACAAACATATGAAAAAATGCCCAACATCAGTAATCATCAGGGAAATGCAAATCAATACTATAATGAGATACCATCTTACACCAGTAAGAATGGCTATTATTAAAAACAAAAAATAACATGCTGGGAAGGCTATGTAGAAAAGGGAATGCTTATACACTGCTGGTGGGAATGTAAATTAGTTCAGCCATTATGGAAAGCAGTTTGGCGATTTCTTGGAGAACTTAAAACAGAGCTACTATTCAATTCAGCAATCCCATTACTGAGTGTATATCCAGAAGAAAATAAATCATTCCACCAAAAAGACACACACACTCATATGTTCATTGCAACACTATTCACAATAACAAAGACACAGAATCAGACTAGGTGCCTATCAACAGTGGATTGGATAAAGAAAATGTGGAACATATACCATGGAATTCTATGCAGCTGTAAAAAAGAATAAAATTATGTCCTTCGCAGCAACATAGATGCAGCTGAGGCCATTATCTTAAGCAAATTAACACAGGAACAGAAAACCAAATACCACATGTTCTCACTTATAAGTGGGAGTTAAACACTGGGTACTCATGGACACACAGATGAAAACAATAGATGTTGGGGACTACTAGAGGGAGGAGTAAGTGGGGAGAGAGAGGCAAGGGTTGAAAAACTAACTATTGAGCACTATGCTCAGCACCTTGGTGACAGGATCAATCATACTCCAAACCTCAGCATCATGGAACATACCCAGGTAACAAACCAGCACATGTACCTCCTGAATCTAAAACAACAGATGAAATTATATTTTAAAAAGAACACGAAGCACAACAAATTATTTTGATAGGATATAGACTTTTTGTTTCCCAGGCAGATCCCTAAAAAAGTAAAGAAAAACCCTTCATAATCTCTTATTAGGAATAGACCAATAACCTAAGAAACCTGGTTATTTTAACAGAGAGAAAAAAAAAACTAATCTCTAATTTTATATCAGCACATTTTAAAAATATTTATAAGTAAATCTATTTAATCCTAGCCAGCTTTGACCTTGCAACACAAAATTTCTTTTCCTCAGAACTTCTGCAACTTTCTATATTCATTTAGGTTTCATCTTTTTCTTTTATTTTGGAATAACCGGTCATTTTATTTTAGGACAAAATTACTCTACTTTCACCTAATGGAAACATGCCCTTCATTCTTTTTAAAATCAAAAACACATTCTACTTTTTTGCATACCTTATTGATTGATTGATTGATTGATTGAATTGGGGGTCTCACTACATAGCCCAGGCTGAATGTGAACTCCTGGGCTCAAGTAATCCTCCTGCCTCAGCCTCCCAAGTAGCTGGGACTGCAGGGACCTGTCACAGCATCCGACTGCAGACTTTTAATATAAAAACACATCCTGTTTTTCTCCCATACTTTGAACACAGGGTTTTTACCCTTCACCCTTTTGGTTTCTAATAGTTTCATTTACATATATTGATTTTATATGTATATATGTATGTATATATATATATATATATATATTTTTTTTTTTTTTTTTTTTTTTTTCTGAGACAGAGCCTTGCTCTGTCACCCAGGCTGGAGTGCAGTGGCACGATCTCGGCTCACTGCAACCTCTGCTTCCTGGGTTCAAGCGTTTCTCCTGCCTCAGCCTCCCCAGTAGCTGGGATTACAGGCGCCCGCCACCACTCCTGGCTATTTTTTTTTTTTTTGTATATTTAGTAGAGACGGGGTTTCACCATGTTGGTCAGGCTGGTCTTGAACTCCTGACCTTGTGATCCGCCCGCCTTAGCCTCCCAAAGTGCTGAGATTACAGGCGTGAGTCACAGTGCCCGGCCTTGATTATAATTTTTAATCATTAATAACCTTTCTTTTACAGAGCAACCTAGAAAGTAAACAATATTTGAATCATCTCAATATTAACATCCTGTAGTATACCAGCACATTTTACCAATATACCATCTCATCATTTTTTAGGTGTGTTCTTTTTCGTAATGTAATTTTTGGATGTGACAAAAATAACATATTTATTAATAGAATGAAATAGCCTTTGTCTCTCTACAAAAAGCAGGAAGCCAAAAACTAGAGAAACTTAAACACGCGTAATAGTGTTTCAGTATTTTATCTTATTTGGAAATGATCTAGATAGTCAATGAATATTCATCTTTTAACTTAGTAGAACTTTAAAGTTTCAAATTTCCAAAAAGATTTTGGAACTTATTTTTAAACAGACATATAAAACATAACCATTGTTAAAAAGTCCATTTATAAACTTTTATGTCACTTAATTTACTTGCTTTTAACAATTATGTTTGAATTGTTTGTGAAAATTTCATGAGACATTAAAGCTAGTAATCTTATTTTGTAGATAAATCAGGCAATATTTTAAAAATCATGGAAGTAAGAATATAAAGGTTAAAATAAGTTCTTTCCAATGTTTTCTTCGTTTTTCTTTTTATTGCAGCAGTTGGCATATGTCAAGCAATCTATTTTTATTGTGTATTTTATTGTTAGGTTGAATTTATAATTTTATAATCTTGAACATCTAGTAAAGATAATATAAGTTTACTTGATTAGTAAACCCAGGTAGAATAAGTTGTATGTCTGCAGTACAGTTAATGTTGACAACTCTCAAGACACGCCTGATTTAATTAAACCAACAAACTTAAACTAGCTTTTATTTATGGAACATTATCTCAGATCATATGAACATGAAAAACATTTGGGTTAGTTTCTATATGTCTGAGAGTTTTAAGAATACTTATAATAATAAGCATTTATGTAATAAATGTTTATTATTTGTTTATATTTATAAATTACTTATAAATTTATAAATTTAAAATAGTCATAAATTATTTATAAATTTATAAATATAAGCTATTCATAAATTATAAATTTATAAATATAAACTATTCATAAATTATAAATTTATAAATATAAACTATTCATAAATTATAAATTTATAAATATAAACTATTCATAAATTATAAATTTATAAATATAAAATATTCATAAATTATAAATTTATCAATATAAAATATCCATAAATTATAAATTTATCATAAATTATAAATTTATAAATATAAAATATTCATAAATTATAAATAATTATAAATATTCACAGTTATTTATTATTTATGTAATAAATGCTTAAATAATAAATAAATATTACATATTAATAAATGCTTAAATAAACATTGACGTCAATACTTATTTATATAAGCATTTATGTATTTATAAATGCTTATGTAAATAAATGCTTATATAAAAAAATAAATGCTTATATAAATATTACATAAATATTTATTATTTATGTAATAAATGCTTAAATAATAAATATTACATATTAATAAATGCTTATTATTCTTTAAGCCAGTTCAGTAGAGCTCTTTTACAAATTAATTTTGGCAATCACCATTTGGTGGTAAAAAAATCACCTATACATAACATACATATGTAGATATGAACATACAAATGCAAACAGAGATCTTACAGTTTTCATCTTAAATCTTAGCCATGAGTTAGGTATAAATACAGGAATACAAACTTACTAATTTATATAAACATTGATTCTCACCTTGGCCTTATTCACTTTTTCCTTTCAGTCTGATCTTCCTGTAGGTAACAATAAGACATTTGTTGAGGATGAGAACTTTCTAAAACAATCCTTTCAGATATAAAAATCCAAATCTTCCAAGGTACACCTACTTTAATTATGACTCAAAGCCAATAAGCCTTTTTAGGCTTAACATTAGTTAGCCTTTCTTGGACTACCTATAGAGGCAGAGACATCCCCAAAGAGTGTGCAAAGGATGTGGAACTCCCCAATCAAAGACTGTCCCCATGAGAGCCTAGGAAAGCAGAGACCCTCATTGTTAACAAGGCAAGGAAGGCTGAGACGGCAATGACCCCTGTGGACTGTGACCCCGATTTTAGGATGAGCTTCCCCAAGAGCTTCTGGACTGCTAGCCACAGGCTGGCGCCTGATGGAAGCCTGACCACTTGCGTCCCTATCTGACAGAGACCAGAGAATATTTTTGCTGGTTACAAAGCAAAACTCTTAGGACATGAAACAAGATGAAAGGAGAATCTCTTCTTAGGATTTTCCCCCTGTGACAAATCACACTTTCAAAGGTCAGAGACAAGAAAACGAAGACTCTTTAGGGAGGCTGTGGATCAATGACCAGTGGGTACCCAGAACCAAATTCACAAGTGTTGCAATTAAAATATCTAATTCTTACAAATGTTTTCCTCCTTCCAATCCAAATTTGGAAAGGAAGGGACAAGGAAAAACCTTGGCCTGTGTTGGAAATAAGAGTTCGGAGTCGCAAAGAAAATGAGCACTCAAAGGATTTCTCAGTGAGGCAAATTTACTTCTTTTCTTTTTTTATTATACTTTAAGTTTTAGGGTACATGTGCACAATGTGCAGGTTTGTTACATATGTATACATGTGCCATGTTGGTGTGCTGCAGCCATTAACTCATCATTTAATATTAGGTATATCTCCTAATGCTATCCCTCCCCCCTCCCCCCACCACACAGCAGGCCCCAGTGTGTGATGTTCCCTTTCCCGTGTCCATGTGTTCTCATTGTTCAATTCCCACCTATGAGTGAGAACATGCGGTGTTTGGTTTTTTGTCCTTGTGAGAGTTTGCTGAGAATGATGGTTTCCAGCTTCATCCATGTCCCTACAAAGGACATGAACTCATCATTTTTTATGGCTGCATAGTATTCCACGGTGTATATGTGCCACATTTTCTTAATCCAGTCTATCATTGTTGGACATTTGGGTTGGTTCCAAGTCTTTGCTATTGTGAATAGTGCCACAATAAACATACGTGTGCATGTTTCTTTATAGCAGCATGATTTATAATGCTTTGGGTATATACCCAGTAATGGGATTGCTGGGTCAAATGGTATTTCTAGTTCTAGATCCCTGAGGAATCGCCACACTGACTTCTACAATGGTTGAACTAGTTTACAGCCCCACCAACAGTGTGAAAGTGTTCCTATTTCTCCACATCCTCTCCAGCACCTGTTGTTTCCTGACTTTTTAATGATCACTATTCTAACTGGTGTGAGATGGTATCTCATTGTGGTTTTGATCTGCATTTCTCTGATGGCCAGAGATGATGAGCATTTTTTCATGTGTCTTTTGGCTGTGTAAATGTTTCCTTTTGAGAAGTGTCTGCTCATATCCTTCGCCCACTTGTTGATGGGGTTGTTTGTTTTTTTCTTGTAAATTTGTTTGAGTTCATTGTAGATTCTGGATATTAGCCCTTTGTCAGATGAGTAGATTGCAAAAATTTTCTCCCATTCTATAGGTTGCCTGTTCACTCTGATGGTAGTTTCTTTTGCTGTGCAGAAGCTCTTTAGTTTAATTAGATCCCATTTGTCAACTTTGGCTTTTGTTGCCATTGCTTGGTGTTTTAGACATGAAGTCCTTGCCCATGCCTATGTCCTGAATGGTATTGCCTAGGTTTTCTTCTAGGGTTTTTATGGTTTTAGGTCTAACATTTAGTCTTTAATCCATCTTGAATTAATTTTTGTATAAGGTGTAAGGAAGGGATCCAGTTTCAGCTTTCTACATATGACTAGCCAGTTTTTCCAGCACCATTTATTAAATAAGGAATCCTTTCCCCATTTCTTGTTTCTGTCAGGTTTGTCAAAGATCAGATAGTTGTAGATATGTGGCATTATTTCTGAGGGTTCTGTTCTGTTCCATTGGTCTATATATCTGTTTTGGTACCAGTACCATGCTGTTTTGGTTACTGTAGCCTTGTAGTATAGTTTGAAGTCAGGTCGCGAGATGCCTCCATCTTTGTCCTTTTGGCTTAGGATTGACTTGGCAATGTGGGCTCTTTTTTGGTTCCATATGCACTTTAAAGTAGTTTTTTCCAATTCTGTGAAAAAAGTCATTGGTAGCTTGATGGGGATGGCATTGAATCTATAAATTACCTTGGGCAGTATGGGCATTTTCACAATATTGATTCTTCCTGCCCATGAACATGGAATGTTCTTCCATTTGTTTGTATCCTCTTTTATTTCATTGTGCAGTGGTTTGTAGTTCTCCTTGAAGAGGTCCTTCACGTCCCTTGTAAGTTGCATTCCTAGGTATTTTATTCTCTTTCAAGCAATTGTGAATGGGAGTTCACTCATGATTTGGCTATCTGTCTGTTATTGGTGTATAAGAATGCTTGTGATTTTTGCACATTGATTTTGTATCCTGAGACTTTGCTGAAGTTGCTTATCAGCTTAAGGAGATTTTGGGCTGAGACGATGGGATTTTCTAGATATACAATCATGTCATCTGCAAACAGGGACAGTCTGACTTCCTCTTTTCCTAATTGAATACCCTTTATTTCTTTCTCCTGCCTGATTGCCCTGGCCAGAACTTCCAACACTATGTTGAATAGGAGTGGTGAGAAAGGGCATCTCTGTCTTGTGCCAGTTTTCAAAGGGAATGCTTCCAGTTTTTGCCCATTCAGTATGATATTGGCTGTGGTTTTGTCATAGATAGCTCTTATTATTTTGAGATACGTCCCATCAATACCTAATTTATTGAGAGTTTTTAGCATGAAGCGTTGTTGAATTTTGTCAAAGGTCTTTTCTGCATCTATTGAGATAATCATGTGGTTTTTGTTGTTGGTTCTGTTTATATGCTGGATTACGTTTATTGATTTGCATATGTTGAACCAGGCTTGCATCCCAGGGATGAAGCCCACTTGATCATGGTGGATAAGCTTTTTGATATGCTGCTGGATTCAGTTTGCCAGTATTTTATTGAGGATTTTTGCGTCGATGTTCATCAGGGATATTGGTCTAAAATTCTCTTTTTTTGTTGTGTCTCTGCCAGGCTTTAGTATCAGGATGATGCTGGCCTCATAAAATGTGTTAGGGAGGATTCCCTCTTTTTCTATTGATTGGAATAGTTTCAGAAGGAATGGTACCAGCTCCTCCTTGTACCTCTGGTAGAATTCGGCTGTGAATCCATCTGGTCCTGGACTTTTTTTGGTTGGTAAGCTATTAATTATTGCCTCAATTTCAGAGCCTGTTGTTGGTCTATTCAGAGATTCAACTTCTTCCTGGTTTAGACTTGGGAGGGTGTATGTGTCGAAGAATGTATCCATTTCTTCTAGATTTTCTAGTTTATTTGCATAGAGGTGTTTATAGTATTCTCTGATGGTGGTTTGTATTTCTGTGGGATCGGTGGTGATATCCCCTTTATCATTTTGTATTGCATCTATTTGATTCTTCTCTTTCTTCTTTATTAGTCTTGCTAGCGGTCTATCAATTTTGTTGATCTTTTCAGAAAACCAGCTCCTGGATTCATGGATTTTTTGAAGGGTTTTTTGTGTCTCTATATCCTTCAGTTCTGCTCTGATCTTAGTTATTTCTTGCCTTCTGCTAGCTTTTGAATGTGTTTGCTCTTGCTTCTCTAGTTCTTTTAATTATGATGTTAGGGTGTCAATTTTAGATCTTTCCTGCTTTCTCTTGTGGGCATTTAGTGCTATAAATTTCCCTCTACACACTGCTTTGAATGTGTCCCATAGATTCTGGTATGTTGTGTCTTTGTTCTCGTTGGTTTCAAAGAACATCTTTATTTCTGCCTTCATTTCGTTACATACCCAGTAGTCATTCAGGAGCAGGTTGTTCAGTTTCCATGTAGTTGAGCAGTTTTGAGTGAGTTTATTAATCCTGACTTCTAGTTTGATTGCACTGTGGTCTGAGAGAAAGTTTGTTATAATTTCTGTTCTTTTACATTTGCTGAGGAGTGCTTTACTTCCAACTATGTGGTCAATTTTGGAATAGGTGTGGTGTGGTGCTGAAAAGAATGTATATTCTGTTGATTTGGGGTGGAGAGTTCTGCAGATGTCTATTAGGTCTGCTTGGTGCAGAGCTGAGTTCAATTCCTGGATATCCTTGTTAACTTTCTGTCTCATTGATCTGTCTAATGTTGACAGTGGGGTGTTAAAGTCTCCCATTATTATTGTGTGGGAGTCTAAGTCTCTTTGTAGGTCTCTAAGGACTTGCTTTATGAATCCAGGTGCTCCTGTATTGGGTGCATATATATTTAGGATAGTTAGCTCTTCTTGTTGAATTGATCCCTTTACCATTATGTAATGGCCTCCTTTGTCTCTTTTGATCTTTGTTGGTTTAAAGTCTTTTTTATCAGAGACTAGGATTGCAACCCCTGCCTTTTTTTGTTTGCCATTTGCTTGGTAGCTCTTCCTCCATCCCTTTATTTTGAGCCTATGTGTGTCTCTGCACTTGAGATTGGTTTCCTGAATACAGCACGCTGATGGGTCTTGACTCTTTATCCAATTTGCCAGTCTGTGTCTTTTAATTGGAGCATTTATCATTTAAGGTTAATATTGTTATGTGTGAATTTGATCCTGTCATTATGATGTTAGCTGGTTATTTTGCTCATTAGTTGATGCAGTTTCTTCCTAGCCTTGATGGTCTTTACAATTTGGGATGTTTTTGCAGTGGCTGGTACTGGTTGTTCCTTTCCATGTTTAGTGCTTCCTTCAGGAGCTCTTTTAGGGCAGGCCTGGTGATGACAAAATCTCTCAGCATTTGCTTGTCTGTAAAGGATTTTATTTCTCCTTCACTTATGAAGCTTAGTTTGGCTGGGTATGAAATTCTGGGTTGAAAATTCTTTTCTTTAAGAATGTTGAATATTGGCCCCCACTCTTTTCTGGCTTGTAGAGTTTCTGCCGAGAGATCAGCTCTTAGTCTGATGGGCTTCCCTTTGTGGGTAACCCGACTTTTCTCTCTGGCTGCCCTTAACATTTTTTCCTTCATTTCAACTTTGGTGAATCTGACAATTATGTGTCTTGGAGTTGCTCTTCTTGAGGAGTATCTTTGTCGTGTTCTCTGTATTTCTTGAATTTGAATGTTGGCCTGCCTTGCTAGACTGGGGAAGTTCTCCTGGATAATATCCTGCAGAGTGTTTTCCAACTTGGTTCCATTCTCCCTGTCACTTTCAGATACACCAATCAGACATAGATTTGGTCTTTTCACATAGTCCCATATTTCTTGGAGGCTTTGTTCATTTCTTTTTATTATTTTTTCTCTAAACCTTCTCTTCTCGCTTCATTTCATTCATTTTATCTTCCATCACTGATACCCTTTCTTCCAGTTGATGGAATTGGCTACTGAGGCTTGTGCATTCATCATGTAGTTCTTGTGCCGTGGTTTTCAGCTCCATCAGGTCCTTTAAGGACTTCTCTGCATTGGTTATTCTAGTTAGCCATTCGTCTAATCTTTTTTCAAGGTTTTTAACTTCTTTGCCATGGGTTTGAACTTCCTCCTTTAGCTCAGAGTAGTTTGATCATCTGAAGCCTTCTTCTCTCAATTTGTCAAAGTCATTCTGTGACCAGCTTTGTTCCATTGCTGGTGAGGGGCTGCATTCCTTTGGAGGAGGAGAGGCGCTCTGATTTTAGAATTTTCAGTTTTTCTGCTGTTTTTTCCCCATATTTGTGGTTTTATCTACCTTTGGTCTTTGATGATGGTGACGTACAGATGGGGTTTTGGTGTGGATGTCTTTTCTGTTTGTTAGTTTTCCTTCTAACAGTCAGGACCCTCAGCTGCAGGTCTGTTGGAGTTTGCTGGAGGTCTACTCCAGACCCTGTTTGCCTGAGTATCAGCAGTGGAGGCTGCAGAACAGCAGATAGTGGTAAACAGCAAATGTTGCTGCCTGATCATTCCTCTGGACGTTTTGTCTCAGAGGAGTACCCGGCCATGTGAGGTGTCATTCTGCCCCTACTGGGGGGTGACTCCCAGTTAGGCTACTCGGGGGTCACGGACCCACTTGAGGAGGCAGTCTGTGCATTCTCGGATCTCCAGCTGCATGCTGGGAGAACCACTGCTCTCTTCAAAGCTGTCAGACAGGGACATTTAAGTGCAGAGGTTTCTGCTGCCTTTTGTTTGGCTATGCCCTGCCCCTAGAGATGGAGTCTACAGAGGCAGGCAGGCCTCCTTGAGCTGTGGTGGGCTCCACCTAGTTCGAGCTTCCCTGCTGCTTTGTTTACCTACTCAAGCCTCGGCAGTGGCGGGCGCCCCTCCCCCAGCCTCACTACCACCTTGCAGTTTTATCTCAGACTGCTGTGCTAGCAATGAGCGAGGCTCCGTGGGCGTAGGACCCTCCAAGCCATGCACGGGATATAATCTCCTGGTGTGCCATTTGCTAAGACCATTGGAAAAGCGCAGTATTAGGGTGGGAGTGACCCTATTTTCCAGGTGCCGTCTGTCACCCCTTTCCTTGGCTAGGAAAGGGAATTCCCTGACCCCTTGCGCTTCCCGGGTGAGGTGATGCCTCGCCCTGCTTTGGCTCACGCTCGGTGTGCTGCACCCACTCTCCTGCACCCACTGTCCAACAATCCCCAGTGAGATGAACCTGGTACCTCAGTTGGAAATGCAGAAATCACCCATCTTCTGCGTCGCTCACGCTGGGAGCTGTAGACTGGAGCTGTTCCTATTTGGCCATCTTGGCTCCACTCGAGGCAAATTTACTTCTGCAGAAGGGTGCTGCTCACTCTTGTCACTGTGAGAGCACACCAAACAAAGGAGGGAAGGGGTTTTTATCCCTAATGCAGTCAGTCCCTGCTACTGTTGTCCAGTCCCCACTGCCTGGAGTTGGATGGCACAATCTAAGCTGATCCTGATTGGCTACTTCTAATGGAGCAAGGGTTGGGGGCTACAGCAGCAGGAAGAGCAGTTTTGAAACTAAGGGTGCCAAATAAGGAACAGATGTGGATTGTTATAAATTGGGAATGGACGTGGGTTACAGATTGGGAACAGATGTGGGTTACAGATTGGCAATGGCTGGAAGGTTGTTTACCATAACTAGGGGCAAGGAGGCAAAGAAGTTAGGCTTTGAAAATAGAGGACAAAGAACGAGGGAGTTGAAAAAGTGGAACCTTTGAAGAGGAATTCACTGTATCCAACACCTGGATCCCTTGACTAGGCACAACAGACACAATGCCTGACTCCGTAAGAATTCCTACCTCTCCCAGGGCCCCGTCCATAGGTTCTAGAGCAAATGGGGCATCTTAACCTTTTAGGGTCCCATCCTCATCACCAGAAACTGTAGGGAGGGCAAACCTTTTCCTCCACCTGTTAGGATTTCTGCTGGGCCTGAGAATGAGATTGACATCAGACAGATTAACAGGAGAAAAACAAACACATTTATGTAAGTTTTACATAACATGGGAATTCTCATAAGGGATCAAAGGCGGAAAGAAATGGCAAGAACTGCCTGCATGTGTATCAGGTTAGACAAGGAGAAGCGATTGCAGAGAATAACTGGATATGTGGCGAGGTGCAAGGGAGAGAATTACTTTAACAAGGTCTGTTTGCAGGGAATTCTCTTGGCGACAACTCCCCATTGAAGAATGTTCCTTTCTTCTGGAGAAAGGAGGGCACCTTTCACGTGGGAGTTTTTGTCTCCTGTTTTCCGGGAAAGAAGGAAGATCAGAGTGCCCTCGTTGCATCTGCTGTTTTCAAGTTGCCTTAGCTTGAGGTAATCCTTATGTCAAAGTGGCCTATTTTGGGGTTGAATGTTCTGCCACTCTTCACTGGGATTGGAGTGTGTATGTGTGTATTTGGGGGAGATTGGAGGCTTGAGTTTGGCGGCTCTGACAAGACCCCAGAGATCCAGGCAGATGGAGGCACCACCATCTTATTACATCACCATCTCAGCATGCTGCTTCAGGGTCTCCCCCATGGAGAAGAAAGCCAGGTGACCTCACACCTACTTTGCTGTGCTTCAGCCAAGAAGTAACCCACTTGATTTTAACTTACAGCCTGCTCATCAGAATTAGCCACATGTCCCTGAGCCAACTACAATGGAGCCTGGAATATGCAATCTTCCCCAGCATCTGGGAGAGGAAAGTGAACATGGAGCATTGTCTTGGCTGTGGTGGCCAACAAACATTGGGACAGAACTTGATTGTAGGGGCACCAGTGGGAGGCGAGTGTTATGATCCGATGGCTTCACTTGTGATCTATTCTTCATGATAATATAGGCTAAACCTGAGCCCTGGGCTCCAGGACAGGCAGTCTGCTGCCTTTGACTAATTTTTAAGTGCAGAGGTGCTGGGCTTCTCTGTAGAGGAGCAGCACTGCTGAATCACAGTGATTTTCCTGGAGAGAGAGTCCTAGGAGGGGATTCCAGCTGTTCCCCACCCCACCTGAAGCAAAGGCTATTATTCCCACAGGAGTGCTCCTGGGGAGCCTGACACCACCAGGGAGGAGCCGCACTTAACCCTGGGGCTTCTTGTCAGAGCTTTGGTTAGGTGAAACCTGGATCCTGGAGGTGCCCTGGGAAGCTTCTGTCTCCAAGATTCACACCCAGGTCCGGCTGCTGCGTGGCTCCCAACATATCACAGAACCAAGGCTCCTTTTTCCAGCTGGCCCATGTCTGAGTTTCTGCTTTATGCTTCTGGTGCTTCTCCCAGCAGCCTGCTGCCTGTTGCAACATGTGCTCACATGCCACACTTCATTTCTGCATCTGTACTCACCAGCTCATCTAGTTCCTCCTGGGCGCCAAACACACACCCACCCTTTTTTGCTGACCTTCTGTCCCTTCCTGGGTTTGCCACCTCCTTGCTTCACACTGACTTTGAAACAGTGTCTGGCCTCCGTGTTACCCGCCTTCTCCCTGATCTAGCCTAGATCCTGAATGCCAGCCATCCCCCTCAGCTCTTCCTCCTGGGCTCCATTCTGCTGACACTCATAATTCCTTCTTTGTCTCCCCTTCTTATCAAAGGCCCAATCTTCATTTGGGGGCACTGCCTCCCTCACCAAAGTGCATTCCTGGACATCCTAGAGCAGCCTACTTCACCAGGTTGTAATTTACACCACAGGTCCCCCTAGGACATTGCCAGTCTCCATGGAAACCTTGACAACAAAGCCAGTCTCCTGGGTTCTCATCCTCTCTCCCTCTGGGGACAAGAAGACTGACTGCAAGAGTAAAGGGCCCATTTCTGTCTCCCTGGGCCCAGGCAAACTGCTGCCTCTGCCTCTGCTGTCTTGGGCCCTGCCTCATCTGCAAGAATGCTGCTCAGGAAGTGCCTGCTTCCTGCATGATGGGAGGTGGGATCACCAGCAGCTGATTGGTGAAGCCGGGGGTCAATCTCAGAGGTCAGCAAGGCCAAACCCCGCTTTGGCACATGGAAGACTGGAGTCCTCAGTGGCTCATGAATCCCAAATGAGAAGGTGAGGGCGGCCTGCAGCCCAGGTGGTTCTCTCTTAGTGTGCAGTGTCCTCTAGGCATCCCTCCAACAGTGACCTGCAAAGGGTTGTGTACATGGAGAGGGCTCACATTCCAGCCCCAGACAGAACCCCATATGATGTTATCATCAGGCTACAAGTTTGAGTTTTCAGTGCCAGGATCTGAGACAGGAGGAGACTCATGACAACCCAGAAGAGGGAGGCCCTGCAGGCAGGCAGAGCCCAGAGAGATTCCCCACCACGGACACCTGTGAGGGCATCAGGAGGAACGTGATGACTGACATTCCTTCCTCTGTGGCACTTACCTTCCTTACCTCCAACCATTTGTCAAAGACCCTTACACAATTCTTTTTTTTTTTTTTTGAGACACGGTTTTGCTCTTTTTGCCCAGGCTGCAGTGCAATGGGGTTATCTCAGCCCACTGCAACCTTCGCCCCCTGGGTTCAAGTGATTCTCCTGCCTCAGCCTCTTGAGTAGCTGGGATTACAGGCACCCGCCACCATGCCCAACTAATTTTTATAGTTTTAGTAGAGACGGGGTTTCACCATGTTGACCAGGTTGGTCTCGAACTCCTGACCTCAGGTGATTTGCCTGCCTCAGCCTCCCAAAGTGCTGGGATTACAGGCGTGAGCCACCACGACTGGCCTCCACAATTCTTTTAGTGGAGATTCAAGGACAAAGGACAGGGACTGGCTCCCAGATTCCAGGTTGTGACCAGTAGCAAAGTGAGCAAAGGGACACTACAGAATCCTCTACTGTGCTGAGGTCTTCGATAGAGGAAGTTGCCTTGCAAGGAGGTGGGAGGGATGCTGTGGGATGGGCTGAGCCATCTAGTTGAATATGAAAGGAGAGGGCCTGGGGACCTCCAGGCAGAAGTCCCGGGAGTTCCTCATTTGCGACTGGTCATGCATCAAGTTCCAGGGCCAAGGCTGGTAGGAATGGGCCCCGTGCAGGCATTGGGGGCTCCCCTTCTCCTTCAGAGCTACATGGAGGTGTGGTGCCAGTCAGTGCACGCTCTAACGTATTTAAGTACCAGCAGAGTAAAACAAGAATGAAAGGGAAAAGAGAAGACATGAATTATTTCGTTTACGCTTGACAAGTACAGGATCCTATTTTAATACAACACAACTTATGGATATGTATTTTTATTTTCTTCAGTACTATGTCATTTGCTTCTAAAATACTTTTACTAATTGGGGACTAGGAGAGTAAAACTTAAATGTATTAGGCAGCAAGAATGCAAGTGAGGGAGAAGTGAGGGAGAACAGCCACACTTTCTGAGCTGTGCTCTGACAGGGAGAATTTGCTTGGTACACTCAGAACAAAATGCATCTACAGTCAGATAACCTCGAGACACAGAGGATGGCATTGAAGGCTTCATCCACACAGTGTCTACACTCCCTTCTCCCTGAGCCACAGAGCTGTGTCTTTATTCCAGGCAGCAGAGTGCCCGGCCGAAAGTTCATGTTTCCCACCCTACCTGTAGCTATGTGTGGCCTTATGACCAAGTTCTGACTAATAAGATGTGAGTTCAAGGTCTGGGGATGACCTCTGGGAAGGCTGTTTAAAGGAAGTTGAGACCAGGAGGGATACACCTCCTCTCAGCCATCTCTGAGCCTGGGATGTGGAAGGGATGACTAGACCTTCTGCAGCCATTTTGTTCCTTGAAGTAACCACAAGGTTAGAGACTGCCTTAGGATGATAGAGTAGAAAGAGAGAAGGAGCAGGGGTTGTTGACATTTATGGTGCTGCCGGGACAGCCCTAGATTTTCAACCTCCAGTCTCATTTTATGTGAGAGGAAATATATTTCGGCTTAGGTTTCCCCACTGTTATTTGGAGTTTTCTGACGTATTCAACTGAACCTAATCCAAGAGATACTTGACACAGAAATCCCCCTTCTGGGAGACTCAGAAGTTATAGTAGCAAATAAAGACAATAAGGAGCTTTATAATCAACAAACCTATTATAGGCAGAATTCTAAAGATGTCCCTGGAGGACTCCTGTCCCTTGGCTATTCAATCAAATGTCATTCAAGGTATGGCTGTGACACGACTTTGCAGATGTAATTATGGTTACTAACCAGCAGACTTTAAGGTAGGGGATCATCCTGAAATATGTAATTGGTTCCAGTGTGAGTCATTAAATACAGATTAGGAAGCAGATGAGTCAGTCAGAGAGATAAGGCAGAAAAGATGAGAGAATATGGCAGATTCAGGAGTCAGAGAGATTCCAAAGGTGAGGAGGATTGGATGCACCCATGGCTAACAGCCAGCAAGGAAACAGGGGCCTCAGTCCTACAGCTACAAGGACCTGGATACTTCCAACAGCCTAGATTCTACCACAGAGCCTCCAGATCAGAGCCCAAGCCATCAACCCACACCTTGATTTTAGTCTTGTGAGACTCAGAGCAGAGGAACCAGCCGAGCTACCCAACTTCCTACCTACAGAACAATTAGATCATACATTTGCATGGCTTGAAGCCACTAAGCTTGTGGGGATTTCTTTCAGAAATAATAGAAAATGAATACAGAAACCTGATCACTTTCACATAAAATATTAAATTTTTGGCAAAATAACACATACATTTGGTAAAAAATAAAACAGTACAAAAAGAACTATACTGCAAAATCAGCAAAACCCTGCCCTGCCCTTGCTGCCTGCAATCCAACTTTCTTCTCTTAATTATTTTTTCTGATATTACCTCCATATCTCTAAAAAATGTTGCTGTATCTAGATTTGTGAACACAGACATTGCGTATTAACTTTCTATTATGAGAGAATCAAATGTAGCTCCTTCATCCTTTTTCATCACACTACAATTGCTTTAATATGTTTGTTTTTATTTTTTGTTTCTTTGGTTTTTTTTTTTTTTTTTTTTTTTTTTTTGAGAAAGTCTCGCTCTGTTGCCCAGGCTGGGGTGTAGTGGTGCCATCTTGGCTCACCGCAACCTCTGCCTCCCAGGTTCAAGCGATTATTGTGCCTCAACCTCCTGAGTAGCTGGGAATACAGGCATGCACCACCACACCCAGCTAATTTTTGTATTTTTACTAGAGGTGGGATTTCCCCACATTGGTCAGGTTGGTCTCCAACACCTGACCTCAGGTGATCTGCCCGCCTCGGCCTCCCAAAGTGCTAGGGTGTGTTACAGGTGTGAGCCACCGCACCCGGCCACAATTGCTATAATATGAATGAATTCCACCTCCAGTGTTGGCCTAACTCTTGCAGGTGTACTATGATTGCATCTCTTTTCTTAGTCCATGTTATAAAATTTCCCTGTTTGGTAACTTGCATAATTTACTAGACACATATCTTTATTTCCAATACTCCATCAGGCACCTTCTACAGAGTTTTCCTTTATTCTAGAATCCCTATCCCCAGGTATCCCTCTTTCCCTTCCATCCACACACACACACACACACACACACACTGCTCCTCTCCCACTCTAATCTGGTCTGGGTGGTCTCCAAGTTACGTAAACAGGTGGTTGTCATCCTGAGGTGTCTCTGCCTCTCTTTTGGCATTGATTCACTGTTTCCTGATTCCTGTATCTTTCTTATTCTTGGCTTGTGCCACCATTTTTGAGGAATACATCCTCTAGGAAGTTCTACAAAAAAGAATGCAGGATATATTAATGTTTTAGGTTCTTTAGGTCTAATATTGCCATCTTTATGCCACTGAAATGGTAATTTGGCTGGTTATAACAGTCTGAGGGAAGATCATGTGGCCTGTGCATTTGGAGGCCCTTGATCCACACTGTTCTGCATTTGGAAGCGCTGCTGCACTGTCTTCTGCACTGGGAAGTCGCTTATGCACCGTCTGACATATTAGGAAGGCACTGCTCTGCCGTCTCTGCATTTGGGGGCACTGTTCTGCTGTACTCGGCATTTGGATGTTACTGCTCACTGTACTCCAGCTGGAGGCACGGCTCCAACATTCTCTGCATTTGGAAGGAAACATTCCAGTGTTTTCTGCAGTGGGAAGCCCTTTTTCCATTCTTCTGTGGATGTGGAAGGCACTGCTCTGCTTGTGTGTTTGGGGGACACTGTTCTGCTGCTCTCTTCTTTACCATCATCTTCATCTGCAGGCACAAACCCTGTCTTCTGCTGCAGAGCCACTGCCTCCCTGCCCTTTGCAGGCTGAGGCACTGCTCCACAACTACTGCTTCCCTTTGGAGTCAATGCTCCCCTGTCATCTTCACTGACCTGGGACTGCTTGGCAGTCTTATGTATTTAAAGAGACAGCATTCCCTCTTTGCTCTGTATGTGGGAAGGCTCACAACCCACACTGTTGTATTGGGAGGCAGGGCTCCCATGCCCCTTGCACTTGGCTGTCTCTGCTGCTCTCTCACTTTCATCTGGAGTCACTGCTTCCCTGCCCAGTGCATTTGGAAGGCACAGCTGCCCTGTCCTCTGCCTTCGGTGGAACTGCCTCACTCCACTGTGCGCTTCCATGGGCCTGCCCCTTGTCCCCTGCATGTGGAAGGCACGGCTCCACTCTCCTCTACATTTGGAGGCATTTCACTGTGATCTGCCTTTGGGGACACCACTCCATTTACCCTGTGGTTTGGTTTGGATCTATGTCCCTTCCAAATCGCATATTGAAATGTAATCCCCAATGTTGGAGGTGGGGCCTGATGGGAGGACTGGATCATGGGGACATATCCTTCATGGATGGCTTAGTGCCGTCCCCTTGGTAATGAGTGAGTTTTTGCTGTGAGTTCACGCGAGATCTGGTTGTTTAAAGGTGTCTGGCACCTTCCCCTTCTCTCTCTTGCTCCCACTCTCGCCATGTGACCTGCCTGCTCCCCCTTTACCTTCCGCCAGGAGTGAAAGCTCTCTGAGTCCTCCCCAGAAGTTGAGCAAATGCTGGCACCCAGCTTTGTGTACAGCCCACAGAACCGTGGGCAAGTTACATCTCTTTTCTTTCTTTCTGTTTTTGAGGCAAAGTCTCACTCTGTCACCCAGGCTGGAGTGCAGTGGTGTGATCTCAGCTCACTGCAACCTCAACTTCCTGGGCTCAAATGATTCTCCTGCCTTAGCCTCCCGAGTAGCTGGGACTACAGGTGTGAAACACGATGCCTGGCTAATTTTTGTATTTTTAGTAGAGACGGGGTTTCACCATGTTGGCCAGGCTGGTCTCGAACTCCTGACCTTAAGTGATTGTCCTCCCAAAGTGCTGGGATTACAGGCGTGAGCCACCGTGCCCAGCCTCTTTTCTTTATAAATTGCTCAGTCTCAGGTATGCCTTTATGGCAATGCGAAAACAGCCTAACATAACCTGTGTCAGAGGCTCTGCCCACAGCCCTCCACATTTGGAGACATTGGAGCTCTTGTCCTCTGAGTTTATGTGGATGTCACTGATCCAATGTCGTCTGCATTTGGAGCTGCTGTTCCACATCATATGCTTCTTTATTTTTTTGAGACAAGGTCTTACTCTGTCACTGAGGCTGCAGTGCAGTGGCACATTCAATCATAGCTCACTGTAACCTCGAACTCCTGAACTCAAACAATCCTTCCACTTCCCAAGTGAGTCCTGTGCTTCTGGAAGGAATGGCTCCAACACTCCCTGTCTTTCTAATGCATTGATAATCCACTCTCCTGTGCATTTGGGGGGCCCTGCCCCACTGTCCTCTGCACTTGGATGTCACTGCTCCACTGCCGTCTTGATTTTGAGGTCCTTTCTCTGCTGTCCTCTGCATTTGGAATGATCAGCTGGAGTGAGGCAGGCATTCGCTGCAGCGGAACTGCTTTGGTCACTGACTTCATCTATTTTCCTGCCAGCTTGGTAGTCCATCCCTAAGAGCTCCATGTAGCCTTGCTGGTCCCCAGTGGTCCCCCAGAGCACCCCATAGGCTGCCCAGACCTTGGCAGGGAGCGTCTGCATCTCTACACATGCCGACAGTGGGTGTTACACCCTAAACTGCAGCTGCCCCCCAACTAGCTGAAGGCTTCCTGAGATATGTTCTGGGCCCATCTGCAGCCTAGGCTCCTCCCGGCCACCCAGCTGCTTCCTGCCCCACCCCTTGTGACAGCGTGGAGGGCACCCACCGTCTCCCACCCTCCTTTCTCATGCCTATTCCTTACTTGTGTGTATTGGTCCCTGAGGCTTGGTGCAAAGGCTCCTTATATTTAGGGTGCAGGCTGCGGTGGACGTGGAAGGTGGGGGGAGAGACGGCCAGAGGCAGGAAAGGGATCCTGATGCCCCCTCACCAGCCCACATAGAAAGGTCAGGAGCTTATGAGGTGGGGGTGCCCCTGCCCTACAGGATAAGAGCTGTTTCCTGTGAGGGGGGCCTGGGGCTGCCCTGGCAGTGGCTCTTGGGCCTCCTGGCCCACCAGAACGTCCTGGCAAGCTCACAAAACTCACAAACACTGAACTCCACTTCTAGAGATTCGAATTTGGGAGCTCTGGGGCATGAGCCAGAGATCTGCAGGTGATTCTGACAGGCAGCCAGGTGGAGACATGGGGGTGAGAGATGAGTTTTCTTTGCAGCCCACCCAGAGAGGAAAGGCCTTTCCTTTCAAAGAGCCTCAGAAAGCAATGGTCCAGGTCCTTCCTGCTTCCTGGGAGATGCCACATGGCTCTACTTCTGAGGGGTCTGTGCAGTGGGTGTGGGAGCACCTGGGGCTCTTGGGTGTCAGGTGTCCTATGTCCTCTCCCATGGTCTGGGGAGAGCATGCACTTTTGGTCTGCAGAGTGCACCAGCTGCGTAGGAAAGGGAAATGCTGCTGGGAGTGGGACCCTGGAGGCCTGCGCCAAAGTGCCTGCGCTCGTCCTTCCATGCCTTGAACCAGGTGTGGGTGGCCAGGTCTGTAAGGCAGAGAATGTAAGTAAGAAGTGGGGGAGAAGGCAGGGTAGGGTCAGATCTCTGGCTCCTCTCAGTGTGGAAGATGGGAAGCCAATGCCGCTTTCCCCTGACCTTCCCATTCTGCCTCCTTACCCTTGGGGGCGGCTCTTGTCCTGGCTCAGTGCTCCTGGCCCTGCCTCATCTCACTGTCACTGTCCTGAGAGGGAGTCCAAGCTGCAGAGCAGGGCTGGGCAGTGCAGGACGACAGCACAGGCCCCAGCTGCCAGACCTTTGACCTCCAGGGCCATCTAGCCTTACAAAAGCATCCTGGGCATCTCGCCACATTATTAACTCACAATAACTTGCGGTCAGCTAATCCTTTATGGTCTTTCTGTTTCCACAAACAGTTGTGAGTCTGAGAATCCTTGAGTTGGCCGTTTCATCCTCCCTTTCGGGCAGTGGGTATGAGCCCCATTCCAGTCTCTCCAGATCCCTTCCAGGCCTCCTCCTGCCATCGGGACCACACACTTTCCCCATGGTTCTGTGCAGTAGGTGCTCTGATGAGACTGGTTTCCAGGTGCTGAGCAGGGCAGGCTGTGATCAGAGTAGGTAATGGGCCGCCAGAAACTTCCTTCAGGCTTTGGGTCTCACGTTTCACCCCAGCGTGGCACCCCCATCCCAGGCTCCGGGCTATGGTTGGGCAGGCTCATCTTTAGGCCTAGCCCTACCTCTTCCCGGGCCCCACTGATGAGAAGCCTCTGCTCTTCCACCCTGGACTCCCAGAACTATCTCAGGGACAAAGGATGCAATAGAAAGTCTGTCTATTTCAGCTTGTTAGTGCAGAGCTCCTGAGGACCTGAGCAGGTCACATCAGGAGACTCCGGGGGCCCCACAGTGCTCGGGAGAGTTTGATGGACAGTGCTGTTGTGAGCCCCCAAGAGGCAGAAACAGACACATGGCCCCTCCAAAGGGGGAACACCAATGACCTCTCCTTCCACTGATGTGGGGGAAGAGACTGAAGGGGAGAAGGTGTCAGGTTAGGCCCAGCGGCTTTTGGCCAACGTGTGTCCACTGTCTTTCTAAGTCCAGTTCTAGGGGGGCTCCGTGATGCTACCAGACCACACATGGCTTCAGCAGCCTCGAGGTTCTGCACACCAGACTTCTGTCTCTGTCTCCTCCCCAGGGGTCAGGGCTCCAGGGCCCCAGGGAGAGGGGCAGCTGATGCCAGTGTCAGATGTGGCCTGAGCCTAACCTTGAGACAAGTCCCCTGCTGATCTTGGAGAGAGAGGGCAGCCGAGGAGGCTCTGGGCAATGAGGAGATCTGGGTCAGGCTGGAAGATGCTGCTTTCCCATTTGACACAGAGGCCATGGAGAGGGGGCAGAGGGGACTCACCTGACCATGGAGATGGGGGAAGAGCACTCACCTGGCCATGGACCATGGAGAGGGAGCAGAGGGTACTCATTGAGGGGACCCACCTGGCCATTGAGAGGAGGCATAGCCTATCCCGTGGGCCTGGGCTGCAAGGACTGAAGTTTTTAGTTGACCGGAAGCCTTCCTACAGCAGGTCTTTCTGGAGGATCTGTTTGATTGTGGCCTGCTTTTTCTAGAAACTCACCCTGCCACAGGGAACCAGAGCACAGCCATCCCTGCCTGCAGGCCCCTGCCCTCCCAATCTGACCACTTCTAACAAAGCTCCCTGAGGCCCTGATGTCCCGTGGCCTTCTAGTGCCTTACTGGCCTGCCGTCGCCGTCATGGGGACTCTCGACACTTTGCTGAAACCCTCACACACTTCCACACTTGGGCAGCCTCTGTTTGGGTTGCATCCCATCCTTACTGCCTGGAGAGGCTCATGAAGAAGGTCCCAGGGCTCACTGAAGAGCCTCCTCCCTTTCCCACCCGACCCACCTCGCCCTTCCTCACCAGGCTCACTCATCACAGCGGCACAGAGTTTTAGTTTGGGGATTCACCCATTCATTCTTCTTCTTTTTAAAAAATCTATTTATTTATTTATTTATTTGAAGACCAGGTTATGAGACTGGCTAATTTTTTTTTTTTTTTTTTTTTTGTATTTTTGGTAGAGACAAGGTTTCACCATGTTGGCCAAGCTGGTCTTGAACTCCTGGGCTCAAGCGATCCATCCACCCCGGCCCCCATAGTGCTGGGATTACAGGTGCCTGCCACCAACCCAGCTAATGTTTGTATTTTTAGTAGAGATGGGGTTTCACTATGTTGGCCAGGCTGGGCTGGAACTCCTGGCCTCAAGTGATCCACCCGGCTTGGCCTCCCAAAGTGCTGGGACTATAGGCGTGAGCCACTGCACCCGGCCAGGGGTTTTGGTTTGTTTATTTTCATGGCCCTTATGGGGAACAGATCTTATCTTTAAATGTATTCAGATGTGCTTTTCCAAAGTTTCGAGACTGGAGAATATGCTGAGAATATGCTGGGTTCTGTGTTCAGGGCTGAAGAGGATGTGACGGTGAGTAAAACTCAGTCCTGTCTATGTGGGGGAGACAGACAGGTAAACGGGTAATATGGGGGCAGGTTTCATATTAAGGGATGCCTTGAAAGGACCCCTCACTCAGCCTAGGGGTCCTAGAGAAGGTGACCACTGAACCAAGCTTAAAGGATGAGCAGAAATTGAGTGAACGTGGAGGCTGGGGATAAAGAAGGGAAATCATGAGCAGGGCCAGGATGGAGGGGAGTGTGGTAGGGTGAGCCGAGGACTGCAGGATCTAGCCAGGGGAACGGAGAAGGGCTCCAATGTTGGAGGGCCCTGGAGACAAATTAAGGAGTCCAGTGTAGGAGCCGCTAGGAGGTTTGAAGCAGGGGAGCCTGGGGTCCATCTGCATTCACGATGGTCCTTTCTGAAGCAATACTTAGGAGGGGTGCTGGAAGGCTGGATGTCTGGCTGCATGCCAGAATGAGGGACAAGAAGTCAGGCAGGGACCCACATTTTGGGAGCGTGGTGGTCAAAATGCTCCAAAATATTCCCAGAAAGGCATCCCAGAGGCCTGTTCCCCCATGGCCACCATGTGCCACAAGCTTGGGCCCAGCCGCTATGCTTACTCCATATAAGGCTGTTGTAGCCAGAGGGCCCTGGTGGACTGGGAGACCCTGCCTCCGGTTGGGACCATCAGTTTCCTCCCACTAGGATGAAGAGTGTGGCCTGTGGTGCTGGTGGGACTCATAGTAGACCACCTGGGAGAACACATAGACTCAGATCGGCAGGGCAGCCCTCTCTGCCATGTTGGATGAGGAGAATCTATTCTGCAGAGGAGGCCAGCGTGCACTGGGGAGAGGCCCCGTCCCAGAGAGAGGGTCTGAGACAGACATGGGGGCACTTGATGGATTTCCTTTTCCGGGATCTGAGCCCTCCTGAAGGACCTTGGACTCCAAAAGTGCCCTTGTATCTCTATAATAAATCCTCATGTTTCAAATTCTTCAGCTGACCTAAGTGGGTTTTTCATTGTTGCCATCAAAAATGTTGACTAAGACAGTGGCCGTGCGTAGCCTTGATGATCTGGTAAGTGGGTCTTTGTCCCCTTGAATTGGTTTAAAACTCATTCCCAGTGTATGGCATGGATAGCAGAGGCAAGAAAGAAGAGGAACCTGTCTTCTTGCCTGCTGTTTCCTTGAGAGTGTCTGAGCATCTTGCTGGTCTATTCCCAGCATGGCTGTGTGAGGCAGCCAGAGGGGCCCTGGGGCTTTCTGGAGGGCAGAGTCCCTTCCCTTGCTGAGGTCTCCATCTCTCCCCGCCTCTTCCGCACCTTGGGGCTGTGGGGTTTGGGGAACATCGATCTTCTGGAGATGCGTGAGTCAGGGTGAGCACGTGGCCCCAGGAGGTGTTTCCAGGGCAACCAGGAGAAGCTTCTCCTGGTCAACCAAAGAATTCCCCACGGAGGTCAGAGGGTGCCAGGGGTCAACAGGAGCAGAGAAAGTGCAGGTATGCCCAGAAAGATGTGAGGGAAAGGAGGGGCCAGGACCCCCCTTGGCCTCCCATCCCCACTTCCAGAAGCCCTGCAGCTGGGTGGCCTGCCCTGCCCCCCAAGCCCCTTAGTGGCTGCCCCAAGGGCACCCATGCTTGTGAGCAGCCCCCACCTGCCTGCTTGCTGGGCTTTTCCAGGGAATTCAATTAGGGCAGTGGCTTCCTTGCCTCCTCTGCCCAACTCCAGGGCTGGATCCTGAACCCCACCTGCTCTCCCACACAGGGCTGGGGATGGGTGGAGGCAGGGGCTGACTGGTGGATCCGATGATAAATTGTTTATTGGGATCCTGCTGGGGGGAAGGGGAACTGTCCTGTCCACTCCTGGCTTGGCTGCTGACTCAGAATAGTCCTTTCTTCCATGCATCTATTTCTCCATCTGTTCAACAGGCAGATTCAGCATCTTCATCCCGCCCTGGGCTGAAGAAGAGGCTTGGTATGTTTTTGTTTTTCCTAGGGGAATTATTATCTTCAAACTACAGTGTTTTCACCATACACACAAATAAAAACAATAGCAGTAGCCAATGATTGGCTTAATTATGACAATAATTGAGAAGAGAGAGGGGGTGGGAGTGGAGCACGTGGGGCCAAAGCTGCTTATTTCCCAAGTCTCCAAGGGCTTTTACTACTAACCAGGAAGCTGGGACCTGAATTCCCCCACCACTAGTGCACCCGAGTCAGAAGACACAAAATCGCCTAAGCGGCAGGTGCTCGGGTGAGGGCTGTGTCCATCTTGCTGCTGATGGGGTGGTTAGAAAGCCATCCCAGGGGAAGGCATTCTTTCTAACAGCCTAAATTGGAGGGAGAAGGAGAAGGGAGAAGCAGTGAGGCCCTGGAGAGACCAGCCCTTCCTCAATGCAGCCTCTGTGGAACCAGGAGCCCCCAACATAGATGCTGGGTTCAGGTGAGTCGGGAGGAAGGGCTGTGGGAGGGCCTAGGCACAGCCTGCACTGAGCTTCACAACACAGTCATAGGCAGTGTGGCTAGGGGCCTCTCTGCACACCCTGGGGTTGGACCCCTACAGGAGGAGCTGGCCCTGGACCCTCCCTGGGGTCCATGGCCAGCTCCCACCAGACCTAGGGTGCCAGGACACCCCTAGACTATTCTTCACTGCATCCCTGATCCTCATCTCTGAATCACCCTTTGATGAAGCCCCACTTCCTGTCTCACCCCACTGTAACTGGACTATGCCTTCTACCATTGTGTTCTCTCATCCCCTGGCTCTGAGAAAGTCACAGAGGCAGCAATGGGGAGGGTAAGAGCTCTACTGTGGGCCCAGCCCTGATTCACACGTAAGGCCCTAATTGCCTGATAACCCTACCAGGGACAGCAGGACATCCCTGAGCCTCTCACCCACCCTGCAGACCATCCTGAACTACTGCCCTGGGCTGAGCTTGGGGGTCCTGGGAGCCATGGAGCCAGCCCTTCTCTCCAAGGCTCCCAGTCAGGGGCAGGGAGCTGCCATGGAATCTCACAAACTTTGATTACTTATTTAAATACGAGTAACACGCGTTTAGTGCACAGAAATGAGGAAGTACACGTGAGCAAAGGAGAATGAAAAATTGCCGGCAACTCCACTGCAAAATGATTGCTGTTTTACACCTTCACTGTGTGTACTGATCTGTAATCTTCTTTTTTTTTTTTTGAGACAGATTCTCGCTCTGTCACCCAGGCTGGAGTGCAGTGGCACGATCTCAGCTCACTGCAAGCTCCGCCTCCCGGGTTCATGCCATTCTCCTGCCTCAGCCTCCCCAGTAGCTGGGACTACAGGCGCTCGCCACCACGCCCGGCTCATTTTTTTTTTTGTATTTTTAGTAGAGACGGAGTAATCTTCTGTTTGAGGAAATGATCACCATTTTACACCTTCGCTGCGTGTGCTGGTCTGTAATCTGCTATTGGCGGAAATGATCACCGTTTTACACCTTCACTGCGTGTGCTAGTCTGTAATCTGCTATTTGCACTTATGAGTGCATGTGAATATTTTTCAGTCACAAGAGACATTTCCACGGCATGTTCTTTAGCAACTGCCCAGTGTGTGATGTAAGAGGCTCATTTTGCTGGTTCCTCAGTGGTGGCTTTCAGGACTGTTTCTGATATCCTCCAGCCCTTCAGTGAATTTCCCCATGACCTGCTCAGCTACAGGCGACTTTCTGGGCATTGGGCATACAGCTGTTCACAAAACAGAGACCTGTGCAGACACGTTTCTGGTCATATCCTATCAGTTCTTTCAACTGCTGACTGGATGAGGTATGGCCAGGCCAAAGGGCATACCTCTGGGATTTGCCCTCCCAAAGGCCTGTGCGTGTCAGGGTGGGCCTCTGTTCAGGATTGGCCTGGCAGTGGGCACCGGGCATGACCTGCAGGGACAGAGCAGGTTCCAGATGAAGCAGGGAGAGCAAGCCTGGGTCCTGGCCCTGTGTCTCTGGTTTTATGACCATTTTGACCAGGGCTTCACCAAGCAGCTGTTTTCCCAGCTCCTAGACTGGGCTGCTGGGGCTGGGCATGGAACAGAATATTTGAAATGGGGCCATTCTAGGTGATCCCAAGCTGCTGAGGTGCCTTTCGGACCCAGCTGGTGGCAGCCGTTGCCTGCAAGGATCTAGGTGGTGGGGAGCCCAGGCTTCCACCCGAGGCCACCAAGGGCGGTCCCAGCCTGGCCCTGCCCCCTACCCTGTGCCTCCACCCCTGCCCTTCCTATGCTCCAAGGCAGGCAGGGAGGCGGGAGGCCAGGTAGCTCAGGAACCCAAACCTGTCGGGCAGGTTTTGAGAGCTGTGGAGAGAGGGACAGAGGCTGGAGAAGGATGTATGGCCTGCCCTGGGCTTGTCTGTTCCCTCCTGAGCCTGAGCCCCTTACCTTCCTGACCCCATGAAGCACACACTGGCTCTGCTGGCTCCCCTGCTGGGCCTGGGCCTGGGGCTGGCCCTGAGTCAGCTGGCTGCAGGGGCCACAGACTGCAAGTTCCTTGGCCCGGCAGAGCACCTGACATTCACCCCAGCAGCCAGGGCCCGGTGGCTGGCCCCTCGAGTTCGTGCGCCAGGACTCCTGGACTCCCTCTATGGCACCGTGCGCCGCTTCCTCTCGGTGGTGCAGCTCAATCCTTTCCCTTCAGGTGAGTGTGCCCCTCCCCCATGAGGGCCTCAGCATTTGGGTCCCCAGCCCGGCTTCCTCTGTCCCACTCTACCATGGGATGTGCCCAACCTACAAGCAGGCACTTGCCATCTTCCTGGGGTAGAAGGCGGAGGATCTGGGGAGGGCTCCAGAACCTGCTGTGTGACTGTGGGTAAGCCTCACTTCCTCTCTGAGCCTCAGGTGCTCTGTCTGTAAAGTGAGGAGGTTACATTGGAAATACATTAGACCTGACTCAGACATCCTCTTAGTCTATCGGTGCTTGGGTTGGGTGGTCCAGGAGTGTCTGAAGGACCCTCCCAGTCCTGTCCCTTGCTGCTTGAGGGGAAGAACTGCCAGGCCAGACCCCTTCTCTGCCTTTGCCCAGGCTCAGGACTGACCTGTAGGGTCCAGGAGGAGAGGTCTGCAGCCTCCTCTCTGCTCGCCCTCCTGTAGCAGTGCTGAGGTCAGGGCAGGATGGCACAGGGCTGCGGTGATGCAGCCTTCTGCGAGGGTGCCATGGTGGTGGCAGGAGCCCTGCCTCAGAGCCACTTTGCCCTGGCAGTGGGGAGAGGAGGGACACAGGGGCAGGGCAGTGGCTGTCCCCAAATCCTCAGCTTGGCTCTTTCCCATAGAGTTGGTAAAGGCCCTACTGAATGAGCTGGCCTCCGTGAAGGTGAATGAGGTGAGCAAGCTGGGGAAAGGTGCTGGGGGAGGGAGTTCTGGGGTGAGCAGCAGGGTGGGAGCAGAAAAGCCTTGGCTCCCCTTAGCCCACCTCGCTGGGTGTCCACTAGGCAGGGGCTCAGGCATCCTCTCCCCTCCTCTGTGGGCGCTGCAGTCCGTAGACCTGGGTGCAAACCACAGCTCTGCCATTTACTGGCAGTGAGGTTTGCAGGGAGCTGGAACTTCCTGAACTTCAGCTTCCTCCTGTGTAAGATGGTGATGAGCAGTAAGAATGCGGTCACCTCTGGGACGGGTTCCATGAGATGCAGGCCATGCCCCTGACGGCACTCCCGCCCCTTCTGGTTTCCCTCTGGACTCAGGCAGAAGCCAGGGCTGGGCAGTGGGGGTCGGGTCACCCCTCATGCCCTGCTGCCTGCCCAGGTGGTGCGGTACGAGGCGGGCTACGTGGTATGCGCTGTGATCGCGGGCCTCTACCTGCTGCTGGTGCCCACTGCCGGGCTTTGCTTCTGCTGCTGCCGCTGCCACCGGCGCTGCGGGGGACGAGTGAAGACAGAGCACAAGGCGCTGGCCTGTGAGCGCGCGGCCCTCATGGTCTTCCTGCTGCTGACCACCCTCTTGCTGCTGTAAGGCGCTGCCCAGGGCCCGGGTAGGGCGGGCTGTGGCCCCCAGGCTCCCTCTTACCCAGCAAGCACCTTCCTCCTCCCTCCATTCCCACAGGATTGGTGTGGTCTGTGCCTTTGTCACCAACCAGCGCACGCATGAACAGATGGGCCCCAGCATCGAGGCCATGCCTGAGACCCTGCTCAGCCTCTGGGGCCTGGTCTCTGATGTCCCCCAAGTGAGCACTGTTACCCCTCACCCTCATGTGCCCCTGTGAGCACTGGGCCCGGGCAGGACAGAGCCGAGTGGGCCCTCGATGGCCCATAACCAGCGCATCTGAAAGCCGCCTCCTCTCCCGCCCTTGCCTGAGAGTCGACCACCCTCAGGGTGGATGCCATAGGGGCAGGGAAGGGGCCAGGGAGAGAAGGGCGTAAGGACTGTGGGTGACCAGGAAGGGCAGCCTCAGGGCCTTGTGTTTGCCTAGGAGCTGCAGGCCGTGGCACAGCAATTCTCCCTGCCCCAGGAGCAAGTCTCAGAGGAGCTGGATGGTGAGGGTCTCGGGGACTGGCAGGTGGGCTGGCTCCTTCCAGGGCCCCTGCTCGGGTGCCTCGGTGGGGGCCTCTCACTCCCTCATTCTGGACACCCCCGGGAACAGGCTGGTAGAGGTGGGGATCAGGCCGGCTGGAGAGCAAGAGTGGCCGCCACTCAGCTGCTGGAGGAAGAAGCCGTGTCCCCGCTCCTTCACTCCCCTCCACCCCCCGGCTCCTGCAGAGCCCGGTGGGGCCTGGGGAGGCAGGATGGGAATGGGGAGGGCCCCTCCACTCTTGGGGTCCCACCCTGCAGACTGCCCTGTGCTCTGCAGGTGTTGGTGTGAGCATTGGGAGCGCGATCCACACTCAGCTCAGGAGCTCCGTGTACCCCTTGCTGGCGGCCGTGGGCAGTTTGGGCCAGGGTGAGCTGGAGCCGCATCCTGGATAGTGTGGAGCCCAGCGGGTGTCCTCCTGGGGCGATCCCACCTGCACCTAGCCCTGGATTTCCTGAGCCACCTCTGCCCCACCTGTGACTTCCCCATCGCTGTACCCCAGGATCCAGCCCCCCTCCCCTGGCTTAATGTGCCCTGGGGCAGTTTCCACTGTAGGCAGGAGGTCAATGATTTGCAGGTCCCTTTGGCTGGGGGAGGGGAGTTCTGCCTCCTGCAAGGCGTCTGGGGATGCATATGGTGGACCCTGCTCAGGCTGGGTGTGGGTCTCTCAGTCCTGCAGGTCTCCGTGCACCACCTGCAAACCTTGAATGCTACAGTGGTAGAGCTGCAGGCCGGGCAGCAGGACCTGGAGCCAGCCATCCGGGAACACCGGGACCGCCTCCTTGAGCTGCTGCAGGAGGCCAGGTGCCAGGGAGATTGTGCAGGGGCCCTGAGCTGGGCCCGCACCCTGGAGCTGGGTGCTGACTTCAGCCAGGTGCAGACCCAGGACAGAGTCCTCTTAAAGCCACGGAGGGCTAGCTGCCTGCTGCTCCTGGGATCTGGCAAATTCCCAGTCCCCTTGCCCCAATGTTCCTCCCTTGCTCCACCCACCCAGGGTTAATGCGGGTCATCCTGGCAGTGGGTGGAGTGCTCCCCAGGCCACGCCCTGTACGTGAACTTCATGTGTGTGAGCTCCTTGAGTTCTTGCTGCCACCAGGGGCAGTAAGAGCCATGGCAGTCCTCATTTTACACTTGAGGACATTGGGGTTCAGAGGCCCCTGCCCCCCTCATCCACCCTCAGGGATCCCCTTCAGGCCTCTCCATGAACTTTGTCATAACCCACCTTCCCCCATTTCAGGTGCCCTCTGTGGACCATGTCCTGCACCAGCTAAAAGGTGTCCCCGAGGCCAACTTCTCCAGCATGGTCCAGGAGGTGAGAGCCACCTGGTCTGCCTGATTTCTCCCTCACCTGCCAAGTGAGGGCCTCTGTTTCCCCCTTTTGGGCAGGAACCCAGTTGAACCTAATATTTGGGGTCCCACCCACCACACAGCACCCTGGGCAGGGGACTCCCGACGACCATCCTTGGTGTGCACACAATCTGTGCTCAGATGGGAGAGCTGGGCCCTTCAAGGCGGCAGGCGTCTGGGGGTGGCAAGGGAGCAGTGCTCAGTCTGAGCCCAGAGGGCAGGCGGCTCCCCTGGGTGGAGATGGGCCAAGGGGGAGGATGCGGTGTTGTGAGTCAGCGCCCAGGACCCAGGACCTGGAGCTGGGGAAATGATGAGTCAGCCATGCTGGGTGGCTGGAGTGGAAGGTTCCAGAAGGAAGGAAGTCAGAGCTGAGGCTAGAAGGGTGGACTGGAGCTGGACCTTCAGGAGCTAGACCTGGCAGTTGTGTGGAGGGCGGCTGAGAGTTCACTGCAATGGTGGGAGAGGGATGGGGGTAGGAAGAAGAGGTCCGGGAGGAGCAACGTTTTGGGAAGTTGAGTCAGACTGGGCCAGGGGATGGGAGAGGAGGGCAGCGACCAAGAGAAAAGAGGGAAACTGGGAGCACTGAGGGGGGCCCTCCCTCTAGGCCTGGTGACTTTGGGGTCTCCCAAGAGGGGACACTGGGCAGAGATGGGGAGGCCCAGCACTACTTGGTTCCTGCAGGAGAACAGCACCTTCAACGCCCTTCCAGCCCTGGCTGCCATGCAGACATCCAGCGTGGTGCAAGGTTAGGCCACACGGGTCAGAGGCAGCTGCCAGGCATGGCTTCCCACCCCACCCCTACCAGGGAGGCTTGTTGAGAGAGGACTGGGGTGGCGGGGGACTGTCTTCCCTCTGTGGTTCCCAGATGTTCTTCCTGCCCGCTTGTCTTGTTCCTGGGCCCCAGGGTGCCCTCCGCATCCCACAAGTCCCTGTTACTTTGGGCAGAGCTGAAGAAGGCAGTGGCCCAGCAGCCGGAAGGGGTGAGGACACTGGCTGAAGGGTTCCCGGGCTTGGAGGCAGCTTCCCGCTGGGCCCAGGCACTGCAGGAGGTGGAGGAGAGCAGCCGCCCCTACCTGCAGGAGGTGCAGAGATACGAGACCTACAGGTGCTGGGCACCGCAGGGTGGGATGGGGTGGGGTGGGGTGGGCAGCCCAGCCTCTATGCCACCCTGACACCCTGAGCCCCATTCCCAGCCTCTATCAGCCCCTGACTGTACTGAGCCTCTGTGTTTTTTGTTTGTTTGTTTGTTTTTGTTTTTTTCATTTTTTTTTTTTTTGAGACGGTGTCTTGCTCTGTCACCAGGCTGGAGTGCAGTGGGGCGATCTTGGGTCACTGCAACCTCTGCCTCCCCGGTTCAAGCGATTCTCTTGCCTCAGCCTCCCAAGTAGCTGGGACTACAGGCGTGCGCCACCACGCCCAGCTAATTTTTGCATTTTTAGTAGAGACAGGGTTTCACCATGTTGGCCAGGATTGTCTCTATCTCTTGACCTTGTGATCCACCAGCCTTGGCCTCCCAAAGTGCTGGGATTACAGGCCTTAGCCACCGCGCCCGGCCGCTTCTGCATATTTTTAAGCCAAGACCCCTGACTCCAGAGGCCTCCAAGTCCCTATGAGGCTGTGTGCCCTTGGAACCTGAGCCTGGAGACCACACAAGAGCAGTAGGGCCTCAGGAAGAGTCTGTATCTGCATTTCTGAAGCCCCAGCCTTGGGGTTAGAGGCCACACCCGGTCGCCACGTCCCGCACCTGTCCATGTTGGTGCCAGCCACCTCCTTTCTTAGTGACACCCATGTCCTCTCTGTGGCAGGTGGATCGTGGGCTGCGTGCTGTGCTCCGTGGTCCTATTCGTGGTGCTCTGCAACCTGCTGGGCCTCAATCTGGGCATCTGGGGCCTGTCTGCCAGGGACGACCCCAGCCACCCAGAAGCCAAGGGCGAGGCTGGAGCCCGCTTCCTCATGGCGTAAGAAAGGGCTGGGAGAGGGGAAGGGTCCCCTCTTATAGGGCTGGCTGATTACTCTCGCTCCTGAGCATAGCTCCCGGTGTGGCTGCCAGTGTCAGTGTCATCATCTGAATAAAGGGGTTGAACCAGAGCAGGAATGGCCAACAAGGAGCTCTTCCTTCCTACAGCAGGGGCAACTGTAGCACCTAATGGGCACTCCTTACCCTGAGTCAGACACAGCCTAGAGTCCCTACCCCAGCTTCCAGGCGGCCCCCACCACCAATAGGCAGCAGCACCAGAGGTGGAATCTGTTTGCCAACCCCAGACTAGACGGTCTCTAAGGCCAAGGCTGCCACATACAGTTGTACAGGCTGTTCACTGAACAAGAGTACCTGGCTAAGGGGGTAAGTGGGGGCTGAAATCCACCCCATGTTTTACTTTCCAAGCCTCACAGCCTGACATGGGGCTGTGCCTGCCTCATAAGCCCTTCGAGCCCCCTGGTCTAAGATCTTTACTCCTCAGACCTGCTGGGATTCTGCCCTGTCGGCAGGTCATGCCTGGTCATGCCAGGTGACCCTTTTGAGTGCTGGGTCCTGGAGTAGGTCACCTCCATGGGCCCTAGGCACAGAAGTGAGCAGTCTTGGCTCTTTGGGTTTTGTTTGTTTTTTGTTTTGTTTGTTGTTGTTGTGACAGGGTCTTGCTCTGTCACCCAGGATGGAGTGCAGTGACACCATCATGGCTCACTATAGCCTCACCCTCCCAGGCTCAAGCGATTCTCACACCTCAGCCTCCCAAACAGTTGGGACTACAGGCGTGTGCCACCACCCCCAGCTAATTTTTAAAATTTTGTAGAGACATGGTCTCACTTATTGCCCTGGCTGGTCTCATACTCCTGGACTCAAGCTATCCTCCCACCTCAACCTGTCCTCCCACCTCAACCTCCCAAAGTGCTGGGATTATAGGTGTGAGCCCGGATAGTCCTGGCTCTTTGAACAAAACAGCTGTTTTCTCCTCTAGGCTGCCAGGGCCAGCCAGGGAACCAGGAACAGGGTGGGGATGAGGTGAAGGTGAGGCCGGGACAGTCAGGAATACTGGGTTCTCCCTCCTCTCCAGGAGGCCAAGTCCTCCAAGCTCCTTTCCTCTAAAGGCTCTGTGCTGGGGCCAACTGGCTGAGCAGGCTGGCCCTGGGGTGAGGGTGGGACAGAGGGTATGGTCAGGGCAGCCAGTCCCTGCTGTCCCTCAGTCCTGCCTCTCGCCTACCCCAGAGGTGTGGGCCTCAGCTTCCTCTTTGCTGCACCCCTCATCCTCCTGGTGTTCGCCACCTTCCTGGTGGGTGGCAACGTGCAGACGCTGGTGTGCCAGAGCTGGGAGAACGGCGAGCTCTTTGAGGTAGGCCTGTCTCTGCTCACAGGCCCTCCTGGGGAGAGAGGTGGGGGGCGGTATCAGCAGAGCAGGAGGGTTGGGGGAAAGTGGGGGTCGGGGGGTAAAAGGGAGAGAGGGAGGGGAGGAGTGAGACAGACATGGCCAAGGAAAGAGACAGAAACCCGCCAGTGGATGGTGGAGGGAGAGAGCACCCATGAGTCCCTGAGATGCTGCCCAGGCCCCAGGGCAGGGACCCTGAGAGATGGCACCCTGACCCATTCCCTCTCATCTCCTAACACTGTCTGGGAGCTGGGACCCTGGTGCCCGGTGAGCTGCGATGCTGGACTGGGTTCTCTGCAGAAGATCGGGCTGGGCAACCCTCCTAGGGATTCATGGGAAGAGCCCCTGTAAGGATTTGGGGCCCAGGGGTCACCAGAGTTAGAGGCCAGGTGTGAGCTGGGGTGAGGGGATGTTTCCTACCCCTGGTCTGTGCTGTGCCACAGCAGCACAGGGCCAGGCCCTAGGGGACCAGGGTGGCCTTGCCCCCACCCCGCTCTGTGCCCATTTCTCACTGCCCCATCCCCAGTTTGCAGACACCCCAGGGAACCTGCCCCCGTCCATGAACCTGTCGCAACTTCTTGGCCTGAGGAAGAACATCAGCATCCACCAAGCCTATCAGTGAGTGGACAGCCTGGGCAGAGCTGGGACCGGGGAAGGAAGGAGGAGGGCCGGTGTCCCTCAGGGGACATCAGCCCCCCCGCCACCCCCAAGGCTCATCGTCTGCACCCCTCACTCCTCCTCAGGCAGTGCAAGGAAGGGGCAGCGCTCTGGACAGTCCTGCAGCTCAACGACTCCTACGACCTGGAGGAGCACCTGGATATCAACCAGGTGAGAGAACGTTTTGGAAACTGTGAGGAGCCCTCCTCAGATCCCCCTCCTCTGGTCTTTTTGCCTCTGTGGAGGCACCGTCTCTTTGAACCTAGGAGACCTGAGAAGTCTGTGTGAGCGATTAAGGTGCCCAAGGGCAGAGGCCCAGTTATCAGCTCTGGGGAAGGTTCCGGGTGTGTAGGTGGGTCCGTGTGCACCTGAAGGCTATGTCCAGCCCCAAGCACAGCCAAGGTGGCAGCAGGAAAGGCTGGTGACAGTGAGCAGGAGGATGAGGGGGCCCATGTGTCCTGACTGAGGACAGGCATTGGCTGGGATGCTCCACTTGGGAGGGGGAGGCTGGGGAAGGACGTGGCAGTGACAAGGATGGTGGTGAGTCTGGCTAACGTTGGTGGAGGGCCTGCCAAGCTCACGCAGGTGGGAGGTGGTGGTGGCAGGATTCCATCCCCAGCCTGACAAGCCTCTTCCTGTAACCTCTGGAGTTACTGGAACTTGGTGTGTAGAACTGGAGACACTTGCCAATGCTGGAAAGAGACAGTTCTAGAATGAAGGCAAGGAAGGGCTGTTTCACAAGAGGGATGGACTTTGAGAATGGGGCTCTCCTCATGGTGCACAGCAGCTGGAAGACATTCACTCCTCGACTTCCACGCTCCTAAGCATATGCTGGGGAAACCCACATCCCCTGGCCCTGGTTCCCCTCGCCCTCCCCAAACACAGAGCATGCTAACTCCTGATTTTGCATCGTTCTGGGAAACCCTTCCAACCCCTGGATCCACCAACCAGCCTCGGCCCACGGACAGCACAGCCGGATGGCCCAGCCCCAACTCTGTACCTTGAACTGCACAACCTGGGACAGTTATGCAGCTCACTCCTCCTTCCGCATCTTTAACCAGACAGGAGCTCCCCGAGCAGGCGATATCTCAGTGCTAGGCTGAGACACTGCCCTGTGGAGGAAGCCTGGCCAGGGAGGGATGAACCAGGGGCCTGGGCAGAGGAGCCCCCATCCTCTACTGGCAGGAAGCCATGGCTCTCGAGGGGAGGAGTCCTGGGCTCTGGTCCTTGGCAGGGGAGGGTCCAGCTCACAGGAGAGTCTGGATAGATAGGGCTTTGGATTCAGATGCACTGGGCAGTCCTCTGAGGCCACCTGACAATGTACCAAATGTGGCTGTAAGAATCCTCGTCCTCAAAGGAGACACTGATGGGTAGGCAGACATGAGTAACACACAGGGCTTTCCAGAGCACGGGGAGGGCACCAGCCACCTTTCCACTTCTCCTGAAGCTGCTGCCACTGATGCCTGAGACACGGCCCGAAGGCCCCCACCCGAGAGGGCCAGGCCTTTTCTCCTCCAGGAGAAGGCAGCCTGGAGGGATGCGGGGAGGAGAGCCAAGCTGGGCTGCAGTCTCTAACCACCTGTGTAACCTCGGCAAGTGGACGCTCCACTCTGACCTCAGTTTCTTATCTGTTAAACACTGGGCTGACTTTTATGACCTCTAAATCTCTTCCAGTGATAGTAGGAAAATGCTAAGGCTCTTTCCTGAAAATACAGTTTCATTCATTCATTCATTCATTCATTCATTCATTCATTCACACAGCTAACAAACTTGTCTCCTGCCCACCATGTGTGACCCTCCGAGTTAGATGCTGGGGGTTTGGGGCTGAATAGGCAGGCAAAGTCCCACTCTTGTGGAGCTGACAGCATTGAACAATTAACCCACAAATAAGATCATTTCAGAGCAACAAGTGCTTTGAAGGCCTCGACACAGCTGATGGGATAAAGAGCGGCTGAGAGAGCTATTTTATTTCAGGTGGCCAGGGAAGGTCTGTGTCTCTGCCCAGAAGCCAGATGGGCACTGGAGGAAGGCCAGGTCTTGGCATTTGGGGCAGGGGCCTACTGGGAGCCTGTCTGGGGCTTGGGGTGTCCAGGGCAGGGGGCCCTGAGGGCCTGCTGTGTGAGTCTGTTCTTGTGTTGCTATAAAGGAATACCTGAGGCTGGGGCATGGTGGCTCATGCCTGTAATCCCAGTACTTTGGGAAGCTGAGGTGGAAGGATTACTTGAGCCTAGGAGTTCAAGAACAGCCTGGGCAACATGGGGAGACCCTCCTCTACAATTTTTTTTAAAAGCCAGGTGTGGTTTCTTGCACCTGTAGTCCCAGCTACTCGAGAGGCTGAGGTGGTAGAATCACTGGAGCCCGGGGGATCTAGGCTTCAGTGAGCTGTGATTGTGCTATTGCCCTCCAGCCTGGGCAACAGAGCAAGACCCTGTCCGCTTCCCCAACCAAAAAAAAAAAAGCAATACCTGAGGCTGCATAATTTATAAAGAAAAGAGGTTTAAGTGCAGGCTGTACAGGAAGCATGGCACCGGCAGCCGTTTCTGGGGAGGCCTCAGGAAGCTTCCACTCATGGCCGAAGGCCAAGGGGAGCCAGCACATCACATAGGGAGAGAGGGAACGAGAGAGCCAACGCAGAGGTGCCACACTCTTTCAAACACGTGAAATAACTGAGCAAAACTCACTCATCACATGGCAATGGCACTAAGCCATACGTGAGGGATCCGCCCCCGTGATCTAGTACCTCCCACCAGGCCCACCTTCACCCCCAACACCGGGGATCACATTGCAACATGAAATTTGGAGGGGACAAATATCCAAACCATATCGCCTGGTGACCCCTGTGCTTAGGGGAGCATCTCTGGGGTCCTGGCTCAGCAACTGGGCATGACTCCCACCCTGCGCCTGCTCTCCCAGTATACCAACAAGCTACGGCAGGAGTTGCAGAGCCTGAAAGTAGACACACAGAGCCTGGACCTGCTGAGCTCAGCCGCCCGCCGGGACCTGGAGGCCCTGCAGAGCAGTGGGCTTCAGCGCATCCACTACCCCGACTTCCTCGTTCAGGTCAGCGGTGGGCACCTCAGCAGGGCTTCCTCAGCAGGTGGTGATGGAACGAAGGGGCCCACAGAGGAGCTGGGTGTGCATCTTGCCTTGTCCCAGCTCTGGCTCTTCCACATTTCCTGGGGCCTCTTCCTGTGGAGGTGTCCCCAGATCATGTGCCCCTGGGCCTGTCCTCCTGCCACCACCCCGGTCACACAGGAATGGACAACCTCTCCCCCAACCCAACAGCATGTGTTGCTGTTCATGGTCCTGAACCCACTGCTGCCGAGGACGCATTGGGAAGTTGCCTCTTCCTTAGTTACACCAGAGGGTGCCTTATTTGTTCTTGTTGTTTCTATCTCACTGGGAAAATGTCTGAAATATTTCACAGTTCCAGGGAAAACTCACTGTGACTGATGTGTCACAATACACTTAGCTGGTGTAGGTTATATTTGATAAGACTGGGGATTTGGAGGCTGGGATCAGGTGGTGGTGGGCCCCAGGGGAGCTGGGTTCATCCCTCCTGGCCTCTTCTGTCCACCTGCAGATCCAGAGGCCCGTGGTGAAGACCAGCATGGAGCAGCTGGCCCAGGAGCTGCAAGGACTGGCCCAGGCCCAAGTGAGTGGGAAACAGGGCCCCGACTGGGCAGCAGGAGCCACAGGGGGCTTGGGAGGCGGGAAAGGGTGGGAGGATGTGAGGGCAAAGGCAGGGAACTGAGGACCCCCACCAGTGAGGCCTGAGGCTCCTGACCCCTGGCTGGGCTGGAGGGTTTTGCAGCATCAGTTCTGACTCAAGCTCTGCCACCCGTTGGCTGTGTGGCCTTGGGCAAGACATGCAGCATCTCTGAGCCGGAGGTTCTTCATCTGTTGGGTGGACTGTCCTCCATCTCAGAGCAGATGAAATCACTTCTCTGGCCTCACGCAGTTGGGCAGGTGTTTCTGTGTGTGCCACTTGTGGGATTTGCTGGGACAGGTGCTGTGAGGACATTGGGATGAATGAGATGTCATGGCAGTTGCCCTTGAGGGGAAAAATAGCATTTTGTATTTATAACTATTTAGGGTTTAAAAGTTCTCTTTGAAACATCCCATAGGCCCCACAACAACCCCACAGGGTGGGCAGAGCCAGAAGCATCCTCAATTTCAGCAGGTGCCCCTGCAGCTCAGGCATGTTCTGTGACTGACTTAGGGGCACCCAGCAAGCTAGAGTGAACCTAGAATTTGGATCTAGGCCCCCCAAACCAAGATCAGGCCCTGGAGCTTAAGGAGGCCTCAGTTTTCTGCCTCTGAGCCCAGCACTCCCACTTTCTCTTGGTATGTCAGACTGAAAGGCTGGGTGACGGGTAGATGGGTCCTGGGCGGGGCCGTTCTGATTTTTGTATCCTTTCAGGACAATTCTGTGCTGGGGCAGCGGCTGCAGGAGGAGGCCCAAGGACTCAGAAACCTTCACCAGGAGAAGGTCGTCCCCCAGCAGAGCCTTGTGGTCAGTTTGGAGGCCCGGGGAGCCTGGGGCCTGGGGGAGGGGAGACGTGGAGAGGGGACAGTGAAAGGGGAGGGAAGTTCTGAGAGTCCCTTCCCTCCCCTCCTCTCCCCTCCTCTCCCCTCCTCTCCCCTCCTCTCCCCTCCCCTCCCCTCCACTCCCCTCCACTTTCCTCCCCTCTCCTCCCTCCCCTTCCCTTGCACTCCCCTAACCAGCCCTGATCTCTTCTCCACAGGCAAAGCTCAACCTCAGCGTCAGGGCCCTGGAGTCCTCTGCCCCGAATCTCCAGGTGGCTGCTGTTGGTGGGGACGTATGGTGGAGCACAGGGGCTGCAGAGGCGGGGAGGAAGTAGGAGCCCATCTCACTCTGCACCTCAGAGCTCTGCCCAGGTTGCAGGTGGGGTTGGGAGGAAGATGGGGGTGGCAGCAGAGCCTGGGGGATCACCACCCTTGGCTTGTCTGTTGGAGCTGAACCCTCTCCTGCTGAGTGTGCTGTGGTGTGTGTTGAATTAATGAATGGATGCGTGAATGTGGGACACTGAGTTGAGGCTCTCGTCCCCTCCAGCTGGAGACCTCAGATGTCCTAGCCAATGTCACCTACCTGAAAGGAGAGCTGCCTGCCTGGGCAGCCAGGATCCTGAGGAATGTGAGTGGTGGGTGGGACAGGGAAGGGGCTTCCACCCCAGGCTTCTCCAGTCCCAGCTTCTCACTGTGGCTCCCAGGAAAGCTGGGCCTGTCCTCAAGTTGCCAGGCATGGGGGGTGGCGTGGGTGGGGGGCACTGCTGCTTCTGGGACCCCTACAGCTCAGACCTCCTTTCCTTCCTGCAGGTGAGTGAGTGTTTCCTGGCCCGGGAGATGGGCTACTTCTCCCAGTACGTGGCCTGGGTGAGAGAGGAGGTGAGTGGGGCCTCAGAAGCAATGACTGATTCCCTGCTCCATCGGACCAGCTGTTCACCCTGCTCTGCCCCGCCCCCGCCCCCGGAGCCCCTTGGGGGTGACCCAGGCCTTCAGGATCAAACCCAAACTCCCAAACCTGGCATCTGCACCCCTGCTTGCTGGCTGAGCTCTGTCCACCCCACCTCTGCTGCAGCGCTTCCCTGAGCTGAGTGTGAGCAGGGTTGGCGTTCTCCAAAATGTTTCATCACACCTGGCCTGCAGGTCCTTCCCTGGGCTGGCCCTTTCCCCAGCTTGTCCAAGGCCAATCCTCAAAGCCCACCTCCCGATGCAGACCCTTGCTGAACACAGCCTCTGCAAGCTGTCTGGATGCCCACACTAGGGCAACAGTGGTCTGGTTTTACCCTGAGTGTGTCTGTGTGTCTATGTGTGTGTGAGTGTGTGTGTATGCATGCACACACATGTGTGCTTTCAAGCACTGTGGCTTGACACACAGTGCTGGGTCATAGTAGGCCTTAATCCAGGCTGGTGAACAGATGGAAAGGGGAGGGGCCCAGCGAGGAGTCTGTAGAGTATGTCCGCATCTGTCTGTACCTGCCTCTCTGCATGTGTATACAAGTGTGCGGTGGCCCCAATGGTGTCCCCAGGCCTTTCTGTGTCCCTGTCAACCACTCTCCCTGAATTGAATATGGGTGTGCGCCTGTGGGTCCAGGTGTCTCTGCATCACCTGCCTCATGTTGGCGCCACAGGTGACTCAGCGCATTGCCACCTGCCAGCCCCTCTCCGGAGCCCTGGACAACAGCCGTGTGATCCTGTGTGACATGATGGCTGACCCCTGGGTGAGTGCCCCAGCTCATCGGGGCTTGTTCACCAAGTCCCGGAGCCTTCCTGCTCTCCAGGGAGGGCCGGGTGAGCAGGGTGTGAAGCCAGGCATGGCCTCTGCCCCGGCTCTGATGACAAGGCAGCTGGGTGAGGCTGGGTGCCACGTGGGTTGGTGAGCCGACCTCACGCCTTGTTGCAGAATGCCTTCTGGTTCTGCCTGGCATGGTGCACCTTCTTCCTGATCCCCAGCATCATCTTTGCCGTCAAGACCTCCAAATACTTCCGTCCTATCCGGAAACGCCTCAGGTGAGGGGCTGCCAGGGCTGCAGGCAGCATCAGGGGCCAGGGAGGTGTCCTTTCAGCCGCCAGGGTCCCCTGTCACAGCCCCTCCTGAGACCTCCCAGGCAGAGGAGGCTCATGAGCGAGCCCTGAAGAGCCACACTCTGAGGAGCTCCAAAGCCAGGAAGTTCTCCCGTATGTCTGCCCCTTACCCTTCTTGCTGCATCCATTTGGGCGCAGCTTCGTGGGACCCTTCCCATCCCCCACAGGGCTTCCGAGGAGAAACCCTCAGGGCTCTGGGTTTGTCCCTGTGTCAGGGCTGAGGGTCTGGGGGGAAGGGTATGCTCACTCTCTGTCTTTGACACTGCAGCTCCACCAGCTCTGAGGAGACTCAGCTCTTCCACATCCCCCGGGTTACCTCCCTGAAGCTGTAGGGCCTTGTGGGTGAGTTTTCCCCAACTCGCTTAATTGCTCCCTGCCAGGGATTAAGGGAGTGGGGTGGGGAGGGGCTGGGGTCTGGGGTTTCCAGGGCCTAGGAGGGCAGGAAGGCTTGGGGACATGGTGGAGTCTGGGTATTGGGTGTGGCCCATCCAGCAGTGGGGCTGACAGCCCTGTTCTCCCCTCCCTCCCCTTCACCCGTTTCCTTCTTAATCCCTGACAGGGTGAGGTGACCCTGAGGCTGCCTGTCCTCCCCTTTGATTTAGCCTGGGCCACAGGACTTCGGTAGCTCTTGCCCCAGAGCCCAGGCTGGCATCCAGGCCTGGACTGTCCCCAGTTCCGGCTTACCTGGCCCCACCTTGCCTGCTCCTTTCCACCCCTTTCTGCTCACGACCCCCATCATTCACGCTCAGAATCACATGGGACTTCTGTGCAGCTGCAGAGCCAGCAAGTCCCTCCAGGTGTCACCCCTTACCCCCATGCTGGTGGCATCCTCACAGGAAGAGCCTGTTCTCCACCTGCTGGAGCCTGGACCCTGGGGTGGGACAGAGGCCTCGTCCAACCCCACTCCCCTTCCCGTGTGTCTTCCCCCTGCCAAGCCTCCCCCTGCCAAGCCTCCCCCTGCCCCTCTCTGAGCCCCTCGCCCCCCACACCGTCCTCATCTGGCCTCCCCCCTGGCCCCCACTTCCCTCTTATGCCCTTCCTGGCCCTTTGCTTCCTCCCTTAGTCCCCTCTTCACCATATCTCCACTGCTACCTTGCTGGCCCCAGAGACCACCCTGCCCAACCAAACCACTCAGGTAACGCCACTAATCAGGCAGGGGCCACCATGGCCTAGGTCTGGGCTGGCTGCAGGCCCTGCCTCATGGCCTCTGAGCCCTCCACTGCCCCAGGGCCTTGGGCCCTCTGCAGATCTCATCCAGGATTTATTGGTGTCCAGTGGGGTGAGGGAGGCCTGTCTGAAGGCCGAGCCTCCCTGCCTGCACCCAAGTTAGAAATGGGGGTACCAGCACTTAGCTTCTCTCTGAGTGCTGGCTCCCAAGGAAGGGACCTGGGACCTGGGCCACAGTGGGGGCTTGCCCTTACCTCTTCAGAAGGAAGCATCTTCCACAGCCCCCACCCAACTTTCTTAGGAGTGATCTGGTGGCCAGAACAGGATTTTGCACGGCCCCTTTTATCCTGCGCATGTGGCCTAGGGTCATCCCCAGCCCATCCCTGTGTCAGCCCTGAGTGCTGGACACTGCGTTCCAGAAATGAGGAAGAGGAGAGAGAAGAGATGGACAGACCTCAGATCCATTAAAGTGTTCTCACTTCCCTGAGACTTGGTTCTGGGTCCTTAAAACCAGGTTTCCTAGGCTGGGACCCTGTACATAGTTGGTGTTTAATGAGTGTTTATGGAGAGGAGAGTTCTAAGGTCACCTCTGGCTGCAGGCATCCAGGGATTATTCCAGCAATCTGCAGGTAGGGAGTGGGTCCCAGCCTGGGAGCCTGCTGTCAGGAGCAGGCAGACCTGGACTCACAGCCTGGCTGTGATGCTTGTTCGCTCAGCTTCTCCATTTATGAGATGGGGAGAATAGTCACAGCCTCCTCAAAGGGTTGTGAAAATCAAATGTGATAATTTGTGGAAAGCCCTTAGCAGTGGCCTGGCACAAAACAAATGCTCAGTGGATGGAAGCTGCCTATTATTATTGTCGTTGTTGTTGTTTGCCATGACTGCTCTGGGCCGGGGGTAGAGCTAGCATCCGGGCATGTACGAGGGAAGAGGGAGGCAGGCCTCTATTCAAAGGCAGAAATTCCTTTAAGATTGTGGTCTGCTGGGTTTCAGGGAGTGTCTGTGTTGTTTGTTTTTGTTTGTTTGTTTGTTTTGAGACAGGGTCTCGCTCTGTCACCCAGGCTGGAGTGTAGTGGTGCAGTCTTGGCTCACTGCAACCTCCACCTCCTGGGCTCAAGCGATTCTCATGCCTCAGCCTCCCGAGTAGCTGGGACTACAGGTGTGTGCCACTATGCCTGGCTAATTTTTGTATTTTTTGTAGAGACGGGGTTTTGCCATGTTGCCCAGGCTGGAAGTGTCTATGTTTAACTGCATCTTATAAACCAGCAACAAGTTTTCTACTGGGAATTAGAATGGTGCATACACAATGTATTATTATCACTGTCAGATGAGCATGCTTGAATGTAGCATGACTGCCTCTTTTTGCTTTTCCTAGAGGTTTTTTTTTTGCTTGTTACTCATCTGTTGACCTACCTGGGGGAAGTAGCACCCTTGCATTTCAAAAATAAAATTGATGGCATTACAAATGGAATAGAAACCATTTTTAAAATATTTTCAGTTCTCTTTCAAAATTACCTATTTTATCTTTTATATATTTGAACATATTAAGCATAGTTATTTTAAAGTTCAGTTAGTCCCTTATATGGAGCCTCCATGAGTCTGTTTCTAGTGCCTGTTGTTTCTCTTGTTTTTTGTTAGTTTTGTCCTGTCTCCTCCCATACTTGGCAATGTTTTAATTGAGTACAAGTAATTTCAGGTCTAGGATGGAGTTATCTTCCTCTATGAGGATTATGTTTACATCTGGCAGGTGGCTGGGGATGCAGTGAGCCAGATCTCTTTCATCTACTTGTAGGGGATGAGAGGATTTGAGTCACTTTAAGGGCTGACCTACTTCTGTTTCATTCATATTCATAGGGTGAAGCCCACTGGGGCTCCAACCCAAAGCATGAAACATTTGCCAGGTAGCCTTCCTGTTGGTGGGCTTTGCAGTGTCTTCTAGAATCAGCAGACCCCCTACAGAAAACGTAGTCCCAGATGCCATGCATATGTCTCTGAGTTGCCTTCTTTTCCCAGATCTTGGCCTTGTAATTCTTCACTGCTTTGTTTCCTGCCCAATACTCTCAATTAGACTTAAATATATATATATACGTACATATATTTATTAAATATATATATATACGTACATATATTTATTAAATATATATATATATAACTTTAAAAGCTGTTCAAAATGTCCTCCCCCGCCCCACACACACACGCAAATTTTGAGCAGCTTTTTAAGTTGTCCTGAACTGGGAATTTGGTCCAAATTACCCAGTCCACAGTTATTAGAAGTAGTCCTAAAAAACTGACTTTGACGTTCCCATTATATATTGGGAAAAGGCTGCCACTCTTTGAATTTAGTGTTCAGAAACTGTGGCCCAGCTAATTGAACATTGTCTTTTGAAAGGAGTTTTGTTTAGAGAGCAGCACGGTAATACTGGTTACCCGGGGATGGGGTGGCACTCGGCAGTTGGCAGAGAGAAAGAAATAGCCACAGAGAAAAATAAATTACCGATTTCTCTGGCTTTTAAAATGCTGGAATCCTAAAATGCTAATGCTACTTTATATGTGAAACAAAGCCCCTTCGAGGTCACAATCTCTCTCTTCTGGCCCATGACTGTCTCTGAGGGAGCAAATTATCATCTGGTTGAGCAGAGGAAGCTCCAGGAAGTTACATAGCTGGTTCAGGGTCTCAGAAGTTGAAGCCCAGCCAGGCTTTGGAAGCAGGTCCCCTGGTCCTGGTGGCCCTGGAGGTTTCTTCCTGGAGGCAATGCCAGTTCCCATTCCCTGTGGGCATGTGGGAGCGAGGCCCTATCTCCAAGGTGACTTGAACCAAGTGTCCTTACTGTCCCTGTGGCAGGGATGACAGATTGGGGGTGCTAGGAGTTCTTCCAGACCCTTCAACCTGGCCACCCAACAGAAGGCCTCATGGTAGATTCTGCCAAACAAATGCCAGATGGGCCAAGGTGTCTAAGGTCCCAGGTGGCTGCTCAGGGCAGCTCCAGCTGGCTTGAGGTGTACAAAGGGAGAGCCAAGTGGCTGGGGCAAGAGCCTGCCCAACTACCTGAAGGGACAAACAATGTGAGTTAACATTTATTTACGGAGTTCTGAGCATAAGTCAGGAAGCACTTTCCATGAATTAACTGGGAGGCAGGCATTGTTATTTACCTGCCTGACAGTTGAGAAAGCTCAGGCACACAGACTGGATGTGGGCGGAGTGGAAAGGGCAACGCTCATCCGAATGAATCAGCCGAGAACAGTGCCACTCAGGCCACATCTGAGTCTTCTGGAATCAGCCTGAGGCCCTGATCTGGGCGGATGTGGACAGCATCCCCCTTCCCTACTCTCCCTGAGCCAGAGTCGTCCATCGCTTCTAGCCTGAGTGCCAGGAGCTGAACCAGGAGGCTAGTGGCCAACCTGGTGCACACAGCACATGCTGCCGGAATAAAGCTCCTTCTCCGTGGTCCCAGCCCTTCCTAGCATATGCTGGGTGTGCCCGTCCTGGGGTGGTCCACACTCATCCGTCTTACAAATGCTGACCGAGAACTGCAGCTCGGATGAGGAGGGATGGAGGGGGTGTGCAGAGGGTGGGGCCCCGTCCGAGCCCTTGGCTTCTGCCCACGAGTGAAGCAGAATTTAGGGAAGAGGTGGCTGAGCCCCTACCCACACTAAGGGCTGGAGTGGGAGCCAAGGAGTCAGGCGCTGAGGTTAGAGGAGGGAGGTTTCAGAGAGGCGAGCTGAGTCCAAGGGGTGCGGTCGGCCGCCCTCTCTTCACTTCAAGCTGCAAGGAAAGGGGCTTTAAAGAAAGCCGCCAGAGAGCTTCACCGTGTCCCCTGCAGTTTAATAAATCCCTTGGACTGATGCCTCACCCACTGCAAAGTCTAGAGGGCAGTCAGGCTGGCTGCATTGAAGGCGGAGCTAAGGAGAGGGCTGGCGGCCCAGGTGAGGGCCTCCTGTGAGAGACAGCATGGAGTCTCCTAGGTCCAGTCGAAGGAGGCTGCCCAGAGAGTGAACCGACCTCAGCCAAGAGGAGGCAGAGCTGCCACTAAGTATTGGGGGCTTATGGGTCCCCTGAGGCCCATGTGAAACACTCTAGTCAGGGGACCATGGGGCCAGGCTCTTAGGACCCTTGGAGGAGCCCACAGAGAAAGAGGGACAGCTCTCAACCTCTGCAAACCCAGAGCGCAGCTCAGCCAGAGGCTGCCATGCCCACTGCCTGCCCCAAGCTGCCACCCCCAGGCCTGAGCTGGGTGGGGAGCAGGAGAGTTGATGATGGCATGGGCTTCGATGGGGGCTGAGCCTGTGTTTTGTGATGTGAAGTGATGAGGACCATTTGTATTTTCTTACCAAGATGCACCCAGCTGGCGAGGCTTTCTCTCTCTCTCTCTGTCTCTCTCTCTCTCTCCCCCCTGTACCCCTCAGCTCTCTCTCTCTCCCCCTGTACCCCTCAGCCAGGGCCCAACAAAAAATAGGGCCTAAGGAAAAGAGCCCTGGGCTGGGGCTCCACAGAGTTGCGTTTGGAGGCCTGGGGAGGAGGGACTTGAATTTGGGCCTGGAATGTGGGATCATGAGCAACAATGGAGGAAGGCGCAGAGGCCCCCAAGACCTGTGGGCATGAGCACCATGAGCCGCTCGCCCGGGGAAGGACAAGAATGAAGGCCCTGGTCAGCTGAAACAGCCCACGACTGCCTCCTGAAACACTGTGACGAGAGAAAACCCGACCTTCATCCGGGCTTGAAATCATCCCTTCCTTTCCCACTTCCAAACTCCCCCCAGCCTCAGTTTCTCCCCACAGCCCCTATGTGAGGAAACCACAGTGGGAAACACAGGGCTGAAGCGTTCCTAGTGGACAAGACCAGGTCCTTCCACAGCCTCCTTAACCTTCTGTGGGTCTGATATACCGCAGAGAATACTGGGAATTGCCAAGGCCGTCTCTGGGAAGTCTGCAGATGCCCGTGTGCCCACAACAGGTCCGCCTCTGAGGCCCATGTGGGAGTCCAGCCCCCTTTCTCCTCCCCTTCTCATTCCTGTGTTCCCCACAGGCCCAGGGGAGGGACCCAGCTGGAAGCACTTGGGGCCCTGGATAGGCCACTGAGGAAGGGGGGTGTGGTGGCAGGGTCACATACGCCCCACATCTGTATGAGGGGTGTCCACCCAGGTGCTAGCTGCAGTGGGAGGTTCGCAAGGCCCGAACAGCCGGTGGGTCCAGCAGAGCAGGGCAGTTGTCCCAGGCCCGCGGTGTCACGGCTGGTGAACTCCGAGGACAGCGCATCTGAGTGTGGGATGTCAGCGAGTGTGCCAAGCAGGGGCGAGCAGCTCTTGGGGGTGCTGCTGTGATGAGTGGGTTCCTCTGCTCCTGACTCCTCCGGCCAGGCCGTCAGGAAGACCAGCCCATCACGGCAGTGCAGTCACCAAGTTTCCAAGCTGCTGTGTAAGCCGTGGGCATAGAACCGCCAGCGGGATCTCAGCATCCACGGTGCTCACTCTAGGAAGAAGGCAACAGGCTTTGGGACCTGGCTTTACCACTCCCTAGCCTGTGACTTGGGCCAGTCTTTTAGCTTTTCTGGGTCTCACCATTATCATCTGTAGAGTGAGATAATTACACTTTTCTCCCAAGGTCACTATGAGGACTCAAAATGCTCAATGCGTCCCTGCTTGCGGAGGCGAGGCTTGCTCAGAGTCAGGAGGGCAGGACTGTCTCAGGCAGTGAAAGGAGGATGGGGCTGGGCACGGTGGCTCATGCCTGGAACTCCAGCACTTTGGGAGGCAGAGGCAGGTGGATCACTTGAGCCCCAGACTTTGAGACCAGCCTGGGCAACATAGTGAGACCCCATCTCTACGAAAAAATACAAAAATTAGCCGTGCATGGTGGCATGAGCCTTGTAGTCCCAGCTACTTGGGAGGCTGAAATAGGAGGATTGCTTGAGCCTGGGAGGTCAAGGCTGCAGTGAGCCATGATCATACCACTGTACTCCAGCCTGGGTGAGAGAGTGAGACCCTGTCTCAAAAAAAAAAAAAAAAAAAAAAAAAGCAGATGAGCTCCCAGGATGCCGGCCCTGAGCTGGCAGCCATGAAGGCGCTTGCCTCCCTCCACTTCCTAGGGTGCAGTGTGGGTGGGGCGGGGGCAGCTAGGGAGTCCTCCGGGCTCTGCCGAGCCCCTTCCCCAGTGTGAAGTCCAGCCTGTTCTGAAGTCGCACAGGGCCAGACACCTGGGCTGCCACCTCCCCTCTGGAAACAGTCCTCCTTGCCTCGGTGGGTCGACAGCTCCAGGCTATTTTCTTCCCCTGAGGATCTGAAAGTTGGAGGTAATTGGTTGGCTCAAAAAAAAAAAAAAAAAAAAAGGAAAAGGGCATGCAAGCACAATTGTGCAGGCTGCAAAGGAGGGAGGCATCCTAGGGCTTCGTCTCCATGGGAACTACTGGCACAGGCTGGCTCCTCTGGGCTCCAAAAAGGGAAACTTGGCAAAGGTTTCAGGCACCTGGCTCCTGAGTGGTTTGCTTGGGGGCCAAGCAAATGCCCAGGAGCTGCCCGCCCAAGGGACAGGACACAGCCCCCTCTCTCAGGGATGCCTGGGAGCCCTCGGCCCCATCCTTCACCCTCACACCCCAGGAGATCCCGTCAGGTCCTCAGCCACCCTGGATGCATCCTGACTTGGGAGCTGGGAGGGGACCCAGCACAGCTGGAGAGCATGAGCAGGTCATGCTTTGGGGAGACACCCGTGCTTCGAGGCCCTCGGATGGGTGAATGGGAGGTAGTTAATAAGGGACAGATGAAAGAGGTGGAAGGACCCTGAGTGTCACCCTGCTGATGTAGCCCTGGTGGCTGTTGCTGTTTCTAGGATGTGAGCCCCAGACCAGCACCTTGCAGACCAGCACCTCAGGCCAGGACCCTGAGAGAGGACGCTTCAGATGCTGGGTGCAGTGGCTCCCTGCTGTCCTGGGGGCCCCTTGGGCTGAGATCATCATAAGGGTGGCACTGTCCTGTGTCTGTGAAGAGTGGCAGGCGGGACTGGGGCAGTGGGGGTGTCCTGGCTTGTTCTGGAAAATACCTCCAGGAATGATCCCTTCCTTTTCCACTTCCACAGTCCCTCCTGGGCACTCTGGGTTCAACTGCTGCTCCTCCCCACTTCTTGGGGCAGAAACTCCTGCCCTGAACTCCCCTCTCCCCAGCCCCAGCTCCCTGCACCCTCTACCCCCATTCCTCCTTGGTGACCAAAAAGGGCAAGGAGCAGAGAAAGAGGCAGCGGGCAGGGGAGGCACAGAGAGCCGCTGGTGACAGGGTAGGGGAGAGGCCAGGAGAGCCAGACAGAGGCTTGGACAGGCTCTGAGAGACCAGGATTAGGGGCCATGGAGAGAGAGAGAGAAAGAGGGGAGAGAGAGAGAGAGAAAGAGGGGAGAGAGAGAGAGAGAGAGAAAGAGAGAAAGGGAGGGAGCGAGGAGGCAGAGGGGTGGAGCGATAGAAGCCGGCAGGGAGGAAGGGGTGGGCAGGGGGAGGGCGAGAAGCCGCCGTTGACAATTACGTCTGGGTCCAAGCAAACATGAGGCAGCTGCCAGCCGGCCTGGGCAGTCTTGTCTGCCTCGGCTGTGAAGTGGGGAGGCTGGCAACAGTTTTCTTCAGCGCCCAGGATGCAGCCGGCTAAGGTAGGTGCTGGGGGAATGGGGTCTTGCTCTGGAGGGGGGTCGGGGGGAGGAATGGAGGCTTCTGGGGGTTGCTCTGGACCAGGAAGCCTTTTTCTTTGACCCTTGTCCCCTCTTGTTCCACTTTCCTTTGGGGAAAGTGAGCGTTGGGGCGTCCTGGCTGGCGCTGGGGTGTCCTGGCTGGTGTTGGAGTGTCCTGGCTGGCGTTGGGGTGTCCTGGCTGGTGTTGGGGTGTCCTGGCTGGGAGGCTGAACTCCTAGGGCTCCCTTTGGATGGGAGAGGTTTATAAGTGTTTGCGGAAGAAAAGCTGGACAGAGGAGGAGCTTGGGGTCAGCCCACGACTCATCCTGCTCAGTTAGGTCCCTGGGTCAGGTGCCAGCGTGGCTGACACTGAGCCCGGGCCCCACAGCCTTCAGGTTTGGGGGAGGGGTGAGCCTGGGAGGGAGTCACTTGTGCTTGGAGGTTGGTCAATGAACGCATCTTCTAATCAAGCAATCAAGTAACGAATGAGTGCCCACTTCCTCTGAAAGGGCTAGGAGCCCCTAACAAGAGCACTTCCCACACATTCCCTTTCAGTAGGGCTGTGGGGAGGTCAGAGAGAGAATGCAAGGAAAACGCCTGGCACAGAGTTTGAGAAACAGTGGTGGGGAACAGGGAAGGGTGAAGAATTAAAGGAGGAATGAGGGAAGGAGAAATAAGCTGGCCCTCCAGCCTCTAGCTGACTCTCAAAAGGTCTGGCCTGATGCCCTGTGAGCTGCTCACACATTCAGGATAGTTCAGGTCTGGCTGCTCATAACAGAACGCCCCAAATAACAGTGGATGGAACAAGGTTAGCGGGGTTTCTCTCTCATGCAGAAGTCCAGAGGGGCAGTGGAGGGCTGGCTTGGAGGCCGCCTGATCAGCAGCATTTCAGGCCTGCCCTGTATCACCCCTGAGGTTACCTTAAGGTGCAACATAACTGCTGGAGCTCCAGCCAGCACACATGGGCTCATACTGACATATGAGCAGGAAGGAGAAAGAAAGAAGGGCAAAAGGACCCAGAGACAATCAGGGTCTTGAATGTAGGAAAGAAGGGATATGGGGTTGGCACCTCAGCGTCTCTGCCCTGAACAGATGGCTTCCTGCCTCTTTCATCTGTGAGGACAAGCATCCAAGCATGGGCGGGTGGCTGGCTTGGACCACACTGCCCCCAAACCCCAGGCCTCCCTTGTGCTATCTGCTCCATCTTCCAGGGTGCCAAGAGGATCAGCTGAGGTGATGGCATGAAGCCCTTTGAGCATGGCAACACTACACATGGAAAATGTGCCTTCTCTCCTGTCACCTCAAGTCTCCCCAGCAACCACCATGCAGGCAGGGCAGAGTGGAGAAACGTAGCGCCTTGCCCCAGGCTCACACACTACGGCGTCAGGGTGCACAGTGCAACCGTGCCCATAGGCAGAGACACATTGAGCGACCCTGCATGACTACAGAGATGGGAATTTCCAGAGTCAGGCTGCACACAGATGTGCACACAGCCAGCTCTGACCTCCAGCAGAAGACAGTCCTCCCCTCCTTTGCCTTTCCTCTGCGGGCCTTAACTGCCAAAGGTCACTCTGGGAGCTTGGCCACTCCTGCCCCTGCCAGACTGGCAGAGTGGGTGGCCTGAGTCCTGCACTTACATCTGGTTCTTCCCTTGGCCATTGTGACCCCACACTGCGCTCTACCCTCCCACAACCAGCTCCTGGGCCCCAGTGGGTCTCACTGTCCTTATGTCTGCTGGTGGCCTTCCTGTGGCTGGCCTGGCCAGGGAGGGGAGTGGGACCCACACCTCCTGGTGCTGGGCCCAGCAGAGACAGTGGTCCTAGGAGAAGCCACCATTAGGTTTCTCATCAAGATCAATGGGAGATTGTGAAAAATAACCTTCCTCTCTTGTGGCAGCAGGGACTGTAGTCAGAGCTCAGGTTGGGAGGTGTTCTGACTCCTCAGGGTCACGGTCAGTGGCTGTCCCCCAGTAACGCCCCATGACTGCCCGGCTCCCTAGCCTACTCCCCAGCCATTCATGAATTCTCACCTCACTCCTATGGGGAGGCGGGGAGGCACTGCCATTCCTATTCTAGACACTGAGGCTCAGAAAACTGGAACAGCTCCAGGACTCCATGAGCTTGATCCCATGAGCTCTTAGGAGAAAGGAGCGAAAGACCCGCAGTTTCTGCGACAGGCGCTGCTGTCGCGGTGTTGAGGCTGTGGTGTCTTCACAGCTCAGCCCGTGCACTGGGAACCCCTTTTGCCTGGCTTCCAGCCTTGTTGCAGGGCACTGTGCGAGATGGGCCCTAATTTGCTCCCACATTTCAAAAGACCCCAGGCTGCACTGGGAAGAAAGGGGCTCTGCCTCAGCCCTCCAGGTAGAGCCCAGGAGAAGGGCAGAGCTGAGAGCCAGAAGCCTGAGGGTACCAACGCCCATCTAGGACATTGTCTCCCGCATTATCTCCCTGGACCCTCACGCAGCCCACAAGGCAGCTGTTGGTATCATCCCCACTTCACAGATGGGGAAACAGAGGCCTGCCCCAGACTGCAGGCTACAAGAGTTGTGGCTGAGATTTGAACCCTGCTCTGTCTTACTCCAGAGCGCAGCAAGTCCCTAGGGCTTGGGGGTTGCGGAAGAAGACGCAGGAGGAGAAGGGCATGCCTTTAACCAGATGGCAGAGGAGGGGCCCATCCCAGCCGTGCGGCCGGTGGTCTGTTGTGCCCTCTGAGCCCTCCAGTGAGTGCACACAAGCCAGACTCCACCTGGCCGCATCCCCTGCGTTAGCCACGTGACCTGGAGCTAGCTGCCTCCCATTTTTGGACTGTGGATCCAGAGCTAGGAAGTAAAGGACCCCAACATTTTAAATTCAGGCTGCCTTGTCTTATCAAGACCTTCTGTGTGAGGCAGGGAACTGCTTTACTGACTTAGCAGAGGGGCCTTAGAGCCCCCCTGCCCTCCCCAGCCCACCCCTGGGCATCCCAGTGACTTCCAGGAGCAGCCAATGTGGCTTCTGCACGGAAGAAAGCACTCTCAGTTTCCAAGGTGAAGCAGAAGAGGGGAGAGAAGTTAGCACGTCTTTCTGGCCTAGTGCCCAGACCTGGGGCAGGCAGGAGCCTGAGAGTCGGGGGAGGGCACAGCATGGGGCGAGTCCCGTGCTGCTTCCTGCCCAGGGCTCCCGGCCTCAGCTGACTGATGTTGCCTTTGAGCAGGTGCGTCTGTCATCTGAGATCAGCCCATGCCTTAGAAGGCCAAAGAGCAGCCCTGTGGCAGGGAAAGAAGCAAGGGGACCTGCAGAGTTGGAGAGGGAGCAGCTGAGCTGAGACGGGAGGGCAGCGTGGGGGTGGCGTGTCCCACACTAGAGTCGGCCCAGCCTCCCCCTCTGACCTGCCACCTCAGCTCTCTGCCCAGCATGCCCTCTCCATCAGCCTGGCCATGCCTGGGCCAGGCTCAGCCAGGAAAAGCAGCTGCTGGTCTTTTCTGGCCTCACCTCCCAGCCTGCCCAACGCCCCCAGCCTTCCCCAGCCTTTATCACATGGACAGTAGGCAGATGCCAGGGTAGGCAAGGGACAAGTCCCCTGCATCCCAGTCCTCTGCTGCTGGTGCCACATGCCCCTGTGCCCAGCTCTGTCGTGGGATCCTCTCTCAAGATGGGCACTCTGGACAGTGCTCCAGAGAACCAAACTGTAGCCCCACCTCTGCCCCACTGACTCAGGGCCTCAGTCTTCCCATCTGGGTCTGAGAGATGCTCACAGCATCTGCCAGGCCTTGTGATGAGCAGTGCAGGGCTGGGAGGCACGGGCCTGGCTGACTCAAGTCAGGGCCACTGCCAGCAGTGCCCCACATGTGCACACAAATGTCCATGGGTCTTGCGCAGAGCCCTGATCCTCACTGTGCGGGACTAAAGGACCCCGGGCAGGAGACAGGCATGGCCAAGAGGCATCATGGCTGTGCCTTGTTGGCTGTGAGCCCTGACTGCACCAGCAGACCTGGGCTCAGTCCAGGCCCTGTCACACACTGGCTGTGTGTCCTCTGACAGGTTACTTAGCTCATCTGTGCCACTGTGTCCTCATTTTCCTGGGGGAAGTATGAATATCACAGAACCCCCAGATAAATGTGATCCTATACCAACCAGCTTGGCCTGGCCCCTGGCACAGAGTGAGGCCTCCACACATGAAGGGAATACCTATGCCATCCCTTCTGACTGTTGAGGAGAGCCTGGGAAGGCCACCAAGAGGCAATTTGGCCATGGGCAACTCAAGTTCACCCCTGGGTTAACGTGACACCCTCACTGCCAGGCAGCATGGGGAGCTTGTCCTTGTCAAGGTGGCAGCCATCAGAGCAGGGGTGGACAGCCCAGCTCTCCTGCTCCAGTGCTGCCAGAGGGCTGGGGCCCAGGGCTGTGTGTGTGTGTGTGTGTGTGTGCGCGCTCATAGGTGTGTTTGCAGGCATGTGTACGTGTGTGTGTATGTGCATATGTGCACACATGCATCTTCAGGGACTCATGACAACCTCGGCTCCCCCGACAAGGCGAGCTGCCTTGCCTATGTCTGTCTGTGCCCAGGGGTGGGTGGAGAATCCAGGCTCCCCAAAGCTTCCCCATTCCATACCCTGGGGCCTGCACGACACAACGCCCACCACTGCTTCCTGCCATCTGTCCCGAGTGATGGAAATAGAGCCAGTGACAGCAAGCAGTGCTGGGTGGGCCAGTCTGCACCGCAGCAGCCGTGGACAGGGTGGGGGGTGGGGAGCCCCACATCTGAGTAGCCTGGATGTCTCATGCTGGCCCTGGCCTCGGTGAAGCCCTTCCGGAAAGGAAGGGGGTGAGAATCGGGGGACCCCCTTTGCCTTTCAGGCAAGGCCAAGAATTTTCTATCTGGAGGGACAGACACTCTAAACAAATTCCCCAAGCTGCATTTTCAGATCTATTGAGGAGCTTTATAAGAACAGAGTAGCCCAGCCCTCTCTGCATCAAACAATCCAGCTCCTGGGCAGGCAGATGGTGAGAGCCTCCCCACGTGATTCTGGCATGTGGCAGCTGAGAGCGGCACATTGGGCCTCCCTGCCAGGCATGCTAGGCTGTGGGTTTGGACAGCCAGACCCTCCCTGGGATCAGAAGGGCGAGGAACACTGACTCTCCCCCACTGGGGGCTTTGTCACCTTGCCTTCCCCTTAACCCTGTGAGGGCACATTGTCACCCCCATTTTGCAGATGAGTAAACTGAGGCTCGGAGCTGTCAGGTTCTCTGTCAGGGTCACCGAGCTGGGAAGCGAGGGTGCGGGATTCATGTAACTGGTTGGCCACAGACCCCTCCCACTGTCCTCGGCTGCTGGAAATCACATCCACCTGCCTTCGATCTCCTGCCCTGCCCCCAACTAGCCGTGCCCTCTGAGCCCACACCCAGGGGCCCTGGTGGCACATACGAAGCCACTCACTTCTGTTTTGCATCCGTTAAGTCTGTAGACATCTGGGAGGAGTCAGCGATGCATCTTGCCCATGCATGTACTCCTAGAACGCCACCCGGGAGCCTGGATACTTTAACGCAGGTTTTCCAGGACCCCCACTTCTCACAGGCTGTCATGTGCCCCCCAGTCACCTCTGCCACATCTGCTCTGGAAGGCTTTCTGGGAGTTTCTCTGGAGCACAGTTGATGAGAACCATGGAGACTGAACTAGCGGCTCGAGGGTTTCACCTTGGCACACTCCTGACAGTCTGACTCCATCTTCTCAGCCAGATGGGCCTCCTCAAGACGAAGCTGTGCCATGCTGGGCATGGGGCAAGGAGTGGGACGCTGCTCCGTGGGCCACCTGGCCTCTCAGGGGACCTAGAGTGTAGGGAGCCACGAGGCAAAATGTCCGGTCCAGGTCCTGGAGGTTTGTTCCAAGTGCTCAGCCTCTGTCTGTGGTGTGGAAACTCTCGGGATGATGGTGTGGTGTTTGCGGCAGAGACTGGACTGTGTTCAGGGGGAGAGGAAGGCATGGGGGACAGCCCTGCCTCCTACATTCCCGCAGTGACAGTTTTCTCAGGCACTGGGAAGTCGCCGCCCCTCCCTCACTGGCCACATCTAGAGTAGGTCCTGAGTACCTGTCTCCATAATATCCCCAGCACCCAGCCATGACCTCCGCCTGGCTCAGCCTTCCCCCGCTCTCCTGGGCCTGGGCATCCCTCGCCTCCCCCAGATGGCCGCCTGCCTCATCGAACCCCCAATCTGATCTGCACATTCCACCAGGCCACCCTTCTGAGGCAGCTGCGAGTCCAGCTGGACTTGAGTGGCAGAGAGCAGCTGGGGCGGCTGTGCCCTGCCAGGAGGATGCTGCCCCAAGCCTGCCGGCTGGCAGGTCTGAGAACCATCCGGATCAGTCCTGTCCAATAGAGACATGATGCAAGCCACAGATGTCACTTAAAATGTGCCAGTAGGCACAGTAAAGAAAGAAAAAAAGGTTAAATTATTTTAACCATATGTTTTATTAAACCCAGTGTAAATGATTATCATTTCAACCTGCAATTGATATAAAGCATTTTTAATGAACTATTTGATAGTCTAGTAAGTAAATGTTTGGAACCCAGTGTGTGTTTACACGAGGGCACGTCTCAGTGTGGACCAGCCACATGTCAGTCTCAGCAGCCTGGCGAGAGGCCGCCGTCACTCAGACTTGAGGGGTCGCCTGGCTGAGTCGAGCAAGCCCCCAGCCTCAGCCACAGAGAGAAACATACACTTCCTGCCTTTACCGTTTTGCTGTATCTGTTGTGACCTGTGCTATTGTTTCTTATTATTTTTCTTTAAATTAACTCATGCATTGAATTTTAGTGAATTCATTTAAAAGGGAATCTTTAAATCAGTACTGTAAGTGGGAAGCCGGGAGCAGAAGTGGAAGGTAACCACCACATTGCCATGAAATAAGGCAGCAGCGATAAACTCCCACCCATGGTCTGTGGCCTGTTGAGGCTCTGAGCTGAGGCCGTGCCCTCCCTTTGTAAAGAGAATGGCAGTGGGGAGCTGGAGAGTGTGCTGGCCCCGAGTCTAAGTCATCTCCTGCACCTCGTAGGTGCAGCTCCCCACTGCCAGAGACCTCAGGCCAAAGCCCCCAGGACGCAGCTGACTCAGAACAGGCTGGGTTTACCCCTGTTGAATAACAGGAGAACGCATACCCCAGGGACCCTGGCAAGCTGCATGAGAACGGGTGAGCTAGAATCCATTACCGGATTTGGGGCTCAGTTGGGTGCTTTGGGTAATTTTGAGGTTCTAAGGAACCTCAAAAAGTTGGTGTGACCATTAAATATGATAACCCCTCCAAACAACTAACTCAGCACCAGCACACAGCAGGGGCATCACCCACGCCATCTTTTTCCATCCCTCCCTGGCTCCCCACAGGCCAGGAGGACTTAGAAGGAAGTTGAGGCCTGGTCCTGGCCTGCCTGGCTGGGCAGGAGCTACAGATCTCGGCCACCAGGTGACTGGCAGAGAATGGCCTGCCTGGCTCACCAGCAGCCTCTATCCTTCAGGGAAACTTGTGACCTTTGAGAAGGCTGCAGGTCCCCAGGGCCAGCCTAGGGCCGTTTCTGGGACACAGCCCTAAATGCCCACACTGCCAAGTATGCCACCAGGGACTCTGCCTGAACCCAGGGCCCAGATCTTCTGGCTTCACTCGTCTCTGCCACTCAACCCTGGCCATCCTCTAAAGCTGGTAGACAATGACAGTTCTGTCACCCATTAAAATGAGGCCGGCATCGAGCAGGAGTGGGAGGAGAGAGCCCCAGGTGAATTGTGAAGAGCACAGGGGACTTTTGATCATTCGTGAATATTTATTCAGAGCCTTGTGCATGCTTGCGTTTTTAACACCTTCTTTTTGGGTGCATGAGAGTATTTTTTGATGGAAATCTTTATTGAGCTCGTTGTAGATTCACATGCAGTTGCAGGAGCTCACAAAGAGGGCCCATGTACACTTAACCTGGTTTCCCCAATGACAGCATATTTCAAAACTACAACACAATAGCACAACTGGAGTGTCTGCAATGATGCAACCCACCAGTCCTAGTCCGATTTCCCAGTTCACACGCACTCATTTCCGTGTGCATTTTTTGCTACAATTTTTATCACGTGTAGGTTCAGGCACTCAACAGCACCATCAAGATGCAAAACAGCTCTGTCCCCTCAAGGCCCCTCCTGCCGCCCTGTGAGAGCCACACCCCTCTCCCTCCTGCCTGCCTCCCCCCATCCTTAACCCCTGGCCCTCTAATCTGTTCTCCATTTCTAAAACTTTGTCATTTTACAATGTTATATAAATAGAATCACACAGAATGTGACCTTTTGGGTTGGCTTTTTCATTCAGCGTAATTCTCTGGAGGTTCACGCAGGTGTGGTGTGCGCCAACAGTTTGTTTGTTTTACTTGTCCAGAATTCCGTGGTATGGATGCACTGGAGTTTGTTTAATCATTCACCCATTGAAGGGCATTGGGTTGCTTCCAGTATGGGGCCGTTCCAAGTAAAGCTGCCATGAACATTTGTGTACATGTTTTCACTTGAACATAACTTTTCGTTTCTTCAGGATAAACGGCCAAAAATACCGTGGTCGGGCTCTGTGGTAGCGCATGCCTAGTTTTTATAGGAAGCTGCCAGACTGTTCTCCAGAGTGGCTAAGGCGTTTTCCCTTTCCACCGACAATGGAGGGGTGATTCCGTTTCTCCACATCCTCACCAGCTTTCAGTTGTCATTATCTTTGGTTCTAGCTGTTCGGACAGGCACATGGTGGTGTCTCACAGCGGTCCTCCTCTGCGTTGCCAGAATGGCTAATGACGGCGAACATCTCTTCCCGCCGCCTTTGCCATCCACGTGTCCTCTCTGGTGAAATGTCTGTGCATGTCTTTCACATTTTCTAACCTGATGGTTTGCTCTTTTACTGTTGAGTTTTGGGAGTGAGGATCTCTTGGGTGCCAGGCTGTGTCACGAGGAAAAGCAGGTCACATGAGGATCAGGTTCCACTCTCGCAGAGCTGATGCGCTAAAGGGGAGAGACAGAAAACACAATAATAGGATCAGTTCACAAGGGCTGGGTGAAGAAGTGCTGAGATGGAGGTGCATGGGGGAGGGTGGCCTAGGTAGTCAGGCAGGGCTCTTCTAGGACCTGAGCCGTGAGTGAGGCCTTAAACGCCTGGGGCAGAAGTGTCCAGTGCCAGGAGCAGCAGGTGCCAAGGCGGTGGTGTGGGAGCAGACTTGGAGGGGCACGGTGGGGCTGTCAGGGCCTGGCAAGGAGGCACTGGGGCTCCCGGCAGGGTTGGGGCATCTAATTCATGTTCCATCTCATCACTGCCCCAGCTTCTCTCCCAGCACCAAGGCACTGTGGGGTGAGGGGCCAGGGGGCCGCCTCTTAGGACGCCCTCCCTTCCATGCTGTGAGCCTCCCAAGCCAGCAGGAGGGTGCCTGGGCTGCTATTTAACATTCCCTGACAGCTCAGTCAGACCCTCTTCCAGACAGACAAGTGTCAGATATTCATGAGGATGACCTCCTCCCGCCTCCCCAGCAGCCTGAGGGCCCAGGCCGCAGCCTGATGAGTCCCAGCTTCCCAGGCTCGGCTGCTGGGGTCTCCCTGCCCTCCTGTCCCTGGCCCTCCCCTCCCTTCTCTTCTCAGAACCCACCCCCTGCCTCACAAAGAGGGGTGCCCATCATGGGCCTGCCTTGTGGGGCTCACAGGTGGGATTCTGGCCCCTCAGCCAGATGGAGGAGCCTGGCCCGGAACCCCCACCACCACTCCACCCAGACTCTCTCCACAGGGAGAAAAGACACACTGGGGCCCCCTAGCCCAGGAGGGCATCACAGCACTCCTCAACGGATATTTTTGGAAGGCTGCTGATGTGCCTGAGGGGCTTCGGAACACACCCAGCTCCAGAGACCGCCCCAGGGACCCAGGCCGAGAAACAGCCTCAGCAGCAAAGCCTGTGGTCAAGCCCATGTGAACTTTGGAATCAGAAGACTATATGTGTAGTGTGGCCCTGGCATGTCCCAAAACTTCTCAGGGAATTAGTTTCCTCATCTGTGAAATGGGGATCGTCTTACCGATTGCAGGGGGTTGTCGTGACGAGATTACTTTCAGCTCAACATAGACATCCACTTGGGAGGTGCTCAGCCTGCCCTTTGGGCTCACCCAGCCTTCCCGGGAGGACTGAGCCCTGTGAGCTAGAACCCAGGACACCCATGGGATCTCCCGCACGACCTGGGCCTGGGGCTTCAAGACAGAATCCCTGTGACTAACCCTGGGCCCCGAGAAGCAGCCTTGCCAGCCAAGCCAGTGCTGTTCTGAGATGGGCTGCAGACGGGGCTGGGGGTCCCAGTGAAGAGCTCCTGCCAGGGGCTCCGAGGCCGCCTCAGTTTCTTCTGATGTCCTCTGCTCACCCCCCACGCAGAGCCTGCAGCAAAGAATTTGTGATGTAATGAAGCACCTGCTGCCCCTCTCTCCCCTACGACCCTCCTTAACCAAAATAAAGACTCCTGAATAAGATCATGAATAATGGAGAAAGTGCGTTTCTGACCCAGCCTGACAGGACGTGTGTGTGCATATGTATGTGTGAGCACATGTGCATATGAGCATGTGTACGTGTGTGTGCCTATGCATGTGTGCTTGTGTGTGCATATGAACATGTGTACTTGTGTGCATGTGTGTGCGTGTGTGTGCATGTGAGCATTGTACACGTGTGTGTGCATAGCGTGTGCACATAGGGAGCTTCCCTCAGCACCCCAGGCACCCGTCCACCCCCAGCTCTCCCCCTGTTTCTGCTCCATCAGCATGGTCAGTGCCTCTTCTTGCTGCAGCTCTGGGCACCACTGAGCCCCCTCATTGCTTGGTGAGCCTTGGAGAAGGGGAGGGACGTGCAGGGGTTGTTGCCAAGGGTGTGTCGGAGGAAGGGTGGATGATGACTGTGAGCTGGAGGACTGGTAGTTGGGACCTAGCTGGGGAAGGCCCAAAAGCCAGGATAAGGGAACTGGACATCTCCCTGCCTAGGGGACCACTTCATCAAACACTGACTAGTGGGCCAGCTGCCCATCCCGAATGTGGATAGGCCTCAGGGGACCATGAGCCAGTGAAGCACCCAGAGAATCCTCCCCCAGCTGGAGCCTGCAGTGTGCAGAGACCAGTGGGGGTGCCAGGCCCATGCCTCGGGAGAGGGGCCAGCCTTTGCAGCAGCAGCAGAGCCCTGTCGCTGGGCTCTGTGTGGACGGGCATGGCCAGGGCTGGTGTCCGGCGCTGCTCTCTGATCTCGTCTGCTTTCCAGGACTGGCTCTCTGTGCTTCCCTGCAGGCTGTGACTGGCCCGGGCTCCCTGCTGCCAATTCTTCCAGTTCAAATCAACCTGGGTCAGTCTCTGGCTCTTGCACCTGACAGTCCAACTAGCACAGGGGCTGTCTTCCAGGGCTGCCTCTGTAGAAGCTGCTTGACGGCCCCGTCCATCTGTTATTTACTTTGAACAACCAAATACTTTTCAGGACCGTGCAAAGGTAGCACACACGAGACCCTGTGACCTGGGAAGGGTATGGACAACCCACCCCCTGAGTGGCCCTCTTTACTGGCCAAGGAACCCAACTGCTCAGAACACATATGCATGTGGGGGTGGTGCCACTGCCACAGCTAGAGGTCAGGCAGTGCGTCACAGACAAAATGAGGGCCATTGGTGGGCTGTGGTCCAATGGGCCAGACCACACCTGTCCCCCTGCCACCCCGAGCAGGAGAGGACAGCACAAAGGCAGCAAACTAGACCCAGCAGGTGCACAGAGGTGTGGCCAGCGGCAGCCTGCGGTGCACCTCCCTCCTCTGTGCCTCATGGGCCAGCTGCCAGCATGGGAACTGAGCATGGTGGGCAGTTTGGATGTCAGGATTGGGGGGCCTGAAATACGTTGTAGGAGAGCAAATCCTGCTGCCCTGGGGCCTCCACCATGACCCCAGGAGGTTGTTTTCTGATCCACACCGACTCAGGCACATGGCCCACTGCTTTTTTTTTTTTTTTGAGACAGTCTGGCTCTGTTGGCCTTGCTGGAGTGCAGTGGCATGATCTCAGCTCACTGTAACCTCCGTCTCCCGGGCTCAAGCAATTCTCCTGCTTCAACCTCCTGAGTAGCTGGGATTACAGGCACATGCCACCACGTCTGGCTAATTTTTGTATTTTTAGTAGAGACAGGGTTTCATCATGTTGGTCAGGCTGGTCTCGAACTCCTGACCTCAGGTGATCCGCCTGCCTCGGCCTCCTAAAGTGCTAGGATTACAGGCGTGAACCACCACGCCCGGCTGATCCACTGCCTCTTAATGACCACCCATGACTCACTCCTCCCAAGACTCTCCTGCCCATAGCTGGAGCTGTTTCTTCAGATCCCTGCCAGCCTCAGTGGTCGGTTCCACCAGTGCAGCCCTCCTGGGGTCACCACCCAGCCTTTCATTCATTCTCAGCTTGCCTCAGCATGAAAACTCAGGCAGAGCAGGGGCCCTGCTGGGGGAGTGAGGGAGCCAGACGTGGCTGTGTGACCCTGTACAGATCCACTTGCCTCTCTGGTTTTCAGGCAGATGAGGGATTGGGATCGTGATTTCTAAGGGGCTGTCCAGCTCCGACAACCTGGCCTGTGCCAAGGTGGAGAATCCAATGAGTAAGTCTGGGATCACTGCTGACATCCCCTCTCTGCACCCCTGTCTGCCCCTCTTCCAGGGGTCCCATCTTACACCATAGCCAGGGTGTAGAGTGAAAGGAACCTCCCCAGGTCTGGCAGGAATGGCCAGGACAAGGGGCACTAGGCATGCAGCCCCGGAAGGTGAGCCCTCTGTTGTGTTCAGGCTGGCCTCATCTAGGATATCAGGGCAGCTCGGGACCATCCAGGGGTCCCCCCTCTGAGCAGGGGCTCAGGGCTGCTCTGCCTGTTCCTACTGCAGGAAGTGACAAAGGCGTCGGACGGCAGCCTCCTGGGGGACCTCGGGCACACACCACTTAGCAAGAAGGAGGGTATCAAGTGGCAGAGGCCGAGGCTCAGCCGCCAGGCTTTGATGAGATGCTGCCTGGTCAAGTGGATCCTGTCCAGCACAGCCCCACAGGGCTCAGGTAGGGGCCAGGGTGGGCTGTGGTCAAGGGTGGGGGTGGGGAGATCTGTTCTGAGCACTGTCCTTTCTGAGGGCTCAAAGGCCAGCCTGGGACCCCAGCCTGGGCTACATCGCCCCTGTCTCTATTGGAGGTGTGTTTTCATTCATTCACACCCTTCCCCATTCATTGAGTGCCTGCTTCACACAGGCCACTGAGCTCCCAGTGGGACCCACAGAGCATGGGTACAGAGAGCTGGGACCACACTGCGGTTTTCCAGTTGGCTAGGAAGACAGAGCCAGGCTGCAGAGTCCAACAAACCAGGCTCCACCCTGCCCACTGCTCACGCCCTGAGTAAGCCGGGGCACCTCATTGATCCTTTCTAAGCCTTCCGTGAGAAGCCAGGCTGGAACCTGTCCACAGGGCACATTTGAAGATGGGAAATAATGTGTGCAGTGCCTGGTGATCAGGAGGCCCCACCCTCAGCCCCTCCTTGGTCCTGTTCAGTGCACCCCAAGGATTGGTGCTGGCTCTTTGCCTTGGGCTGCATTCTGGTGGTGTGTTAACGAGAGAACGGGCAGAAATCACTGCCCTGGGCTTGCCATGGGTGATATTTGGTGTTTGCCGAGTATAACAGGGCTGAACAGACAATGGCAGCCTCATGCGGCCCCCACGATCTCACACACACATTCAGACACCTCACACTCACACCTATGCACACACACCGGTGCCTCTACCACACACAAGCTTGCACACTCATCATGCACACATAGGTAGGCATACCATACACACTTGCATACTCACATACACACACCACATGCAGGCACCCACACACCATGCACACTCATGGGATCACACATGTGAGTATGGTGCGTATAAGAGTCTGCCTCTGACTTTAAGGAAAAGGTGCAGACTTGCCCTTGACAGCTGCATCTTGTTTGCTCTCTTGGACCCTCTCTAGCTGTGTGATTTCCAGGGAGCGTTTGTCCCCTGGCCAGGAGAATGGGCATGATCGGGGTCCCAGCCTCCTAGGCTTGATGGGGGTCATGAGTGGAGGGGATCAACTGAGGGGTCTGGGCAAACAGCAGGCACAGTGGCTGACAGCCACAGCCAGAGGTCCATGCCTGTGCACAAAGGGACTGGCTGCTACGCACCAGATCCCCGTCCTTTACCCACAAATGCCACTCCAGGGTGCTCCCAGCACGATTCCAGCCCCCTCCCTTTTGCCACCACCACCTCTGCTTCCCCACAGAGCCCCTACCCATCTGTGATGCTGTCACCTTGGCTGAGACTTGTCCCCAACCCCTTCCCATGGAAGCGCTAGCACCTGTGAATGCATGAGTGAGTTCCACATGCACCCCCAACTTCTCGGGGATGGGGGTGGCAGGTTTTGCAGGTAGCAGAAACATGATGAGGTCACTAAAAGCACATGCACATAGCTCGACCGGGAAGGACCGCCTTCAGGGCACTGTTCATTCTGCATCAGAATGAAAATGCGCCTGCTCTCCCTTAGGGTGGGGGCGAGAGCACGGTGGCCATCGCATGTGCTGGCGGCTCAGGTCCACTCTGACGGGCACAGCTTCAGGTCGCTCGAGACTCAGATTTCCTCCACTTCAGTCTTCCAGGGTTTTCTTGGTGGCAACAAGTATTTAAGGGGTGCTGCAGTGGTACCCTCCCTCCATCCCTCAGGTCCTGCAGATGCTCAGCCTCATCCTCCCGTCTCTCTCTGGCAGGCAGAGGTGGCTCAGGACGGGTGGGGCTGGTGTGCATCCTTTGCCGAAGCTTTCTGCACACCCGTGACAGCAGCAGCTATGCTGAGTGGGGTGGACGGGGAGAAAGGTGACAGAGGGGCCGGCATGGCGTGTTCAAGTCAGGGCGGGGGGGACCACCCCTGCACGGCCCACCCCTGCATGCCCCATCCCACCTCACGGAAGCTTCCTAGAGGGCAGGGCCTTTCCACACCCAGCTGTCAGGACACGTTTGCTGAACAACTTGTCAAAGGCGCACAGGAGACAGGGCCAGGGCTGGGCCAGGGCACCAGCGATGGGTTTGTTCCCCTGCATGGATGTGTTTACCGGACCTTGTGCCGGCACTGGGAGCAGATGTGAACGACACATCCAAGAGCCTATTTGATTGTGCAAGGAAGGCAGTGTGGAGCTCATCACCCTGATTTACCAGAGCGTCCATGGCAGCTCAGAGAGGTCACGTGACTCAGCAGATGGCACAAGAAGCGGGGGTTGGGGTGGGGGAGGCTCGGGCCCAGAGCTCCACGGTGCCCACCCTGACGAGCGTCTTTGGTGGGAGCTGAGGGACGAGGGAGCCCAGGGACCTCACGGACAGAGGAGCCGGGACTCCAATGTGCCCTTTGTCTCCCTTGGCCATAGCTCCCGGGTCTCCTCTCTTCAGTCCAAACACGTCCCGTGTGTGTCCCGCAAGGAGGCCGGGCTGGTGTGGTCACACTGAGGGCTTTGTGCACGTGTGAAGTGCTGCGCGGTGTGCAGATGAGGCATCCCCCCTCTTTGGGAGCTGGCACAGGCTCTGGGTGCAAAGAACAATGGGGCCCATTCAGTGCAGCCCCACTGTGTGCTCTGCGAGGCCCAGCACGGTGTCCTGAGCCTTGGGGTCCTGTGGGAGGGGGGCGGCCCAGACACTGTGCCCTTGTACTGGGGTTTTTCCATTCAGCAGAAGTGGGGCCAGAGACACATGTCGGGAACAGCTGGGAGTGAAAGCCAAGGCCCAGCCTGGGAGTCCTGGAGGCTTGGGTGAGGTAGAACGTCGGCAAGGAGTGGACAGGACCCAGGGTCCTGGAGACAGTGGGCAAGGGCTAGAGCATCTGTGGCTGGGCCCTGGGTGGCCAATTCTGGGTGTGAAGACCCCAGGATGGAGTCAGGAGGTGGCCAGCAGTGGGGCCTCTAAGAGGGGAGCCCAGGAGACTCAGAGCACAGGCAGCCTGGCCCCACCCTACCCAGGAGAGGCGCCCCATCCTCAGCCTAGAAGCTCCTTGGACCCTCTTCCATGACCCGGAAGCTGGGACTCTGGCCTGCCCTGCATGCCTCCCCTGCATCTAAAGCCTCTCCCTGCAGGATGCCTCTCCAGAGGCATGGCCAGTGCCACAACTGGACAGACCTGTTTCTCAAGTTTGATGCCCACAAGGGCTGTGGGACTTGGGTTTCTTCAACTGGAATAATAATGTCACCCACAAATAACCTGGGGTCCCAGCTGCAGACAACCGAAACAGGGTGGGCTCCAGGCCTCAGGAAGTTCACAGAAACTCCGGAGGACCAGAGAACGAGGTCTGAATGGGACGAAGCCAGGGCCCCACCTAGCGCCTTGGGAGATGCCTGGCATCCTGGACCACTCTGGCAGGAACGCTCTAGCAGCTGCTGCACGCTTCTGTGTGACACGGTGCAGCCATTCCTCACACACACACACACACATACACACACACACACATACACACACAAGCACACACACATACACACACACATGAGCACACACACACGCATACTTACACACACGCATGCACATGCCCCTCCCCCAGAGAGAAGACCCACATCCTCCTCAGTCGCCGATGCATCCCAGGGAGATGCTCATTCTCCCCGGGGTGCCATGGCAACCCCACGTAAAATCATAAAGACACCACCACCAGTGCTCCTGGGAAAGAGGGGTAGCAGAAAGGCATCGGAACAAAAGGTGAGTTAACTCGTCTCTAATACGTAAAGATCTATAAACAGAATTTTCGCGTATTTGAAGATACAGGATACAATTGACATCATGAAGCATCAAGATACATGATATCAAAGTGAGATGTCAGATCAGTGCAAATTTTCAAGGATTTCTGAGAATTAACCCCTTTCCATGGGGTTGTAGTATGACATCTGTGGCCATCTTTAATCCACCACAAAGATGGATTAAAGATGGATTAAAGCCACAAAGATGTGGCTGAGTCCTTGGTGGAGTGATCCAAACCCCCATTCCTGAGGGATCTGAGTCCTGGGTGGTCCTGCCTCATTGGGGTTGCTAGAAGCCCCCACTGACTTTCATCACTGTAACTGGCAGTGTTGCTAGGCTCCCTGGAGAATTCACTGGATTTGAAGCAGAGTCCTCCCTGCTCCCCTCGATAATAGGGTCATTCACTGGCCGATGGCCCTTGATGCCAGTTGGTCTGAGTGGTGTGAGGGGCCCAGCATGGCCAGGCGGCCGTCCCAGCTTCCAGTTTAGCAGAACCCCTGCTGCCTCCTGCTGGGGACCCATTCTCCCATGGGAATTTAAAGCCTCTAATCCAGAGCCTGGAGTATTGGTGAGGAGCAGCAGAGGTGCGGTGAGCAGGCACTGGATGAGGGAGGGGCCTTTGCGTGTTTTCCCGGGCTCCGGGCTTGTTCTTCTGGCTGGGGGAGAGGCAGCACATCCAGCAGTGTCACTGGCACCCGACAGGGCAGCCCTGGAACCCGCAACGGCTGCCAGAACCAGTCTTCAGCGGGTCTCATCACTGTTCTGTGAGGCCAGCTGCCTCTGGGGGTGGGCACAGGACGGGGACGGGAGCCTGTGAGCCCTGGTCTTTGGTCACACCGCTCTATTCCGTGGTGAAATGAGTCTGTTGCTTGGGATCTATGGCGTGGAGGCACCGTGATGGGGGAGGTGCTGGCAGCACCAGGGCAGGCCAGAGGGAAGGTCACACCCAGAGTGACCATCACTCCCATGAGGATAATGGGAGCCCCAGAGTGATGGCAGGGATGCAGAGTGGCTGACCTGCCACCTGGTGGCTGGCTGGGCACTGAACTGCAGCTGCAGCCTGATCGGCCCAGGGAGAAGTTCTTTTATTGAATCTACGGTGTTTCGTTCTCAAGCAAATGCCAGAGGAGCCAGGAACAGAGGCTGTGAGGTGCACAGAGGGGACCACTGGCCCACCTGATCGTCCAGTGCCTCCTCGGCCCCAGCGCCCCTTGGAGGGCACTTGTGAAGCACTTGCTGTCCCACACTCCGGGTGGTTCCTCCCCAGGCCTCCCAGCCCTTACTCCCCCGATCCTGCCCCTCCACCTCCCTGACCCCTGAACTAATGGTTAACAGCCATCCATGAATCAGTGTAAACCTGTGCCTTCGGCCCTCTCTTCTTCAGACAATGTGGGCAACACATGTACCAGGAAGATGTCCCTTCTCCACGTCCTTCCCCTAGGTGGGCCTCAGTGTCACCTAGAGTTGGGGCCAACATTTCTTGCAGCTCTGTCTATAAGTCACCTCCGAAAGTTTTTCCTCCTCAGACGGCTTCGAGACCGTAGGGGGCGGGTGGGCTGTGGGGAAAGCGGCAATGCAGCAGGTACTGTGGGAGTCGCAGCCCCCGCAGGTACAGCCTCCCTGCGCCCTCCAGACCTGCCCTGCCTCGGGCCCCATCCACAGCACCTGGGCATGACGACAGAGCACTGTGTGCACATGCAGATACCAGTGGGGCTGGGCGAGAGGTTGATACTCGATTGCTGTTGGGTGTTTCGGGGCTCATGGCCACCTACTCTGTCTCTCTGTCTCTGTCTCTCTCACCATCAGGCGCTCCACCCCCACAGCAGCCCAGCAGTGGGAAGTTAGCTGAATGCCAACAGGAGAGATTTTTGGCATTGCTCAAAACCCAAGAGACCACAGATTTCCCCTCTGGGGGCCTGCCATGGCCCCGTAGAGCATTCCAACTTGCCTTAGACTCATCGTGTGTCATTGAATGTTCTGGGTCATTAGGCCCAAGGGGCAGCACTGCTTGTACTTGGCCTGCACCTGCGGAACAGCCTCTGAGCCGCACATTTAACTGTGGTGCACAGGAGGCCCGCCGGGCACCGCACCTTCCTTTACTGGCAGGGGTGCGAGGCGCAGCAGCTCGTCTTTCCCTCTGCAAGGGATCCCTTGGCTTGCCTGAACTTGCATATAACAGAAACCCCAAATAACAGTGGCTTGATCAAGACAGGTGCATCGGCTCCTATATGGGAAACATGGGGTGAGGCGGTGGCTGGCACTAGTTTGGCAGCTGGGGGACGTCAGTGTCAATGTCTTGGGTTCTTCTACCGTTCCCCTCACTGTGGCAATGTGGTTGCTTTGCAGCCCACACAGCCTCATTTCAGGCAACAGGAAGGAGAACCCAGGTGGAAGCGGAGAGTGGTGGTCCCCATGTCAGGAAGGCAGCACTCACAGAAGTCTCTGGAAGACAGATGCTTCCATTCCACTGGCCAGAGATAAGCTGCCCTCACTGCGAGGAAGGCAGGGGAATGGTGGAGTTTTCAGCTGGGCGCATTTCCATCTCCAACAGCATCTGAACCCTGCTGGTGAAACTCAGGAAGAATGAATACAGAACTGGCATTCTCAGCCACATGTGGCTTGCAGGGTTGTTTTGATGACTGAAGGCACTCACTGGCACCCAGAAAGACCTTAGCAAGCTGCCTGGCTGTTATCGCCTTTATTTATTGCTAAGTGCTCAAAAATGTGGAGGGCAGGGGGTTGGTCAGCTCCAGTCATGAATTTGGCTCTCCCTTCTGCTCCTCAGCAGAGGAACCGCTTCCCACTTCCCCTTCTGCATTTTAGAGAGGCACAGCAGGGCTGAGGGATGAGGCCAGTGGATAGAGGTCAGAGGTCAAGAGACAGCCTAAGGCTAGGGCCCTACCTATGCCCCCGTCCTACTCAGGGCCCCTGGCCCTGAGCCTCCTAGGCAGGGGACTGTGTGAGAGCAGGCTGTTCCCTGTCTGGCTGCAGAGAAGCCCTGGGGCCCGGGTGAGGCCCCTCTGCAGTGAGATCACACCCTCAGCTGATAATCACACCAGTGTCACCTCCTCTGTTGGTGCTGGGAGCTCAGGAGTGACGCCCACCCCATCCCCACGCCTCCCAGCCCAGGAAGCCGCAGGGGCCCTTCTGCCTCCAGGAACAGTGAGCTCCGGGGGCCTGGAGGCTGAGGCCAGGCACCAGGTGAAGGGGCCAGCCCTGTGGCAGGGGCAGGGGCTACCTGAGAAGGCAAACCCAAGGCAGGAGGACTGAGTGCACTCTGGCTGCCCCGGGGCTCTGGGCTGAGGGGCAGGCAGTCCCCGGAAAGGCTGGGAGAGCCAGAAGCAGGGACAGAAAGCAGAGGAGAGAAGGACAGGCCCAGAGCGCCCAAGACACTGGGGACAAGCTGAGACCAAGAGGAGAGACGCTGCTTTTGAGAGACAGAGACAGACAGACAGACCAGGAGTGGGGAGTCCTAGAAAAAGAAAGGTGTTGAGTGTCAGGCTGAGGAGAGGCTGGCAGAGGAGGTCAGGGAGCAGGCTTGTGGGGGTACCGCCTGCACAGTGGCAGGCAGGGCAGAGCTGAGGGCAGGAGTCGGGCGGATTAAGCCAGGCCCAAGGATGGCAGGGTGCGGCCCTGGCCCGAGGCTGCAGGAGTGCCAGCATGGCTGTGGGAAGCACCTGGGAGGCATCATCAGCGTCTTCTTCCGCTTCATCTCTGGGAACCTGGCTGGAGGTGAGGGTTGCTTTGGTGGGGCTGGGATGGGGCTACAGAAGGGACAGCTTTGGGCCGGGTCAAGGATTGGGCCTGCCTTATCTGGGGTAGGGGTGACAGGGGGCAGGGGTGGGCAGTGGCCCTGGGAGCAGGACCAGGAAGGACTGCAGTCTTTGCAGCCCACCCCTCCCCACTGTGACCTGGGGACAGTGAATGCCAAGCCTGGGATCCCCCACTCATGGGCCCAGGGAGGGAGAGCAGATGGGGAGCCGCTGGCTTCTCCATGGGGTACACAGACTCAGGACAAGCCTGGGCTGGGAGAGAGTGGGGTGGCTCTCAGGCCAGTCCTCCTCCTGTGCACACTGACTCGACCGCCCAGGCCCTCCCCGTCTCCTTCCCTCACTGGAAACCCTCTCCTCTTCCATCAAAGGCAGAAGTGGTGTCTGTGATGAGGATTAACAAAAATGGGCAGGTGTGTATTAAGACCTCTATACAGAAAGTGCTCAGTTAATGACAGCCACCTCCCAAAACCTATGAAACCTAAGCAACCTGGAGGCCTTGGCAGGGATGTAGGGGACTCCCTGAGTCGGTACTTGTGGGCCCAGGCCTGTGGGGAACCGGGAGGTGGGTGATCCACAGCCAGCCAGTTCCACTCCAGGCTCTCCCTCCTCTGCCTGCACCCGGGGCTGAGCAGGACCAAGACCAAGTCTCGGCCACGGGGCTACGAAGCAGGCACAGGGGTGGTGCCCTGCATGGGGGGACCTGGCATTTGCTGGGAAGGGTTGATATCAGGAGCTTCAGACCCTGAAAGGAGTGAGCATCAGCAGCTTGGAGTGCTGAGCAAGTGCTGTGGGGACGCGGAGGAGAGTAGGCTAAAGAAGTCAAGTGATTTCCAAAGAGAGATAAAATGATGTCCCTAAAACAAAGATGAGCTGGTGTAGACATGTGACATGTACATCCCAGGACCTGGTGCCACAAGCTGCCTATGCTGCCAGAAGATGCTGCCCCCATGCTGAGAGGTCACCTGCAGCCGCCGGCAGGGCTGGGCTGCCACAGCATCTCCAGGGACCAGGGGCTCATCCCCCAATCTTGTCCCTGCCCTGTCCTGAGTGCCTTGCACAGAGCCTGGCACATAAAATACCTGTCAAATTCATGCATGACATTTTGAGAAGCATGCAAATGTAAGATTGAGCATACACTCACGCATCCCCAAACAAGTAGAATAACAGGGGCTTGGAGAGCGGTAGAGCAGCACAGAGTCTGCAGGAGGAAGGCGGACCCTGCTGTGCGGAGGCTGGTGGAGCCGGGGGCTCAGTCTAGCCCCAGGTGGCAAGTTTGGTGGCTCTGAGTGGGGACTCGGAGAGCCCAGGGTTCCTGGGCCTTCCAGTTTTTCAAAAGAGAGGGGAATGCTGTGGCTACATGTGCTGTCCCTTAGCGGTGCCTTAGGCTCCCAAGCCTTCCCTTCCTCAGGAAGTTATTTTGGGGAAGGAGAGAACTTTGAAGACAGTGGACCCTGGGCCGCTTCTCTGTGAGGTGAGACACTGGTGGGCCAGGCCCAGGGGGAGAGGAATGTACCTGAGGTCACTGAGCTGCTGGGCATGACCCTCCAAGCTGGGTGCTCCTCCTTGCTCCTCCTGGCTAGTGACCCCAAGCATCCCTCCTGCCCGCCCTTGGCCTGGCTCCTTATCTTCCCTGGAGGGGCTAGAGCGATAGTGCCTCCTCCGCTGGGTGGCCCAGAGGGCCAGTTTATTGCCATGATGTTGCCATAAGCAAGAGTCCGTATCGTCTGGAGCTCCGGGCGCCTGTGTCATGCCTTTTACCTGCCTCACAGGCTCTTGGGCTCATGGTGCTCCCTCTCTCTCCCTCCGCTGCGCCGTCTGTCTCAGTCCATGTTCCTTGCCTTCCTTAGGGAGAGTGAGACATAAGCCTCGTATTGGATTAGGAGGCCAGGAGGGCTGCTCCCAAGGTGGCCGTTGAGCCCCATCTCAGAACAAGGGAGGGAGGGCAAGAGCGGCAGGTTTGCCTCTGCCCGGGGCCCCAGGTGCCTCTCCTGGCACCGAGGGCTGGGGCTTGCTGGTCCACCTCTGAGTTCCTCCCAGCTCTGGCGATGCCGGTTCTGGGATTCTCAGCCAGCCAGGGAGGTGCTCTCTGGGAGCAGGGGTGAGGAGGCTAGAGCTGGCTGGGTGTGGACCCGGAGGCGCGGCTGAGAATGAGGTGGGTGCTGCTGAAAACACCACTGCCTGCTGCCAAGGTATGGAACCACACGGAGGGAGCCTGAGGCGCTGTGGCCTCTGACCCTCAGTCCACTCGGTGTGGCTGCTCTTCCCTGCCATTTGCATTAAATTTTCTGCAGATCCTGTGGTCACCTTTCAGGTGTCAGCAAGTACTCAGGGAATCCTTTCCAGCCCGGCACCCCTTCTTTGCTTCAGGACTCCCTCCTGCCACTCACGGCAGCCTGGAGGGGTCGGGGAGGAGGAGGCAGGGTGTGGTGGGGTGTGGGCGGGTCCCGGGTCTCTATGCCCTTCCCAGACCTGCCCAAGGCCGCCACCCCTCAGCAGCCCCTGCCACCCCTCGGCCTGTCTCCCAGGTGCTGAGCCTGCCCCTCTCCCGTGGTCTTTCTTGTGGGGAGGATGGGACTTTGAAGATGGATTCCCTGGGAGCATCCCCTCCGGCTCCATGAAGGCCTCTGGGTGGGTGTCCAGTTCACTGTCCTCACCCTGGCGGCCACTGGCCAGTGTAGCCACAGTCACCACCCGACCTCCTCCAGGAGTACGTCAGACCCAACTGGCCCTGCATCCCCCAAACTCCAGGGGACACATTCAGATCACCATGGCCTTCTCAGAAGTCCCTGAATTGGAGGGAGGATGGACTGAAGCTCCCCAGGGTGGGAGAAGGAGGGAAAATGCTCAGCACTCCACCCAGCCTTCCCTAGGCCCTCTCCTCCCCGCCCCCCTCGGCCCCACCCAGCCTCTCCTCCCTGCCCCCCCAGCCTTCCCTAGGCCCTCTCCTCCCCACCCCTCCCCAGCCTCTCCTCCCTGGCATCCCCAGCCTTTCCTAGGCCCTCTCCTCCCTGACCCCCAGCCTCTCCTCCCCACACCCCCAGCCTCTCCTCCCCACACCCCAAGCCTCTCCTCCCTGGCCCTGCCCCCCGAGCCTTCCCTAGGCCCTCCCCTCCCCAGTCCCCCAAGCCTAGGGAAGTCTAGGCCCTTTCCTCCCCGGCACCCCCAGCCTTCCCTACGCCACCCTCTGTGGATGAAGGGGTGGGTCACAGAGCCGGTTTCGCAGCACCTTAGTGTGGCCTGCAGAGCTGGTCCTGTATCTCTCGTGCTGTTCCTGGCTGTTGGGACTTCTCTCAAACTCAACAGGAAAAGTTACATTTAATACCAGATATAAGCATGGAGTTCACGTCAAGAGAGCGTCAGCCCTGTGCTCTGGGTCACTCACCCTATCACAGGGCAGGCGCCCCGGATGGAGCCCCAGAGACAAGTCTGGGGTGCAGTGGAAGAAGGGGGGTCAGGGCTGGGGCTGGGGCACCCGACGGAGGCAGCAGAGACCAGAAGTTACACACAAAATTGGGCACATCTGGCTTGAATTGACACAGCGTCATTCTGACGCACTAAAAATGCCATTCTGCAAATAGACATTGAGTGCGTGTCAAGGTTCTGTTGAACTCCCTAATGAGGGGACTAACGAACGACAGAGCTGATTTAAGAGAAACACGGGGCTCTTTAGAGAGGGTGGGAACAAAAGGCACACAGAGACAGGACTGCTCAGTTAAACAGAAGGGATATGAAACTGAGAAAGACCCAGGTGAGTGAGGCCACTGCCTGCAGGGTTATCTCCTCTGCCAGAGGGAAGAGGAAACCATGGCATCTGTAACTGTGTTACAGGCCTGGAAGACATCGGAGCCCTAATCAATCGTGCAGCTTAGTTCTGCCCCTCCGAGAGTCAGATCCCCTGACCGCCATGCTAGACAGTGCCTGGTGGGACCTCAAAGGCCACTCAATTCTCCTCAGGCCACGTTTCCACTACTCTTAAGCATCTCATCTCTGCCACTCATAGCTCTGTGTGAAGCAAATTGCTTCTAACCTCTCTGAGCCTCAGTTTCCTCATCTGCAAAATGGCCATAAGAATAATGAGGTTGGCAAGGCCTAGTGGCTCATGCCTGTAATCCCAGCACTTTGGGAGGTCGAGGTGGGCAGATTGCTTGAGCCCAGGAGTTCGAGACCAGCTTGGGCACACAGTGAGATCCAATCTCTACAAAAAATACAAAAATTAGCCGGACATGGTGACACACACCTGTGGTCCTAGCTACTTGCAGGGAACATGGGCAGATCGCTTGAACCCGGGAGGTCAAGGCTGCAGTGAGCTGTGTTTGTGCCACTGCACTCCAGCCTGGGTAACAGAGTGAGATCCTGCCTCAAAGAAAAAAATAAAAAAGAATGAGGTCACTGTAGAGGGTTGTCAGAGGCACGTGAAAAGCCCTGTCCCCGTGGGACAGCCTGCTGCCCTCCCCACCTTGCTGTGACCCTGGACAAGTTGCTGGGTCTCTATGCATCTCAGTCTCCTCATCCATCAAATGCGCACAGTGGAGAGTGGTTTTAAGGATTCTATCAGTGTCCATAAAGGGCCAAAGCAGTGCTGCCCCTGGCCACAAGGGCAGGGCTGGTGATAGTTGGACTGGTTTCAAGGCCCTGAGTTGGGGCCTCGGTTTTCTTGTCTGTGAAGTGAAGGCTGGAGAGAAGGATTTTCAAGGTCTAGACCAGATGTCTATCCCGTGATTTCTCCCCACCCCGCTTATCCCGGCACAGGGGCCAGGGAGCCTGGGGTGTGCTTGCGGCTCCTGTTCACGGGACGGGGCCTGCCTTCAAAACACCACCCAACCCCAGCCCTTGGCAGCTCTCCCTGGCGCTTCTGAGTACTGCGAGGCCCTGTGCCCCTCTGCTCAGAGCACTCCTCAAACACTTCCCCAGGGCCTTGCCAATGAGGCAGAGTTCATTAAGAGCCACCGCGAGCAGGTCCATGCTCTTCTTTACCCAGGAATTTGGGATTCTCAAGGAAGAATGGGCTGCTGTGGTCCTGGCCCCCGCTCTGGCCTCCACCCACCCAGCCTCCCCCATTGCCTGCCTCCTAACGGCCAAATAGAACATGTAGGAGGGGGGTGAACAGGAACACTATGGGAGGGTCAGCGGAAGGACGTGATGACTGGCGAGATGGGCAGGGCAGCCTCCAGAAAGGTGCAGAGCCACCTGCCCAGGCACAGGGCCGTTTGGCCCCATGGCCACCTTCCTGGCACCAGGTCCCTCCCCAGTATGCTGGGCATGTGGGGCCCACATCCCTGCCCTCTGGGGTGCAGGAGGTTGGGAGTTTTTTGGGAAGGTGGGGAGAGGAGACAGGAGCAGCTTTCAGATGCTCTGGGGTGGGAGGAAACGTCTCTGTGTGCTTAGAGCTACTCAAGGAAAAGGCAGAACTGCGGTGGCAGAGAGGGCAGTCAGTGCTCTGGGCTCCGTGGCACAATCTTCCAGGCTGGAGCCCGCAGGCCTGGCCACCCCTCCAGGAAAGGGCCCCTCCCTGCGGGTGCAGGAGTGCTCTCTGCAGGCATTCCCTCCTCTTCCACCAGGGGGTAGCAGGTGCCAACGCGTCCGCCTCCCTGGACCATTTCACTCCTTCAAGTCACTGGCTCCACCGCGTTTTCTGTTCCCACCCCGTCACAACTTTGGGGCTTAAAGGCACCAGGATCTGGCATCCCCGGGATGCCACCTGTCTTCCAGGATGTGTCCTGGCTCCCGATGCCCCAAGCTAAGCCCCGGACAGGCTGGGAACCTCTCCCTAGCAGCCCCTGCCCTGGTCCCTAGGGCCCCGCAGGCCTTGGGGTGGCAGTGGCCTTGTCCCATGTCATCCCAGAGGCCTCGGGAGGCAGATGGTTTTGTCTAGGAAGACCTGTCCTCCTGTATGGATGAGGGGCCAGCTCCTGAGGGCAGGGGAGGGGAGGGCTGCCAGGGCCACGTGCAGGGCTTCTGACTGCAGGTGCCTCATCCACACTCCGGGCCTGCACCTGATGGGGCGGGGAGGCAGAGGGAGCCCGCGGCCACTGCCTTGGAATCCCCACCCACGCAGATAGACCGGGGCTCCCCACCTCCCCTCCGTGGGCTGGCGGGGCCTCTGTGGGGAATGAGGAGAGATGGGCGCTGGGCTGACTTAGTCAGTGAACTAAACGGATTCCCTGACACAGATTCAGGTTTTCATTCTTGTTTGAAATAATGCTCAGAAGTTTTTCTTAATAACGTGAGGGCCGGGCGCGGTGGCTCACGCCTGTAATCCCAGCACTTTGGGAGGCCGAGGCAGGCGGATCACGAGGTCAGGAGATCGAGACCATCCTGGCTAACACGGTGAAACCCCGTCTCTACTAAAAAATACCAAAAAAATTAGCTGGGCGTGGTGGCGGGCGCCTGTAGTCACAGCTACTCCAGAGGCTGAGGCAGGAGAATGGCGTGGGCCCAGGAGGCGGAGCTTGCAGTAAGCGAGATTGCGCCACTGCACTCCAGCTTGGGCGACAGAGCGAGACTCCGTCTCAAAATAAATAGATAAATAAATAAATAAATAAATAAATAAATAAAAATAACGTGAGTAGTTTTTTAAAAAACATTTTTTTCATGCCCTTGCTTTGCAAAATAAAAAAAATGACAGTTTTGGCCTGGCATGGTGGCTCACGCCTGTAATCCCAGCACTTTGGGAGGCCAAGGTGGGCGAATCACAAGGTCAGGAGTTCGAGACCAGCCTGGCCAATATGGTGAAACCCCGTCTCTACTAAAAACACAAAAGTTAGCCTGGCGTAGTGGCGGGCGCCTGTAGTCCCAGCTACTCGGGAGGTTGAGGCAGAAGAATGGCTTGAACCTGGGAGGCTGAGGTTGCAATGAGCTGAGATGGCGCCACTGCACTCCAGCCTGGGTGACAGAGTGAGACTCTGTCTCAAAAACAAGACAAAACAAAAGACAGTTTTATGATCTCTTCCAATTTGGGAGGAAATGCAAAAAGCCCAGGACCACGGTGACAAACCCCTGGCTGGCTGAGGCTGGGCTGGGAGGTAGAAGGGGGGCTCCAGTCCCTTGCTGGCTGAGCGACAGGCAGAGGACAGGGACAGCGTGAGGAGGGAAGTGTACTGGCTGGGCCCCTGCCAGCCTTTGGAGCAAGGTGCAGCCACGCTGGTGGGGTCCACAGGCCTGGACCCCAACTCGGGTGGCTGAGAGCTGGCCCTCCCAGAGAGGGAAGGGCTTGGGCTTGGGCCTGGGCCTGAGCATTGACCGGAATCCTGGGACTGGAGTGGGGCCTGGCGGAGACGGTGCAGGAGCTCACCTGAGCAGCGGGGAGGCTGTGGCAGGGAGTGCTGGCCGCAGCTCAGCCCAGCAGGAGGGCGGGTGCGGAAACCTGTGCCCGCCTCTGAGCCTAAGAAAGAACACAAGAGGACAGTCAGGGGACGTCCCAGCAGCTTGGGGTCTGGCTGAAAGCTGGGTATCCCGTGAGGAGGGTCCTGGCCAGGCAGGAGGTTCAGGGGGCCAAGGCAGCCATTGTCCCCTACCCCCAAAACAGGTGTCCTGGAGCGAGGCAAGATGCCCAGAGCAGGGGGCAGGTCAGGGCACATGCACGCACACACGCACTCACACACTCATACACACGTACACACACACACTCACACACACACACGCATACACACAAATAGATACACACTCATACACATACACACTCATACACATACACACTCATACATACACACAGTCATACACTTATACACATACACACTCATACACACGCACTCATACACACATACACACTCATATACACACACTCATACACACTCATACACACATACACTCATACACACATACACATACACTCATACACACTCATACACACATACACTCACAGGCACACATACACTCAGACATACACACACTCATAGACACACATTCACTCATACACATACACACTCATACACATACACATACACACTCACACATACACACACTCATAGGCACACATACACTCCTACACACTCACACACACTCAGACACACACATACACATTCACTCATACACACATACACTCATATACACACACACATACACATTCACTCATACTAACACACTCATATACACATACACACATATACACATACACATACACGCACACTTATAAAGTCAGACACACATACACTTATATACGCACTCATATACACATATACACAGTCATACACACATACACGCACTCATATACACACACACTCATACACATACACATACACACACACAACACTCACACATACACTCACACATACACTCACTACACATACACACTCATTACACACATACACATACACACACACGTGTAAACACATATACTCACATGTGCACACATAAACACACACCCCAGTACACACTCACACTCACATACACATACATGCACACACACGTTCACACACTGCACTCGGGAGGGCCAAGAACAGCATCACGCCAGGCTCTGGGAGGGCAGCGGCTCCCAAATTCTTAGCGCCCAACATGGCCTACAGGACCTGTGTAACTGGACCGGCCTGCCGGCCCTGTTCTCAAATGGGAAGCCCTACAGGACACCCCCTGCTGCACTGCGGCTGTGCTTGTGAATGGCGGTGGGAACGCCCATGGTGGGGGTTGCTCTTGACTCTTTTCCTTGTTCCCCGGTCTCCCCAGAGGACAGGCCTCCTCTGGCCACCTGGCCCAGGGGCAGCTTCAGAAATGTAAATTGGAGTCTGCCACTCTCCTGCCCAAACCCTGATTTCCGTTGGTCCTCGAATAAATTCCAAATGCACCTCGGCCTACAGGGCCCCGTGGGACCTGGCTCTGCCCACATGGCTGAGCCCCTTGGCCCCAGTAGGCCTCCGCCTGGAACTCCCCTCGCCCTGCCCTTCCTCGGCAGGGCACTCATGCGTGGGGCCCTCGCTGCCCCCAGCACCCGCACCTCATGGCCGCTCTCCTCAGCAGGCCTCGGTTTACGGGTCGCCTCCTCAGAAGACTTGCTCCCTCTTATCACCACAGTGCTCGGCACGTGCCGGCTGCCCAGTCAGATTGCACGGGACAAGTCACTCTCTTGCCGGAGGACTGAAGGCTGACTGTTCACTAGACCTAGACTGTGCCACGTCTACGGAACAAGGAAGGCTTGAGTAGGTCACCACCTAGCTCCATTCTAGGAACCCTAGGTCAACTGGCCGACTCCCAAGGTCTCTGCGAGTCCTGATGATGGTGCCTTACACTAACCATGCCCACCTTGTCTGTAGTGAGTGGCATCACTTGCCCCTAGTTCCCATCCCCAGGACCTCATTGTCCCCTTGCACTTAGGGATCCCAGCTCAGTGGCTGAGGCCACCCTACCTGCTTTTTAAGAACCCTGGATGTGCACTCACACACATTCACACACACGCACACATACACACACTCTCACATACGCTTACACTCACACATGCACACACGTACACACCCACACACGCACAGTCACCATGCACACTCACACTCTCTGTCACACTTACATGCACCGGAAGCAGTGGCTGTTGTTTTCATTTGTAGCCACAGTTGATGTGGCTTCTGAGCACCTCCTGGGGCCAGAGCAAGGGGATGTCCACTGTGAGGAGGGATCTGGAGTGGCAGGACACCTTCTCTGTCTTGGGCAGGTGCTGGTGCCCACACCTGTGCCCTCAGCTAGTCTTCATGCTAATCCTGCAGGGGGCGTCACCATCGCCCCCATCTTCCAGGGGAAGAGCTTGAGGCTGAGAGAGGGAATGGTTTGTCCATCCATCTGTTTGTCCATCTATCCGTCCAACACACAGCATGAGGCACCCTAGAGGCTACACGCAGCAGGACTCAGCCCAGCTGGGAGGGAAGAAGGAGCCAGGGAAGCCTTCCCCTCTGCCTCCCACCTTGCAGGTCCCCTTCCAATCTCACCCCAAACACTCACCCCAAACTTCCATGCTAAACTTGCCGTAGAATCTGCTGTGGTTGGGTTGTCGGGGACAGACCTGACCTGGGGAGATTTGCAGACCTGCTGCCAGCCTGTACTGGAAAGAGCTGGGGCTCCGTGGCCCCCACACCCTCTCAGGGGAAGAGAGCAGGGGCAAGGGCCCGTGTGCAGTTTATCTCAGCCTCACCCCATGGGGACTTCACCATGAGGATCTCACACACGCAAGCCTGCACCACCCCCAGCCCCCACCAGCTTCCCCAGGACTGGGAAAATGGGCCAAACATGATGGCACACTCTCCCCCCTCCCCCGGCCCCTCTGGCCTTCATCGTAGACCTTCTGAGCTCTCATGGCACCAATGAGGAAACTGAGGACTGGAGAAAGAATGTGAGCTGTCTGAGGTCGTTTAGGTCTAACTCCCAGAGCAGTGCTGCTGCTGCTCCACACACTGTCTGAGCCACAGTATCCCGCTTGGGAAATGTGAGGCCCACTCAGAGAGGCTGTGGGCTCTGTCTGAGCGCCTGGAGGAGAGCGGTGGGGAGGGCAGTGGGCAGCTGAGCTGTTTCCAAGCACTGATCTCACAAAGGAAGTGGTGAATCTGGGGAGGGTGGGCTGGACGCCGCTGCGTGCCTGCTTAGGTGCGTGTACCCATGTGTGTGGCACATGCATGTGTGTGCACACTCCTGTGTGTGTGAGCGTGCTCACCGCCTTCAGGTCGTCTGTGACTGCCGTCCCTGTGTGCTGGGGAGGGGCTCGGGTGCTATTCTTAGGGCAGCATTCTCAGTCTACAGTCAGATCTGCTAACTGACCGCCAGGGAGCCTGGCCTGAGCAGGCATTGCTCCCCAGTACCAGACTCTTGGGGTGGGGAAGAGTGTGCCCCAGCACACACCTTGGAGGAAGAAACACAGGTCAGATGTCTTTCAGTTCTAGCTGCCTCCGAGCTCTGGCCTTTGCTGGGCCTTAGCTATGCCCTCAGGAATGCAGGCTGCTGGCTGGGGCCAGGGACTCCTCTCAGTGACCCATGGAAGGAAGAGGGGAGCTGCAGAGGAGGGGAGGGCAGAGAATGGATGGGTCTCAGTGTAGCCCAGCGGTTCCTAGGAAAGGTGGGATGGCTTGGACTGCAGAGACCTTGGGCAAGTCACCATGCCTCTCTTGGCCTCCACTTCCTCATCTTTAACATGGGCTGTGATGAGAGAAGAAATTGTCTCTTTGGGTTACTTCGAGGATTAAATAGAACACGGCGATTAGCCCAGGAGTACTCCGTGCACAGTAAGTGCCTAGTTAGTGCTGTGGCTCCCAGCGCGGGCCAAGCCTCAGAGTGGCCCTACAACCTTCTTATCCCATAGCACTCCTATGGAGAACATCCCACTTTCTAGAGTAAGCTGATCCTGTACTTCGACTAAGCCAAAGGTCTGGGGTAAGAGCAGAGGCCCATGCATCTCCCTTGATACCTGCCCTCCACCTCTGGACCACCAGGCCCCAGGCCAACAGGACTGGCATTCGCTGGGCACTGGCCACCCTGGACACTGCACTGGGCTTGCTCACATGCCCTGACATGGGCATCACTAGCCCATCCTACAGGGGGGTTAAGCAGCCTGTCTGGTGTGATCAAGCTGGTAGGGCCCCCCTGTATCTGACTCCAGACCCCGTGCCCTGAGGGCACCTGCACCGCTGGGGCTCCATCACCGCTGGTCTCACACAGTGCTGGCCTGGCTGCCGGGAGTGGGGGGACCCGGGAGCAGGCTGAAGCTGTGCCCTCTGGCTGGCCTGACGGGGGTCTGCTGGGCATGGACCCCTGCGTCAGGTTTGTGGCTGGCGTGCACGTTCCCAATTAAGCCGAGTAAATATTTACAGCCATTACGGCCATTGATCGCCTTCGATCCTGGGTGCTGCTGTGAGATGCCCCTGCTTACTCATGCTTTCTTAAAAACAGCTCTTCCCTGCGCGTCTTTAATAATTCAACTCCTAATTGTCTCCAAACGCAAACCTGAAAATGCCAACTCAGGGCCTTCGCCCCCGCTCTGGTCCCCCTCTCGTCCCCTCTGCCGGAGGCCCCTCTCCCCATTTCTGCTGCAGATCCTGGCCTCCCTGCCCTGCCTCTGACCACTTCTAGGAGGGACTCAGGACGTCCCTCACCTCCGGCCGCAGCCACCGCCAGCTGCCGCAGCAGAAGTGAGCTGGGAGTAATTGAGTTGCAGGGCTGGGGTGAGAAGAGGCAGGAGCAGGAAGGTCTGGCCGCGGCTCCCCAGGGTGCCCTGAAGTGATACTGGGCAGGGAGGGGCAGGGACCTGGGGCATCTCGAGGTGACAGGGGAGGCTGATTCTGAATGGGTCCCTGGACAGGCCTCAGCCCAGACCTCCCCTGCCAAGGGCTGGGGGTGGAGGTGAAGCCAAATCAATATTTATAGCATCTCCTGGGCACCAGGTCTCCTGGCTGGGGCTGCTCCCCAGTGGCCTCTGAGGGCCATCCCATATGGGGTGGAGTCTAGGGGACTGCGTTGTGTCCCAGCCCTGCTCTCAGGGCAGGGTGACCAGGCGCTCCCAAGAGCTCCACTACCAACTTCACTTGCCTCTCCCTCGAGGCCCAGTCCGGGTCACACATTGGTGCTAAGGGAGACTCACCCGTCCGTACCCCCCAGGGCAGCTGCCCAGTGTAAAACTCTCACAGCCAGACAAACACCACAAGGGGCGTGAGAGGACAGGCACACAGTCACTAGAACTGCAGCTGGCCTGGAGCCAGTGGCCACCGATGCAGAGGGCCCTTTCAGCCAGGGTGCCGGGGCTGTGGCTCCCAATCCCAGTTCACTGGGCTGGCACTGATCCCTCCTCTGCTCTCTGGTCTGAGAACATCCCATTGTGAAGCCGTGGGTCTCCTTGCCTCCTCTGGCAGGCAATGTCCCAGGCTCTGGGGACACAGCAGGGAACCAGACAGAATAAAAACCCCTAGAGCTTATAGGCTATAAAATGAGATTGATGAGTAAACGATATATTGCAAGGGAATAGGGCTGCAGAAATTACCTAGGACTGGGAAGAAGGGAGGGGTGCCTAGGGCAGGGCCTGCAGGGCACATGGCGTTCAAATACAGATCCGAGGGGTGAGGGAGAGTGAAAGGGAAGCTGTCCAGGCAGGCAGAGGGGCAGCAAGGGCCAGAGCTCAGGGTGAGGTGAGCTGGCAGGAGAGGCCCCTCCTGCTGATGAGGGGTGGAGGCTGAGCCCGAGGGGTAGGCGAGGGAGTGGCAGGGATTTGTGGCTGTCCAGGGTGGCAGCGGAGGCGGGAGGGAGCAGCGGTACATTTGGAGGCACTCTGAAGATGGGACCGAAAGGATTTGCAGATGTCCTGGGTGTCTGTTGCGTGAGAACGAGAGGAGTCAGGCCAAGGCTTTTGTCCTGAGCTGCTGGAAGAACCAAGCTGTTATTCACTGTGGTGGGAAAAACAGAAGCTGGCCTGGCGTGAGGGGAGGAGGGGGCTTGGTGGTAGCATTTCAAGTCTGAGACATCTAAAGAGATCCTAGCAGAGGCTTCAAGGAGGCAGGTGGGATCTGCAAGGGTTGGAAGTGGAGGGATACATTTGGGGGTCATCAGCACATAGACGGATTTGAAGCCAAAAGACCGAGCAGAAGAGGCCCAGGACTGAGCCAGTCGTGCACGCTGATGTCTAAAGGCCTCCTTGCTCCCGCTGCCTGCGCCCATCCTCAGAGCTTGGCTTGGACATTTGCAGAAGGCTGCTATTGTTTCTTCTGTTCAGAAAGACACCTATCCACATTCCAAAGAGCGCCCCACATCCTGTTCTGCCATCGGTAGCCACGAGGGCTCCCAGCTTCTTACCCGATCCAGCTGGCCAGTCACGACAGGAATACCCACTGGCCAGGGCAGGTGCCCGACCCAGGCTGGGCCAAGGAGATCCCTTCTCAGATATTTTGACAGTGGGAGGCCCTGTGACTGGGATGCAGAGGCTGTGACATGCAGGCCTGGGCAACTTCTTGTAGCCAACCATGAAGCCACATGGAAGAAGCCACTTGAGTAGGGACGCTGACATGCAGCGTCTGCATGTGAGAGGTGAAGGACACGGTGTGAGCGGACTTTTCTGGTCATCCCCGCCCCGTTCTCTTCCAGTGGTTTGGTTTAAGGGCTAACAGGTCCCTTTGACTGAGCAAGTTCACTCAAGTTAGCCTTAATACAGCATCTCAGCATTCAGACAGAGAGAGGAGGCACAGGCCAAGGAATCCAGGGGCCCAGGAGCACAGGCAAAAGGCCGGTCCTCCTGAGCCCTCAACCAGACTGCACAGAGCCAGGCGAGAACATGCATGTGACACACAAATGGCCCTGGCGCTCTGGGGCAGATGCGTACCAACAGGAGAACGTATTGATGATCTGATTTTATTCTGAGTCAACTGTTTTAAGGTTTATATAAGTCTGGCCCGCCTTGGTGGCTCATGCCTATAATACCAGCACTTTGGGAGGCTGAGGCGGGTGGATGACCTGAGGTCAGGAGTTCAAGACCAGCCTGGCCAACATGGCGGAACGCCATCTCTTATTTTGAAAATATCAAAAAGAACTTAAAAGTCATGGAGGAGAGTTCAGCATGCTCATCTTTCATCTAAAAGGAGTCCCAGAAAACAGGTGAGGGGACGGAGAGGAGGAGGTGTTCCTTAATATTAAAGAGAACAAATGTAAGCATTATTTCATTTCGTCTTCAAGTGTGGGCCATGGGATATTAATATGTGTCATGTGGAAAGGTATTTTGTGGGCAAACACATTTGGGGAGTACTAGTCATATGAGGCTACACAAATTCTTTCACTACAGAACTTCTCAGAACCTTTACTATACACCCTTTATATTTTCAAGACAACATGGGGGTGGTGAAGAGCCCTGGCTTTGGAATCTCAGACCTGGGTTCTCAAGCCTTCCCTGCCTCTTTTTGTCTCTGTGTTTGGGAAGACCTTTTGTCCCTCTGGGCCTCAATTTTCTCATCTGTTAAATGGGAATCACAATTACATCCTTGGGGGTCTTCCAGACTTAGGGACAAAGGGACAAGACAAATGTGAAGATGCTTAATAAAATGTAAAGTTATGTGAATGTGAAATGCCCTGTCTCGCGTGAGTTCTGTGACAGCCTCTGCTGGGCCTCACTTGTCTCACCTGTGAAATGGGAGTTGGGGTAAAATCACTGTAGCTCCCCTACTCTGCATGCAGTCACGCTGCAGCTAGAGTGGTTGTTATAGAGAAAACAAAAACCAAACGAATGCTCCCTTGCTCTGAGGATAAATCCCCGGCCACAGACTTGGCCATGCCCTTATAACTGTTTGACTATCTGCCTGCACCTCTAGAGTGTAAGCTCCTTGAGGCCAGGGCCGCAGCTGCAGCATGTAGTGCCACATCTGGCAGGCACAGAGTCGACTTGGGAAGTATTTGTCAAATGAGTAAATGCATGAACCTAGGCCTCTTCTAACTCTGAAATCTTACATCCCTCCGGATTGAGAAAAGAATCAAAAGCCATTCTACCACTACTGCTGCGGGAAACAGACTGCCCTGGACCCTGACTCCTCTCCTGTGGTGGCCTCACCAGGGCCCGCCCTCGGTCAACCTAGCCTCGAAGAAGGGAATGCTTGGGTGTTTCCAGAGACTCCTCAGAGCACGTGCTCAGGATAGAGTCCTGATGCTTCTAGAGACCGTATGGGCAAGTCCTGTAGCCTCTGTTGGTTGCAATTGTGACAGCTCGTAGGAGCATGGTGAGGATTCAATGATACTATGTCAGTGAGTGCCTAGGACAGTGCCTGGCACATGGTAAGCAGCAATGAATGACACTGCTGCTATCCATTATTATTACCCAATTCCCTCACTGAACGCAGAGGGCATGATGGGTGGCTGAGTCCTCCCAGCTTCCTTGAGGCAAAGGTGGGACTTGGATAGGGGGCGTCTCACTCCTGCCCAGCACCCTGGCTGCTCCCCTGCTGCTTTCTGACTCAGACCCCAAGGTTGTGATTCCCAAGTCATTCGTCTGCATTCAGCTGACACAGGCCATCTGCAAGACACACACCTCTCTGAGCTGTCAGAAGACACTGCAGAAGCTGAGATCCTGGCATCAAGCGTCCCAGATGGAAATTCCCCAAGACACCCTTGGGCCCTCGGCTCAAGTTCAAACAAAGAAATGCTTATGTTCAGAGATCTTCACAGATCACCAGCGAGGATGTGACTTGAGAACACTTTGCGTCAGCATCATAAAACATGAGGATTGATGACCCGTGTGAGTGGGGCGAGTGCCAGGGGAACACAGGCTCTGAGTTGGCCGGCCGTGCTTCCTGCATACACTCTGTGCAGAGGGTGCCAGCCTAGACTGGCGGGGGGGTTAGAATAGCACCGCACTAGTTAGCATGTCCCATAGGACCCTGTTTACAGCACACTTGCATGGGCATGTGTGCACCTGGTTCTCATGACAATATGCAGGGTGGGCAGGGGTTAAGGAATGCTTCCCCACTTTGGGGATGAAGGAAACTGAGGCTCAAGGAGGTGCGAAGCCAGGCAGCTGAGGTCACACAGCCTTGGATCTCCCTACCGTCACTATCCTCCCCTCTTGCCAGCAGAGAGAGGTGGGAAAGCCACGTTCAGCCAAAACCCAGAAATTTACCCAGAGAAACTCACAAACCAACATGGTGGGCCTTGTACAAACTCTAAGAGTATGAAGAGAAGAGCTACAGCTGGCCTTACCCAGTCCTGCCATGCTGGGACTGGTCAGCTCCCCTGCACTGAATCTGGGTAGGGGCATGAAAAGACACAAGATGGGATGAGAAATCCTCCACATGGGAGAGGAAATGGGAACCTTTCATCACTGGGGACCAGGAAGCAGGGTGAGGGGCTCACAGGACAAGCTGGCCTCAAACGTTCCCCTTCCATTGCCTGTTCAATGTTACTAGATACTTGCAGACCTCTGGCAGAACAGATGGGGACTTGGATATACCTTGTAAGGGGATGGGGGCATGAAGACAGATTCGTTCCCCTGACCAAGGGGGAATCAAACAGGTCACTGAGCGCTCAAAGGAGAATATTCCCAGAGCTATGCAGTGAGGGGCCTGCTACCACAGTAACACTTGGGCATGTGTCAAGTCCCCACTTGGCCAAGTAGCTTGGTCTTCTCCTACCTTCCAAGTCTTTCCTGACCATGAGAACCATGGGAACCAGAACTACTTAATTAAGAACATGAAATTCCTTTCCTTTCAGATCACTGGTCCTGACTCTGGCCTGAGATGCTAAGAGATCCCACAGCTCCTGTGATGGGAAAAGATCTATTCCCAGAATGTGGTTCCCACATGGGAAATTTTACCTGTTCAGTACTTCTTGTGGAATGTATCTACTAATGATATATTCTCACAATTTTTACTTAACTTGGAATGCCTTAATTTACCCTTCATTTTTTAAAAGACATTTTTGCTGGGTATAGATTTCCAGGATGGCCAGTTACTGTTCTTTGAGCAATAGCATTTGAAAAATGTTCTTCCATTGTATTCTGGCTTCTGTGGTTTTTGTTGTGAAATCTACCATCATTTTTGTATTGTTATTTCTCTGAGTACAATGTGTCTGTTTTTCTTCTGGATGCTTTTAAGGTTTTCTCTTTACCTCTAATTTTCAGCAGTTTGACCATGCACATGTCAGAATCTCCACACCATAGCAGATGTACCTACCTGTGGTTTTCTTTGTATTTATCCTGCCTGGGGTTCATTGAGCTTATTAAACCCATGATATGATATCTTTCATCAGTTTTGGAAAATTTCTTCAAATTCTATTGTTATTTCTTTAAATTATTTTTAAAATTATTATCATAATTTATTCAAGTTCTAAGTATTTCTTCTAATTCTAATTCCATGCTTTTCTCTCTCTCCTTTTCTTCTGGGAGTCTAGTTATACATTTGTTAGACTTTTTTACTTCGACCCACATATCCTCCTTAAATTCTTTTCTGTTTTTTTCTTCCATTCATTTTTAGTCCATTCACATTTAAGGTAATGATTGGTATGATAGGATTTACACTGCCATTTTGCTACTTGTTTTCTATTTGTCACATGCCTTTTTGTTCCTCTGTTCCTCCGTTATTATCATCTGTTGTATTTGCACTTCCTTGTCTCTTGCCATGTCTTATAATTTTTAGTTGAACACTGTAGCTCTGTGACAGACAGTGTGAACTTCTTTTGCAGGTCACCCATGTTGTCAGGTTTGGGGGCAGTGAGAGACAGATGTGGATTCTAGTTTGTCCTTTTGAGTTCCAGTTTGTTCTCACTTTATCTTACTTCATGTCCAGTCTCTCTTCCCATTTTCTGGTCCTGCCAACCTACAGCAACTTCAGGCATATGCAGAGGCAACAGCCCTCAATAAGACTTCTTCCCCAGCTTCCACAACTATACAAAGTCTCATTCTTATAACAAAGCCCAGACTCCGTATCAGTCATAGTGGTTCCACGTCTCTGATCAAGCCTTCAATGATACAAGATCCAAATTCTCTGTTAAATTTTAAACTACATCTTTTCATTTACTTTGTCCATTTCTTTTTTCTATTTTTAAAAACATATTTATCATAGTTATTTTGAACTATGTCCTTATCTGCTTACTTAAACATCTGAGTCATCTCTGAATTTTATTTCTATTGACTTCATAATCAGCCACTTTCTCCCTCTTCTCATGTCTAACAATTTTTTATTGCATGCTGGAAATTGTGAGTGATATGTTATACAGGCCCTGGATTTACTTACCTCCCTATAAAGAGCATTGAGTTTTGTTTTGGCGAGCATTTAAATTCCTGGCAAATCACACCGTTCCTGTCAAAGTTTGCTTTTAGCCTTTGTTAGGGAGGGTCTGTTTCAGCTTTTTGCCTTATTCATAGAGTATAGCTCTTCTCTTAAGGTGTGATCTTAATCCTAACAAATGGCTTTTCTGAGGTCTCAACAGAAAGCCCAGGGTGTTCACCAGTGCGTGGGTGGGCCTGAACCTCCATATTTCCTCAATGCTCTCTGACCCCTGGGATCTTTGCTCTGCTCTCAACATCGCTGCAGTTGTTCCTGCAAGCACTCCAGAGTCTCTCCCTGCTAATGCAGAGCCTAGCAATTAGCCAAGGCCCCAAAGGATCTGTTCGTGCAGATTTTGGGGGCTACTTTTTCTCTGTGGCTCCCTCCTTTCCAGACCCCCATCATCTCAAATGTTAGCTGCCTTAGCAGCCTTGAACTCTGAGCTCTATTTCCTTTATCCAGTGTGACCGCCAGTGCTAGGAGACCTTGTATGCCCAGCATTTTGGAGAATATACTCAAGGATAAAGATGAAGTAAACTGCGGGGTCCATTCAGTGCGATTCTCTTTTCTCGAGGATCATTGCCTCGAGAAATGATTTGTTGCTGTCCAGTGCCCTCCTAGAGTTGCTGTACATACTCTGTCCAGGTCCTAGAGTTGTTTTCAGTGGGCAGATTAGTCTGATGCCACCTACTCTAACATGGTTGGAACCTTCTTTTCCTGGATTCAAGGGGGCGGGGGAGGGAATGATGTTTGTATGGTTAAAAATACAAATTTATTCAAACTTGTCTATGTTCCTGCTAGGTCTCTTGAGTGTGTCATTGGGATATAAGATGAATCCTTTCTCTGCCATAACAGTTGAGGCTATAGCCCTTATTGAGTACCTCAAATGGACCAAGGCTTTATTCTAAAGTGCTTTATACATCTAATTGTTGTCACCTTCCCACTCACTCTGAGACATATGCACTACTATCATTCCCATTTTACAGTTGCAGACATTGAGTGATGTTGAGGCTAAGTTACTTGCCCAAGGTCTGTTGGCTTTATTACTTCCCCCTGATGATGTCCTCACCTCTCCAGTCCTTCTGCCGCTACCTCAGTCCAGGCCACCCTCATCTTTCACCCAAGCTCTCTGCTGTCCTCATGATGGGCTTTTCTGCTTCTAGACTTCTCTGATAAGCAGGGTCAGAATAGAAAGGCGGGCAGCTAGGCTGGGGGTGCTGATGAGGACTGGGGCCAAGAAAGTCCAGGCCCAACCACGGGGCTACAGTGTGGGAAACTGGAGGTGGTGGGGGAAGCAGGAGAACAAACAGTGAATGTTTCTCAGTCAGGTATTAGGCCTGTGGGAGGAGACACGGGCCCAAGACTGATGGCCCACGAGGAGCAGGCAGACACCAGGCAAGGCAGAGGCCCCGAGGCATCGGCACAGCCAGGGCAGGAGGTAGGTGGGGAGGCAGGGGCTGTGGGGCAGCATGTCACTGTGGCACTGCCTTCAGGCTGAGTTCAAACCGCAGCTCTGCCTCTCACCAGCTGTGGACACTTGGGCACATCTCTTAGGCTCAGTTTCTCCACCTTAGACTCCATTTGAGGTTGATGTTAGCTTCGTGAAATAGAACACCTAATTATGGCGACTTAAATGAGACGAGTTTAGCTTTCTCAAGCAATGAGAAATCCAGACGTTTAGCTTGGTAGCTCCAGCCATCAGAGCCCAGGAACCTGTGTCCTTCTTTCATGGTTCCAGGGACAGTCATCATAAGCCCATCCCAGAAATGAGGAGGGAGAAATGGCAACAAGAGTATGCTAGCTGAGTCCTTCCCACTGCCATAAAGATGGTTTCCTAAAAGCCCTACCCAGTGGTTTCTACTTATGACCCATTGGCCCAAACTATATCACATGGCCATCTAGCCATAAAGACCCCGGGAAATGTAATTCTGTGGCAAAGAACACTGTCGCCCCCAATGAAATTAGACTTGATGTTAACCAAAAGGCAGAGAAGCAATTCCAACAAGATAAGGAGTCTACTCGAGCGGAAGAAGGAGAGAGGTGACGTGAAATCAGCAACCAGAAGTCTCTGTCTGCCACAGGGGTAAATGATGTCACTTCCTTTATCTGTGAGGTTGATGTGAGGAGGAAATCAAGACATATTGGTGTAAAGCACCTAACAGGTACTCGTTCAGCAAATGGCAACAGGTATTCTTGAGTTTGAGGAACTTTTCTAATGATCCCTCGAAGGCCCATCCCCAGAGAAAAGGCTTCATAAGTGCTTGCAGCATTGACTTGTCTAAGCCCCACCCAAAGAGAGACCCATCTGTACAGGCCGATGGGACACAGCCTGGAGCCTTTGTAAAGCCCTGCCTTGGAGGAAGCTGATGCTCTTTACTTGCTATCTTGACTCAGCGGGTGGAGGATGAGGCTCTGGGCCCTGTGCCTAAATATCATAAGGAGCTGGGAGTTAGTGCAGACACTGCTGATTATCTGCCCCAATCTATCCCTCTCTTCTTCCTCTTCTACAAGCTCTGCTTTTGGCCCCAATTTCAGGTGTCCCCCCTCCTCCTTCAGCCACAAGGGGAGCCAGGCCTGACTGATCTGATCATCATGCTTGTGGTAATTAGGTCAGGCCAGGCACGGTGGCTCACACCTGTAATCTCAGCACTCTGGGAGGCTGAGGCGGGCAGATCACTTGAGATCAGGAGATCGAGACCAGCCTGGCCAACACGGTGAAACCCCGTCTCTACCAAAAAAACACACAAAAATTAGCTGGGCATGGTGGTGCATGCCTGTAATCCCAGCTACTTGGGAGGCTGAGGCGGGAGAATCACTTGAACTCAGGAGGCGGAGGTCACAGTGAGGTGAGATTGTGCCAACGCACTCCTGCGTGGGTGGCAGAGTAAGACCCTGTCAAAAAAAAAAAAAGATTGAAAATAATAATAATAATGAAGTCAGACCAGGTGCTGTAATAGTGAGACCCCCAAAACCCAGTAGCATCAGTCTTATCTCTTCTGTTTGGTCCAAAAGCAATTGGCTTTTCCAACACTGTGAATAAGCCTTCAATACCTGGTATCTCCATCTCTCTTTCCACCTCTATTTCCAAATCGATAGCTCTTACTTGATCTCATCTCTTTCCTTAAGGCATAAAAAAAGTATATTTCTTTCTCCCTTTCTCCCTGGGTGAGAGTTCTAGATTGGTGGGAGGCTCTGTTCCATGCAGCCATTCAGGCACCCAGGCCCTTTCTACCCTGTGGCTGTGTTCTCCCCTAACCCCTAAGATCTGCATGAGTGAGGCTGGTCACCAACATGTGTGAGTTCCAGCCAGTGGGAAAAGAGAAGAGAGAACAAGTAGGAGAGTCACTTACCGTCTTAAAAACTCCGTCCCAGGCTGGGCACGGTGGCTCATGCCTGTAATCACAGCACTTTGGGATGCTGAGGCAGGTGGATCACCTGAGGTCAGGAGTTTGAGACCAGCCTGGCCAACATGGCGAAACCCTGTCTCTACTAAAAATACAAAATTAGCCAGGCATGGTGGTGCATGCCTGTAATCCCAGCTGCTCAGGAGGTGCGGCAGGAGAATCACTTGAACCTGGGAGGCAGAGGTTGCAGTGAGCTGAGATGGTGCCATTGCACTCCAGCTTGGGCAAAAAGGGTGAAACTCCATCTCAAAAACAAACAAACAAACAAACAAACAACAACAACAAAACCTCCATCCCCAAAGCAGCATTCATAGCTTCCTTTGGCAACAATGCACATCCACACTAATTACAAAGAGGCCTGGGAAATGCAGTCCCTGCTAGATGGTCACACGTGTAGCTAAGACTTTACTGTAGAAGAGAGAAGAATGGGTTTTGGTGGCAAGCTGGCAGTCTCTGCCACAGTGGTGGCCTCTTTTCTGTTGCCAGCAATTTCGGCATGGCATGTGACACAATCGTAGCCAATGAAACATGAGGGGATTTTTCATGAGAAGTTTATGGGAAAGTCTTTCTCACAGTAAGAGATGCCGGAAGAGACGGTTTCTTCTCCCCTTGGACAGTATCATGTCAGAATGTGATATCTGGAATTAGGCATCTGTTTTGTGATCATGATGGGAACAGGCTGTGGTTAAGGCAGATGCTCTAAAGCTGGTAGTGTAGTTAGATGCAAGAGCCCAGGTTCTTGCTGATACCACTGCATCTAAGCTGGCTGCCCCTGGAAGCCACCCTCTGGCTGGACTTTCCATGTGTGACATAGTACATTTCCTTATGATTTAAGCCAAGGAATGGGGTTTTCTGTTACCTGTAGCCATAAGCCTCCCAGATTTCATGTGAAGTTGGGCCAGAGCAGAGGCTGTGTGGAAGGGTTCTGTGCGGCCCCTGGGGGTCTGATTCAACGGTGGTATGGTTTGGGTCTGTGTCTCCACCCAAATCTCAAGTCGAACTGTAATCCCTAATGTTGGAGGTGGGGTCCCGTGAGAGGTGACTGGATCATGGCGTTGTTTCTCATTGATGATTTAGCAGCATCCACTTGGAGCTGTTCTCACGATACAGAGTGAGATCTTGTGAGACCTGGGTGTTAAAAGTGTGTGGCACCTCCCCCCTCACTCTCTTTCTTGCTCCTGCTCCTGCCACGTGAGATGTGCCTGCTCCCCCTTCACCTTCCACCATGATTGAGGATACCAGCACCACGCTGCCTGGTCAGCCTGTGGAACCATGAGATGAATATACCTCTTTTCTTTATAAATTACCCAGTCTCAGGGATTTCTTTATAGCAATGTGAGAATGGACTAATACAGAGGGCTTGGTCAATACTCTAAGGTCAAGATAGCTGGGCTCCCTTGGTGTCATTTCGTAGGTTGTCTTGGCTGTGAGGAAACAGGCTCTCCAGAAACAAAGTCCCTCTTGCGTGTCTTGAGATGCTTTCATATCCATAGCCCACTGTGCAACAGGCAGGTAAATATCACCAAGTGACTCCATTTTACAAGGAGGAAAGGAAGGCTCAAAGAGGCAATGTGCTGTGGCCAAGTCCATGAACAGGCTAGGGTTGGGACCAGGAACTCAGCCCTGGTTCTCCTGGACTCCCAGGCCTGTGCTCTTGCTAGTGACACCAGGGCATCCTGTGCTGAAACAATTGGGAAAAGGTGTCATGTGAACCCTATCAATTATAATAAATATTTATACAAGGCAGGCAATAGCTGTCCCTTTGGGAAGCTTGCAGTCTAGTGGGAGAGCAGAAACAAGTAAACACGTAAGCAAATATCTATGTTCCCATTGCAGTAACTGCAAGGAGGGAAAAGGACGGGGGCGGGGTGGAGACTGATGATGGAGGAGATCTAGGAAGGTGACTCTGCGGAAGTGACATTAGAGTGCAGACCCCAAGGATGATGAGGCATAAACTGGACAAAGACAGGGAGGTGGAAAAGTGTTCACAGTTCACGGAAGAGCATGTGCGAAGACCCTGAGATGAGAGAGTGCTGGGCTCATTCTGGTAGCTGCGAGTGTGACCACAGCCACACGAGAAAGAGAGAGGAGGGGCCCGGCCATGGGGGGCAAGGTTGAATTGAAATCACAGGCTTTGGAGCTGGACTGCTTGGGTTCAAATCCTGACTCTGGTTTATCAGCTGTGTGCCCTTAAGCAAAGCATTAACCACTCTGTGCTTCAACTTCTTCCTCCTTTCCAGTTCCTACCTTATCAGAACTGTGAGGAATGAAGAGATAAGTCATGTTGAAACACCTGGTACATAGTAAGTGCTTTAGCTGCTTGGATTAGGGGCCTTCTTAGGACTGTGGTCTTTGTTCCGTGAGAAGTGCAGAATGCATTAGTTAGGACCCTGTTGGCTGCAGGGGACAGCAACTCAACTCACATTGGCTTAAGCCACAGTTGGCGGATTGATTGGTTCATATGTCCGAAAGATACAGGTTTAGATGTGTCATGGGGCACGCAGCGTTGCCAGCTGGACTTGATCTCTTTGTCTTCATTTTTAGCTGTGTTTTCTCCTGAGGTGACTCCGTTCTCAGGCCCGCTGTTCCCACATGGTGGCAGCCTGGCCACTTATCTACTATAATCGCCTGCTTTTCCCCGGGGCCAGTCTCATGGAGGACTCTCACTATCCTGGCTCCCGTCTGGTGGCCATCCCTGAGCCAATCACTGTGGCAGCAGAGGGGTGGTATGGAGTGGAAAAGAGAAATTGACACTGATTGAGCCAACCTCCAAAGTCACTGCACTGAGGCTGGGAAAGGAAATTGGGGTGTGGTCACCAGCCACACAGGCAAACATGGCCATTGCTGAACCAGGAGGCCCCTGGTAGTTTCCAGTTGGGAAAGGGCACGGTCTGATTTTTGTCTTGAGATGATCATGCTGGTTGCTGAACCGAGAAGAGGTAGGAGGAGAACCACAGTGGAGGTGGGGAGAGGCACTGGGGACCCATGTTGGGAGTCCAGGAGGGAGAACAATGCTGTGGCTGGGCTGGTGGCAGTGGGGCAGAGATGGACGAGGAGGCACAGGGCGAGAGTGTGGTGACAGGCTGGACGGGGTGGGGACAGGCAGATATTCCAAGGTAAGAGCCAGGGTTTTGGCTGAACAGCTGAGATGGGGAGACTTGGGAAGTGGCAGGTTGGGAGAGGATGAAGAGGTCAGCTTTGGAGGTGCTGAGTTTGAGGAGCCTTGAGAGTGTGAAATTCCATTCCTGGGCATTCTTGTCTGGTTTCTATGAAATATGGGAAGAATAAATAAATTGAATAATGCCTGCTTTGCCCAGTAGAAAGCATTAGAACTAAACTAGAATAAGGCAGGCCTCCCCCAGCCCCACTCCGGAGAGTTGGGACTGGACCAGTGTGCTGAGCTGTTTTCACGGAATGGGTCCCTCAAACAGCATGCATCCAGCCCAGACCCGCCCTTATGAGTCAGGAGACCTCATGAAATCCCTGGGCAGCTAGGTGGTCAGGAACAGTTAGCATGGGACATCCAGGGAATGTCGGTCAAACTGACAGAGTCCCAGGCCTTGGGAACCACCAGTACAGCTGTGGTAACAAGATGGAAGATGCCGGGGCAGAGAGCCAAAATGCAGGGAGGAAGAGTGTGGCCCAGGCAGGTGTGTGCTAGTTCATAGGCAAAGGCAGTCAAGACAGGGCTGGTAGAATCTGGGTTGGCTTCTTGGAGACAGAACTGGATGGCAGCTTCAATATTCCAGCCATGGTTGTGACCTCAGGTGTGGGGTGCCTGTCCAGGTTTGGAGTGACCCCCCACCCCGACCCCAAAGCAATTTCCTCTGAAAACTTCCTAAACTAGAGCAAGATGCAGGACACCCCTGTCTCCTAGTCATCCTGAGGACTTCAGGAGAGGGCTCAGGGCCCAGCCTTCTCCAATCACCCCAAGGACCAGTGAACTGCTCCCTCCACATTGCCCCTCAACTTGTCCCCACCTCTGGGGCAGTCCTTCCCTAACTCCCCGCCCTGAAGAGGTTTTTTTGCATGTCCCTCACCTCCAGCCTGTGCTTTCCTCAAAGCAATGAGTGCTACCCATACACAGCATACTGCCACATGGAGGCACTTGGGATGTGCTGGGGACCAAGGAAATGCACGCCAGGGCAGACAGTCGCCTGGGAAGGCACTTCATGGGTGGCGGGGTGGGGGGGGGCACATGGGGCTTCAGGGCTCGCCTGCTGGCTTCCTTCTCCAAGTCCCAGGGAAGGGGAGTGTGATAAGACCCTCAGCCCAGCCTCAGTGGGCCTACGCTGGTGAGTGAGCCTGGGAGTCAGCTCCCCATCCATTAGGCCCGTAGCCCAGGTGGCTAATGCCACGTGGATACTCTGCTCTCAGGCCTCGTATCCACTTAGGCGTTGTTAATATTTTACACGGCACAGCCAGAGGATCGATGTCTTGTTTATAGCTCAGGGTTTATAGGCAGTCATCGAAGCTCTCACTGGGAACTGGGAAGATGCTCAGAAGCATCCAGGGAAACAGAGGCAGAGAAGAGGGTTGGAGGCCAGCCTCAGGACCCCCAAGATGGCCTCCTTTGCATGCTCAGTTCTCTGTCTCATCTGACACGTGCCACCCTGTGAAGCTGGGCACATGCAGCTCTGAGGGTGCATTGTAGGGGCCACTGGAGCCCCTGCCACGTGCCAGCCTGCATCTCATTCCATCCTTTCAAGCCCCCGGAGAGGCTGGATTATTGTTCCCATTTTATGGATGAGGAAACTGAGGCTTAGAGGGGTTATGTACCACTACACTTTTACAGGTCACTAATGGAGGCTGAGCCGGCACTACCTGGGCACAGGCTGGATCTTGTTCAGCACTTAAGTGTGTAAATTACATTGCAGGAGGCTCTTTAACCTTAAAAGCTCTGCTCCAACAGAGCTGTTTTCTCTGGGGATTGTTAGCCTCTCTGCTTAGGACTTTTGCCTTTGGTCAGTGGAGAATCACCACATCCCAATTAACTAGAATTAAAAGCTATGCATTTACAGTTCTTTAAAACTAACGCCAACGGCTCAGACATTTAACTAGGCATGTGATACAGTGAAGCTGCACTGCGCAGCCCCTCTCCCGGTCATTTCCCACCAGAAACAGGCTGGTGTCACGGGAAAGTCCCCGCTCCGGACTCCAGCAGGCCTGGCTGTCCCTGTGCCCCTCACGTAATTAGCCCTCTAGCCTAGGTTTCCTCCCCCGTAAAATGGAGGAAGAGGAAAGCCCACGGGGGGAGCCCTTTAAGAATCACACGTAAGCTCAAAGGCTTGGCACACGTAGGCGCGCTCCAGGGGGCCCTCGCAGCCACGCGCCGCGGCTCCCACCCCACCCAGGCAGCGAGCTCTGTGCCTGGGACCAAGCACCGTGTTACGCTCAACATCAGCTGAATGAATGGCCGAGTGAGTGGCAGAGGCTCCCTAGATGGAAGCTGCAATTGCTCAGGCCGTGAGTCCAAACAGGACTCGCGCTTATAGGCGTGGAGCGGAGCTGGATTTCTCCCTTGGCTAACACAGCGGGAAGGATGAGGTGCGGGCCGTAGCCGCGCTGCCGCGCTGAGTCCGTCCGGCGGGGATGCCCACAGTGCGCCGCGCCCGCTGGAGGGCAGCAGAGGGCCAGGCTCCCGGCTCAGGTCTCCGGCCTCGCGGCTCCAAGGACCCCGGGCTCCGCCCGGCCACGCCTCGTCCTCCCCTATTTTCTCCTTCCTTTTCGCGGCTTTCCCTCCTCTACCAGACCCGGCAGGAAGAAAGCCACCCACAAACGAATAAGCATGCCCTTGCCCTGCCCGTGCGTGGCACTCCGCATCCGCTTAGCTCTTCCCCGCCGCCCGAAGGCGGGCGTCTCCCCCTCTCTGCGGAGCAGGCGGCGGCGGCTGCGAGTCCGTGACTCGACCAAGGTCACGCAGCAAAGTCAGCGACCAAGCTCTGTTCCGCAGACGCCAGGGCCAAAGCCCACACTTTCCCTAAAGCCCCGAGTGCACGCGCGTTTCCAGAACGGGAGAACTTTGGAGACCAACTTCTGCATTTTCAAAGGGGGCCAGCCTGGGCCCAGTTTAATCTCCGGCGGAGGACCGGGGTTGCGGGAAATGCGCCGGGGAGTGAGGGCTTCCCGGATCCCCCGCCGCCGACTCCGCGCGGGCCAGCGGCGCGGGGCGGGCCGGGATCAGCGCCTCCCCGGGAGAGCGCAGCCGCCGCCCCCTCCTCTCGGGCTCCCGGCCCCTCCCCAGCCCCTCGGCCCCCATCCTGCGCGTGGGAGAAACCGCCGACCGCGCGGCCTCCAGGGGCTGGCGGAGCAGCGGTGGCGACGCGCCAGACTCCGTCCTGGGCTGGCCCGTGCCGGGCGGGGCGGGGCCGGCTCCCTCCGCCCTTCCCGGGCAGGCGCGGGGGGGCCGCAGGGACGCCTCCCGGAGTGGCCGCCGCGCCTAGGCCAATGAGCGCGCGGGGAGCGGCGATGGAGGCTGGGGCGGCCGGGAGCGCCCGGGACCCCCGCCGCCGCGCCGCCGCCGCCGCGCCCCCGCGCCCCGGCGCCCGCGGGGCTGGAGAGGGGGCGACAGAGGCGCAGCGCCCGCGCCGGGCATGGAGGCGCCGCTGGCCCGCGCTGGCCGTCCGCGCTGCGTTTCGCGCCGCCGCCGCCGCCGCGCCTCGAAGTTTGCCGGCTGACTCGGAAAGTTGCGCTCGGGCTCGGCCGCCGCGTCCGGTCCCCGCGTCCAGCCTCCGGCCTGACCCGCTCGCCGCCGCCGCCGCCCTCCACGGGGCCCCGGCCCAGCCAACCCAGCAGCCCCGCCTGCCGGGGGCATGTGAGCCGTCGCCGCCCCCGAGAGGCCGTGCGGGCTGCAGGGGCCCCGGTGCCTCCGAGGCAGCGCGTGGGCGAGGGGTGCGCCCGGGCCCCAGGGCCCCAGGCAGCCCGGCTTGCCATGGGCATCCAGGGCATGGAGCTGTGCGCCATGGCCGTGGTGGTGCTGCTGTTCATCGCCGTCCTCAAGCAGTTCGGCATCCTGGAGCCCATATCCATGGAAGGTAACGCGTGGCCACTTGCCCCTTCGCCGCCTCCGCCGCAGACCAGTGGTCTGGAGGGAGGGACCAGTACCCGCACGCCGGGGTGCACTGGTCTGGCGAGGAGCGGCCTGGGCCGCCGCCCCCTCCCGGCTCCGGAGGGTTGGGCCTGGGACTAAGGAGACGTAGTCCCAGGAAGCCCCAGAGGGGACGAAGCCGCAGCGCTTGGGCTGGGTGTGAGTGAGGCGCCTGGTGACACCTTGAGCGGACAGCTCCTGCCATCCTAGGCCTGCAGTCCGGGCGCCCCTGGTGAGCACACCGGCTTGGGTCGCCCTGTAGCGGGAGGTGGCGCAGGGTGCAGATGACAGGAAGGACCCTCAGCCCAGGGCACCTGGCAGCCGGCGGTGGGGAGAGATTTGAGGCCTCTGCCCTGTGATGGGGCCTCCCCTTTCGCCCCGCACCTGGTATCCAGTTACCCCTCCCCAAGCAAGGTTCAAGCCCATGGGATCAGTAACCAAACCCGCAGGCGCCACATTTCTGTCTCAATAAAATATTAACTGAGGAGACAGACCCACACTTGGATCAGACACTGACGGCCCCCTGGGGCCCTTCCATGGTACACCTGGTTCTGAAGGGGACCCTGAAGCCAGGGATGTAGCTTTTCCCCTGTTCAAAGAGGCCCTGCACCTCTGGCCGTGGGGAAGGGGCTAGCTCGTCCTGTTCTCGTCCCTGTTGCCCTCTCCGAGGACATGGGCATCCTGCCTGCCCCAGCACTCTGCTGACCTTGCCGGGCTCCAACTCTCAGTACTGAGACCCAGAGGCCTGAGAATGAGAGAGAGCGAGCTTGCCCCTGCCTGGGAGCTGCCCAGCAGCCCCTCGGGCATGGGGAAGTGCCCCAAGTTCCTGCGAAGGGCTGCTGAGTGCGGGAAGGGGCAGGAAGCAAGGCTTCCCTCCATTCTACCTTCGATGTCCAGGGCTGGCCCTTTTCCCAAAGTCCACAGCCACATGCCCCTCAGAAGCCACTGGGCTCTGCCACACCTTCTCTCTTGGTGAGTGTATGAGGCCCAGAGAGAACGGGCTTGCTCCAAGTGGTTCAGAGGGGTGCCACCAGGAGCTTTGGATTGGAGATGGGGGAGAAAGTGGCCCAGGCTGGGCCTTCGCTCGGCCGGATGCTGGCCCTGGCAGGAGGAATCTGTGACAGGGAACTTCGTGGGACATACAGGTGCTGGGATTGGGGCAGAGTGTGGAGGGGTGAGCGTCCTGTGCTGCTGTGCCTCAGAGGACCGTGCCTCCTGCAGGGATTGCCATCCCCTGTCCCCTTGCCCCATTTTCTTTCCCCATCTGGAGCCTGGGGTGGGCGTGGGGGGTGGCTGGTGCACAGGGAAGCTGTGATCTCTCCATTGCTCTTCCCTGATCCTCGGGGCCTCCAGTGGCCAGGAGCAACAGCCAGCCTCACTTCACTTAGTACCTCAGACCTTCCTAACAGCGGGTTCACCCACAGTCGGGGGCAGTGTGAGGTTTGCCTTTGTGATTTCTGAGGAGGTTTCTTTGCAAGGTGGACAGTATGCACAAGATGACAGATGGTTTATTCCACCTGCCAAAAACCCCATTCAGGCTCCCATGAGGCTCCGTTTTCTGTGGGTATGTGCCCACTCATACCCCTGGAGTTCTGGGGTCTTGATCCAGTTGGGGGAGCTCAGAGCCTCAGAGTCAGCCAGGCCTGTGCTGAGATCCTGTCACCTTCATAAACTGGCTGTAAAAATCCCTTAAACAGTCGAAGCCTCAGTTCACCATCTGTAAAGTGGGGCTGATAAGAATTCCTGCTCCCTAGGGCTGTGGCAGGCTTGAACCAGTCAGTGGGGCTTGCATGGATAATAAATGTGCAGGCTTTGTGAGCCGTGCTTATCAGGGATATTAGCAATGCGTATGTGAGTGGTACTCACAATAACAGCACTGATTCATGGTTGCAGCCATTCTCTCACTCAGACACCCCCCCCCGCCCCCCGTCAGAGGGAGGGCGTCGTGAGTTCCAGATGTTCTGTTGATGGGGAATGGTGTCAGCCAGCCGAGGGCCTGGAAGCTCCCATTGGCCAGGCAGTGTCTAAGGAACTGTCAGATGAGCTGTGAGGAGCCCAGGCTGTCCCACCAGCCTGGATGTGAGCTATCCTCAGTGCCACTGGGGGCCGGAAGGGGACTGTTGCCCCAGCTCTGCTCCAAGTCTGCGTGTGTGCAGTCAGAGGGGTCTCTTGTCCTCTCTGAGCCTCCGTGGTTCTCATCTGTAATAGACCAGAGTTATGGTGCCCTGGGGATTGTTAGGAACTAATGGATCTGGGTTCTGGGGATGCAGCCTTCTAGAAATACATGCAGCAGTCAAAAAGCCTTCCTCTCTGCCCTGGGTCCCCCATCAGTCCCTTTCCCTTGATGACTTCATGGAAGAGTCACCTCAGTCACTTTTCCTGAGCAGTAATGGAGCAGGAAGCTCGCCCCTTGATCCATGGACAAGGGGGCTGAGCCCGGGGTGGTGGCATGGCTGTCCTGACCACCAGGGCAAATCAGTGGGCAGCAGGGCATGGGCCTGGCCAGAGGCCAGGCTAGCCTCAGTGTGACAGACCCTGGGTGGCAGAAAAGCAGTCCTCATCCTGTCTGCTTAATTAGGATTCCTCCTTCCCTGGTGACCTACGGGATATCAGAGATGAAGAAGCTGCCTGCCATCCACGAGCCTTGCTTCGGCAAGTGTGCGAGAGCTTGGAGCTGCTGGGACGGCCCCGAGGGCCATCAAGGGGATCTCATGTTGGCTTTGGGACCTGGACCCTGTAGGGCTGGGCTGGGGGTGGGGTCTGCATCTGAAGGGCTATGGTGCCTGACACTCCATGTTTAACACAGTGGGGTCCCAGCCCAGAAGGTCCATAAAGCTCCTGAAATTATGGGCAAGATTATGTGTTTGGTGCTTCTTCCTGGAGTGCTGAAATACGGTTCTCAAGGGGATCTGCGTTCCCAAAGTGTTCAAAGGCTCGCCCCTGTGGCTCTCCCTGGAGCCTTGCTGGTGGAGGGTGTTGGTGGGCCCCGGCAGGCAGCATTCCTGATGTGCTGGTGACATAAAGGTCCTCCTTGTCCCTCTGTGTCTCCTGGCTCCTAGCACATTCCTTGTAGGAGCAGAGACTCCCTTACACACTTGATTTTTCTCCACAGCCTTGTCACTCCCTTAAGATACTGGGTATCTCAGTTTCTTTATCATTAGTTTGTGGTTTGTCTCCCCCAGCTGCGGGTCACATGAGGGCAGGGACTTTGTCTTGGTCACGTTAGCACCCTGTGCCTAGAACAGTGCCTGGCACCAGGCAGCAGCTCGGGGAGGATTTGTTAAATTCATGAGGGAACCTGCTGACCAAGAGGGAGAACTGGAGCCTTCTCCTGTCCCCTCTGCTCCACCTCCTGCTGGCGAACCTGAGGCCAGGTCCTGTGAGAGCTACTGCCTGGATGGGCACCGAGCAGGGGGCCCGGAGCAGCAGGGGTGGGGGCTGCTGCAGAGAGCACAGAGGCTGGAGGTGGGGTGTGCTCGGTGTCATCAGGGTAAGTGGGTGGAGCCGAGTGAGTGAGGAGTGGTGGCAGTGGAGGTGGGGGGCCAGTGGGCTCTTTACCCAGCTGTACATTATCATTGTAATCACCTGGGAACTTTAAAAAATACCCGCTGTGCCCACCCTGGGGCATCGAACTCTAAATCTCTGGGTGAAACCCAGGCACTGGGATTTTTAGGAGTTTCTTGGGGGACTCTCTGTCCTGGGTCCCCCATCAGTGCCTTTCTCTGGGTGACTTCATGGGGGAGTCACTGCAGCCACTTCTCCTGAGCAGTGTTCAGTGTCATCAGGGGTGAGCAAACTCTGAAGCCAGAGTTGGGAGTTGGGCGCAAGGCCTTCGAGGACAGGGGCTCTGGGTCAGCAGCAGCAGCAGCCCAGGAGCTTGGTAGAAATGCATCTTCAGGCCCCTGCCCCAAACCTGCGGGCTCAGAAAGTCTGGGCTTGGGCCCAGCGGCTTCTCTCTTCCCCAGCTCCAGGTGCTAGGGACATACTCAAGCCTGAAGACTACTGCCCTGGCCAGGGGTGGACCTCCGCAAGGACATTGGCTTTTACTGTAGGAGAAACCTGGAGCCATCGGAAGGTCCTGACAAGAGGAGTGAAGTGGCTTTGCATTTCCGCAGGGTCCCACTGGCTGCTGTGTTGAGAGCAGACTTGGGGTGCGAGGCACCAGGGGAAGCAGATCCTATGAGAGGCATTTGCAGCCATTTAGGAGGGAGACAGCATTGGGGTTGGGGGAAGTCGCCAGTTCCAGATGCATTTCCCGGGGAGAGCTGTTGGTTTGCAGTGGGGCATGAGAGGAAGGGAGGAGTCTGGAAGACTGGCCTGAGCACCTAGAAGGTGCAGTGGCCATCTATTGAGATGGGGAAGCCTGGGGCGGGGTGCAGGTTTGTGGGAAGCTCAGCAGCTCCATTTGGACCTGGTAAGTTTGGGATGTATTTTCTATCACTGCTGTGACAGATTCCCACAGATGTCATGCCTGAAACCAAAACAAATTTACTGTCGTATAGCTCTGTGGCTCAGAGGTCTGCAGGGACCTCCCTGGCTCATGCCTGTAATCCCTGCACTTTGAGAGGCTGAGGCGGGAGGGTCACGGGAGGCCAGGAGTTCCAGACCAACCTCATCAACATAGCAAGACCCTGTCTCTACAAAACAAAAAAAGATCCAAGTGGAGCCATGAAGGAGGTGTTGGGGTGTACGTGTCAGGAATTTATGGGAGTAGTCTGGCTGAGAAAGAAGTTTACAGGCCACTGGCTAATGTAGGGATATAGCACTGTGAGACTGGGGGAGTCACCAGAGAAGAGGGTGGGACAGGCCAGGTGCGGTGGATCAGGCCTATAATCCCAGCACTTTGGGAGGCCGAGGTGGGCAGATCACTTGAGGTCAGGAGTTCAAGACCAGCCTGGCCAACATGGTAAAACCCCGTCTCTACTAAAAATACAAAAATTAGCCGGGCATGGTGGCGGGCGTCTGTAATTTCAGCTACTTGGGAGGCTGAGGCAAGAGAATCACTTGAACCCGGATTGCAGTTTGCCAAGATCACGCCACTGCACTCCAGCCTGGGCAACAGAGCAAGACTCTGTCTCAAAACAAACAAGAAGTGGGTAGGACAGAAAGGGGACCAGATTCAAGGGCCCAACCCTGGGGCCCTCCAGCATTTGTTAGCAGGTCAGGGAGAAAGAGCAGGGTCAGGAACACTGGAGAGCTGTGTCCTGGAGGCCAGGGGAGGAAGGGTAGCTGGGGAGGGCGGGAGTGACCCTGGGGTCAGAGGCTGCTGACGAGCTGGTTGTGGACCCCGAATATCCAGGCTCCAGGTCACCTGAGAACAAGACCCAGCACTGGACTTAGCAGCCCCTCCTGGAATCTCCATGCTCCCCGACCAGCCTTCCCCCCAGCCCTCCCTCTCCAGCCCTCTCTCCCTCCCTACCTCTCGAAGGAGTCTCACAGTGCTGTGTCCCCACATTTGCCAGTGGCCTGTAAACTTCCTCTGCCCTCCCTCCCCTGCCATTTCCCCTAGTCCTCCCTCCCTTGCCTTTCCCCCAAGCCCTTCCTCCCCTGCCTTCCAGTTCAGGGACATCCTGTTGCCAGTTAGGGGCTGGCCAGGGGGCCAGCCAGGGCCCTGACCCACTGGCAATGCCGGACCTTCCTTGGTCATCACAACTGGTGACCAGACATGTCCAGGAGGGAGACAGGAAGGCCAGATGCTTTCCTGTGTGGAGCTGTTAACAGCCTGGTCACCCTGCAGGAGGCCTCCAGTCCATGGCTGAAGAGGGTGTGCAGCTGTCAGGTTGTTGCTTCAGTGATTTGGGGGTTCCCAGGCATCTGCCCTCTAAACCTGGCACTCTATCCCAATGCCTATAGTCCCACCATTAGTCATATGGGTTAGCGAGCAAACACTGAGAGTGTGTGTTGGGGTGGGGGGCTGTAAGGGCCTCCCAGCTGGGCAGGATTGGATTCTGGCTGGGGCAGGAGTGTCTCCTAGTGGGAGGATTGAGCCCTATGCACAAAGTGAGTGAGTTGCCAAGACTGTACAGGAGGCAAGGCCCTGGGAAGAGAAAGAGATGCTTTCCATGCAGAGAACCTGGGTGGGGGCCTCTCCCAGCACTCCCCACACAACTGATCCCAGAGGAAGAGCAGCTGACACCAGGCCCCTCATCGGATGTGGCTGTGTGGTCCAGTTCAGCTCCCCCATGAAGGGCCTTCTGGGATCAGATCGGATTCAGAGGCCAGAGCGCGAGGCAGCCAGCATTGGGCTGGAGCCGGGCATCCTGACCCGCAGGCCCTGCCTGGTCGAGCACACTGGGTTTCCCTCCGTTCCAGCCCGGTTTGGCCACCTGCTTACCAGGTGACTTCTCTACGTTTAACCTCCTTGAGCTTCACCTTCCTCATCTGTAGAATGGGGATAATAATACCTCCCAGTATCCACTTTAGCCAGAGGGGGTGCTGAGCCAAAAACACTTTGGAAAAGTTGAAAGAGGAACTCAGATCTCAGAAATTCAGAAGGGGAGGGCAAGCAGAAGTGGGTGCAGGCGGGCGAGCCTGGGTGCTGTTGCGAGGCTGATGCAGCCCGACCCAGAGCTTTGTGACCACATCTGTGGCATGAGGCTCGGCTTTGGCTGCGGCTTCTCTTAGCTCGGCTCAGATTTCCACACGGCTCTCAACCAAGGGCAGTTTTACCCTGCAGGGACGTTTGGCAACGTCGAGAGACATTTTTGGTTGTCACAGTTGGGGAGGTGCTACTGGCATCTGGGGGTTACAGGCCAGGGGTGCTGCTCACCATCTGGCAGTGCACAGGACGGCCCCAGCACAGAGAGGTGTCTGACCCCATGTCAGTGGCACGGAAGTGGAGGATGCTGTTCTAAAAGCAGTGCTGGCCGAGGACTGGGAGTGCCACTTCACGTGGACAAGTCACTTCTGTCTGAGTGGTTTCCTCACCTGTAAGTGAGGGGTGGGGAGCAGAGGTACCATCTCCCCTGGGAACTCTCCCGGACCTTGCCCTCTCCCTGCCCCCTCAGGTTGTGTTAGATAACACTGCCCTCAGATTTTCTGTGTTCCTGTCCTGCCCTGCCATGGGCTCTTCTCAGAGCAGCAGGGGCGTGTGTCTCTATACTTAGGGCCTCACGGTATGCCCAACACTGCCTGGCAAGCATCGGGTGTTCAGTAAATGTAAGTTATATGCCACCATAGCACGCACTTATTGGACATGCGTTTTATGCCAGGCAGCACAGGTAACATGGAGTCTTGGCCCTACCTTTACAGTAGCTCTGGGACGGTGCCCTCTGCAGGGAGGGTCCCTCTGGCTGGGGCGGAGGCAGGGAGACTGGGTTGTGGGTCTGGGGACAGCAGAGGTGTGAGGTGTGATGGGGAAGAGGAGAATGTCTAGAACCAGGATGTGCAGGGTCTGGCCCACTGCCCTTGCTCCTCCATCCTGGGAGGTGACCCCAAACACTGCACATGCCCTCTGCGCACTTGCCCTGAAAGCGTCTCTAACTGCGGGGCCAAGGGGACTACCAGGGGCCTGGTCTTACAAAGGTGACCTTGGGGCCTGTTGGGTCTGCAGCTACCTCTTGGCTTGGAGCAGGCCCAAGGGGCCATTGTGATCCTTCCTGCTCGTTCTCTTGCTCTCCTTTCCCCCAACACCCTCTCCCACCTTTGCTGGGGCCAGTGGTGATGCTGTGGGTGTGCTGGGTGCTCTGTTCCCTGGCTGGGTCTGGTGCCCTTTGTAAACTGCCAGTCCCTCAGGTCTTGTGCAGCTCCTTGAGCAGGCTTTCCAGATCTGGGATGCTGATGACAGTGATAGGAACCAGCCTCTAGAGAATGCTCTCTCTTTGGGGGCACTTTATGCATATCCCAATCTTGTCCTCATGAGCAGGCTCGTTTCATCGACGAGGAAACTGAGGGCCGGGGAGCGGCAGAGTCAGGACCTTTCTGAACACCGGCACACCTGCCCTGAATGCATCCACAGCTGCAGGGCCTTGGGGACCACCGGAGATGGTTGTGTGTGTCCCAGCCTCTTACAGGACAGGTGTCAGGAGCCCAAAGTGGAGGCAGCTGCCCTGGTCCAAGTCCACAGTGAGAGGACCCACTGCCCTGAGCTGGTGTGGAGACTGCATGTGTGAGTGTGCACAGAGCTTGTAAGGCAGCGTCTGGCATGGAGGAGGCGCTTTCTTTCTTTTTTAATTATTATTATTATTATACTTTAAGCTGTAGGGTACATGTGCACAATGTGCAGGTTTGATACATAGGTATACATGTGTCATGTTGGTTTGCTGCACTCATCAACTCATCATTTACATTAGGTATTTCGCCTAATGCTATCCCTCCTCCAGCCCCCCAGCCTCCAACAGGCCCTGATGTGTAATGTTCCCCGCCCTGTGTCCAAGTGATCTCATTGTTCAGTTCCCACCTGTGAGTGAGAACATGCGGTGTTTGGTTTTCTGTCCTTGTGATAGTTTGCTGAGAACGATGGTTTCCAGCTTCATCCATGTCCCTGCAAAGGACATGAACTCATCCTTTTTTATGGCTGCATAGTATTCCATGGTGTATATGTGCCACATTTTCTTAATCCAGTCTATCATTGATGGACATTTGGGTTGGTTCCGAGTCTTTGCTATTGTGAATAGTGCTGCTATAAACATACGTGTGCATGTGTCTTTACAGCAGCATGATTTATAATCCTTTGGGTATATAACCAGTAATGGGATTGCTGGGTCAAATGGTAATTCTAGTTCTAGATCCCTGAGGAATCACCACACTGTCTTCCACAATGTTTGAACTAATTTACACTCCTACCAACAGTGTAAAGGCGTTCCTATTTCTCCACATCCTCTCTAGCATCTGTGGTTTCCTGACTTTTTAATGATCGCCATTCTAACTGGCATGAGATGGTATCTCATTGGGGTTTTGATTTGCGTTTCTCTGATGACCAGTGATGATGAGCATTTTTTCGTGTGTCTGTTGGCTGCATAGATGTCTGCTTTTGAGAAGTGTCTGTTCATATCCTTTGCCCACTTTTTGATGGGGTTGTTTGTTTTTTTTTCTTGTAAATTTGTTTGGGTTCATTGTAGATTCTGGATATCAGCCCTTTGCCCGATGGGTAGATTGCAAAAAATTTCTCCCATTCTGTAGGTTGTCTGTTCACTCTGATGGTAGTTTATTTTGTCGTGCAGAAGCTCTTTAGTTTACTTAGATCCCATTTGTCTATTTTAACTTTTGTTGCTATTGCTTTTGGTGTTTTAGTCATGAAGTCCTCGCCCATGCCTATGTCCTGAATGGTATTGCCTAGGTTTTCTTCTAGGGTTTTTATGGTTTTAGGTCTAACATTTAAGTCTTTAATCCATCTTGAATTAATTTTTGTATAAGGTGTCAGGAGGGGATCCAGTTTCAGCTTTCTACATATGGCTAGCCAGTTTTCCCAGCACCATTTATTAAATAGGGAATCGTTTCCCCATTTCTTGTTTTTGTCAGGTTTGTCAAAGATCAGATGGTTGTAGATGTGTGGTGTTATTTCTGAGGCCTCTGTTCTGTTCCATTGGTCTATATATCTATTTTGGTACCCGTACCATGCTGTTTTGGTTACTGTAGCCTTGTAGTATAGTTTGAAGTCAGGTAGCATGACGCCTAGGAGGAGGCACTTTTGGAGTGTACATTCGCTTTACTTCTTGCCCGAAATGACCCAGGCAACATTCCCCCACAGCTACACATCACTACCTGTGTCCTAGGAGTTAGTGGGAAGGGAAGATGCATGTGGCCCACACTTGGTTGTGTTGGGCTTTCTTCATCCCGTGCCCTGTAGGGTCAGGAGCCCAGAGGCTGCTGGCCCAGGGACTGCTGGGCCATGCTCGCCGGCGTGGGTGGCCTCTGCAGGAGACAGTGTGGGCTGGAGCTGGATGCTTGATGTTGCTCTAGGCTGGGAACCTGGGCAAGGCCCCTCCCTCCCCAGGTCAGCGGCTCTACTGTCACATACCTAGACACAGGTGGTAGCATCACAGCAGTCTCACCACAGACTTTCCAATAAGTCTTACAAGTCCAGTGCCCCTTGATGGGTAAAAGGGACAGCTCAGCTCAGATTCAAAGGGAGTCTTGCCCGAAAGGCCTCCCTTCACCCCATGGCAGTTCCTGGACCTTCTGTGGAACCCTATGGTTTAGTAGTGACCTGAGCAGCAGAGACTAAGTGAAGGCTGAGATCCCCGGCCTGGGACAGGGGTAGGGAGCCCCATTTCATGGTGTGCTGGATGCCCTGCCTGCCTCTTCCCCAAGCCCTCATGGACTGTCAGCCAGAGGCACCAGTGGGCAATTCCAGGGCTAACTGCGCCTCTGAGGAGCTGAGCTCCGGTCGTCTAGAGGCTGGACCCCTGGGGCGGTGGTTAGGGCTGCTTTCTTCCCTGGTCCCCACAGGCCTTATGGGGATTAGGCAGCCTTCCTGCCCAGTGCTCAGTCACTAAGGAGGGTATCATGTGAAGTCATGAGTGCAGGGCCACACCAAGGCTCTCAGTGGACCCAGGACTGCAGGAATTCCAGGGCTTCCCATCATTAAATTAAATTAGTATTGAAATGCAGTATCTATGTCAGGAAGGCCATGAGTGTTCCCCTTGGTGACCACATGTGTACTTTTGGAAATATCAGATCCAGTCACACCCCAGCCTGGTGCCCTGCCTTGCTGGCCTCGCCTTGCTGTGGCTGGAGCTGGAACTGGCTGGCTGTTGTCTGAGCCAGCTGTGTCCACCCCTGGCTTCTGTGTGTGTCAGGTACAGGCCGTGCGCAGTGTCACACAGGGGCATGAATGTGCTGCAGTGCACCAAGGGGACCTTGACCAGCAGCTTTGGGGAGTACTGGTGGGGGGAGCATCTGAATGGAGTGTGTTCAGGAGGGATGGGAGCCGGGGAACATGGCACCTCTTTGGAGTTTTGCCACAGAGGGGAACAGGATGGGTGACAGCTGTCAGGGGACATAGGCTCGAGAGGTTTTTAGAGAATCTTCCATTGCTTCTGCTTCTCTCCTATGTGGCAAGCTGCAGGAGGCCTATGAGGGGCTTTGCAGAGGTACTGGTGCAGCTCAGAGAGGTTTCACAGGCTTCACCCATGGGGTGGCGAAAAAGTGCCTCTTGCCCAGTACCTGGTGCATTTCAGCTTAGTGAATTAAAGATTTGGAGACACTTTGCTGAGCTTTTGCACAGAGAGGACTACATGGGGTATGGGACAGGACCTGGACTGAGACTTTTACACACTGGGAAGAAAGCCCTGCTTGTAGTCTGTCAGGCTGCTGTACAACTTTTAAACATCAAAAAGTCCTCATGCTTTTACTCCTTTGGCAAAATGCTTGTTGGATAGAGGAATTCAAACTTGATTGCAGCCCCCCTGGCTATCAACGGTGTATTAGCCTGTTTTCTGCTGCTATAACAGAATACCACAGAATGGGTAATTCTGTTGTACAGAAATGTATTGGTTTACAGTTCTGGAAGCTTGGAAGTATAAGACGGAGGGGCTGGCATCTGGCGAGGGCCCTCTTGCTGTGTCATAACATGGCGGAAAGCATCACATGGCTGAAGGGCACAGGGAGCAAGAGAGAGTAAGAGGGGCAAAACTACTCTCATGGTAACAAACCCACTTCTGCAGTAAGGGCACTAGTTCATTCATGAGGGCAGAGCCCTCGTAAACTAAACATTTCTTAAAGGTCCCACCTCTTGCCAAGCATGATGCTGTGCACCTGTAGTCCTAGCTACGTGGAAGGCTGAGGTAGGAGGATCACTTGAGATCAGGAGTTGGACACCTGCCTGGGCAACACAGTCAGACCCCCCTTTCAAAAACCAAACAAATTTTTTTTTTTAAAAAAAGGTCCCATCTCTTAATACTGTTGCAGTGGCAACTAAATTTCAACATGAGTTTTGGAGGGGACAAACATTCAAACTGTAGCATTCTGCCCAGCCCACCCCTGGAAAATTCATGTCCTTCTCACATACAAAATATATTCATTCCATCCTGATAGCTCCCAAAGGTCTTAGCTCATTCCAGCAGCAACTCATAAGCCCAGAGTCTCATCTAAATCAGATATGGGTGAGACTCAAGGCATGATTCATCCTGAGGCAAATTCCTCTCCAGCTGTGAGCCTGTGAAATTTAAACAAGTTACATGCTTCCAGAATACAACGGTGAGACAGTTGTGGGATAGACATTTCCATTCAGGGAGAAACCGGCAAGAAAAAAGGGGGTAACTGGTCCCAAGTACGTCCAAAACCAACCATGAAGAGCAACATTAAATCTTGAGACTCGGGAATAATGTTCCTTGACTCCACATCACACACTGGGGCCCTGGGCACCCCCACCCCCATGGCTTTGGTGGGCTCGGCAGCCACAGGAGCTCTCCCAGGTTGATGTTGCTAGCCGGTCACGCTGGTAGCTCTGCAGTCTCAAGGGCAGCCCAGCCCCTGTGGCTCCACAAGGCATTGTCCTAGCAAGGACTCTCTGGAGTGGCTCTCCCTCTGCAACAGGTCTCTGCCTGGACCCCCAGTCTGTCTGATCCAGCCTTTGAAATCCAGGCAGAGGCAGCCACGCCTCCACTGCTCTTGAACTCTGTGTGCCTGCAGAATTAGCACCACATGGATGCTGCCAAGGCTTACTGCTTGCCCTCTGGAGCCGTGGCCTGAGCCACACCCAGGCCCACTTGAGCCACAGCTGGGGCAGCCAAGGAGCACTGTGGTGGAATGTGAGGAGCAGAGTCCCAAAGGTAGTCCAGGGCAGCAGGTCCTTGGAGGGGGCCCTTGGCCCATCCCCTAAAACCATTCTCCCTTCCTAGAGCTCTGGGCCTGTGATGAGAGGGGCAGCTTGGAATATCCTGAAATGCCTTCATGATAAATTCTGTCTTTAAGTCATTTCTTTCTTCTTTCATTTTACTATATGATATTAAAAGAAACCACACAGCACCTCAATATTTTGCTTAGAAATTTCTTCTGCTGGGTATCCCAGTTCATCACTCTTAAATTCTGCCTTCCATACTCCAGTCTGGGCAACAGTGTGAGACTCCGTCTCAAAAAAAAAAAAAAAAAAAATTCTGCCTTCCATAAACATAAAGCCACTGGGTGTGGACACAATTCAGCCAAGTTCCTTTTCACTATAAGGATGGGCTTTTCTCCAGTTTCCAATACCTTATTCCTCAATTCCCTCTGAGACCTCATCACCATCCATATTTCTGCCAACATTCTGATGACAGCCACTTTAATCTCCAGGAAGTTTCAGACTTTTCCTACAGCTCTTCTCATCTTCTGAGCCCTTAATGTTCTGTTCATGGCGACAGGCTTTTTTCTAGTCTGCTCTTCCAGACTCTTCCAGCCTCTACTCACTACCCAGTTCCAAAGCCACTTTCACATTTTTAAGTATTTGTTATAACAACACCCACTCTCAGTACCAGTTTTCTGTCTTAGGCTGTTTTGTGCAGAATACCACAAACAGGGTAATTTATAATGAACAGATATGTATTGGCTCGCAGTTCTGGAGGCTGGGAAGTCCAAGATCGAGGGCTTGGCATCTGGGGATGGCCTTCTTACTGAATCATCATTCCATGGCGAAGAACAGACAGACAGACAGAGAGAGAGAGAGCGAGAGACAGAGAGAGAGAGAGAGAAAGAGGGGGCAAAGCCACCACTGTGATAATGGTATTAGTCCATTCGTGAGGGTGGGGCCCTCATGGCCTGAACACTTCTTACAGGTTCCACCTCTTAATACTGTCACAGTGGTGACTAAATTTCAACATGAGTTTTGGAGGAGACAAACATTCAAACCACAGCAAATGGAGACTTTGATGGGGAGGAGGTGGCCCAGGACTAGCCCCTGGAGAAGGAGGAAGAGAGCCACGCTGGGGGAGAGGTAGAAAGGGAAATGGCTGAGTTCGTTGGCATCACAATTTTGCCCTGAGCAGTCTTCTACAAGTTAACATCTAAACACACAGAGCTGGAGCGCTGATCAATAGTAAAAAGCCCAAGTTTCCTATAGACAGTGCTCTAATGTTACGTTGAAAAGCCATGCAGCCATCTTCTTGCCTTTCTTCCATTTCTGGGTAATTTCTTCCATGTCTTGGTGGATGACACCAGCAGTCACCCTGTTTCCCAGGTCAGAAATGTGGAGTCATTCTGGACTCTGCCTGCCCCATCCTGGTCAAGTCAGCAGCTAGGAACTCTGGCTTCTTCATTCCTGACACCTCCCGCCAGTTCCCTTCACTCCATTCTCTTCACGTCACTGTGACACCCTGTGGCCAGAGTGACCATTCTGGAGTGGAAATCAGACAACCCTTTCTCTGCTTTGGACCCTTCGATAGCTCTCATGCCCACATGTGCCTTGGCTCACCTTAGACTCCATGCCCGGGTGCCCTTGACCCCAGTTCACCTGCTGTCACTGGACCTGAGTCTTGGAATATTATCTCTTTTTCTCTGATTCTCCTGCCCACTCTGTGCCCAACAGGTGTAAACATCAGGGAATGCTGGGGCCTGGGACAATCTGCAGGAGGCAGGCTCTGCCTAGAGACATTAAAATTAAAGCCCACGCCAGTACTCCATAAACTCACCCTAGGAAACATAGCTGGGAGGATCCTACCCAGCCTGCATTCCAGAGCACCTCCCATGCACAGGCACTGTTCCAGGGCTGGGTACGGCAGCGAGGAGACCCGAATCCCTGCTGCGGTCACCCTGTAGAGGGAGAGACCAACAATATACCAGATGTCTTAGTCTTCTCTGGCTGCCATAACAAAATAACACAGACTGAAGGACTTAAACAACAGAAATGTATTTTCTCCCAGCTCTGGAAAGAAAGTCTGAGAAGAGGGTGCCAGCAGGGTCAGTTTCTGGTGAGGGCTGTCTTCCTGGTGTGCTGACGGCTGCCTTCTTGCTCTGTCTTCATGTGGCCTTTTGCTGCATGCACGTGGAGGCAGACATAGCTGTCTCTCCTACCCTTTTTTTTTTCTTTTTTTTTTTGAGATGGAGTCTTGCTCTGTCACCCAGGCTGGAGCGCAGTGGTGTGATCTCAGCTCACTGCAAGCTCCGCCTCCTGGGTTCAAGCGATTCTCCTGCCTCAGCCTCCCGAGTAGCTGGGATTACAGGCATGCACCACTATGCCCGGCTAATTTTGTATTTTTAGTAGAGACAGGGTTTCTCCATGTTGGTCAGGCCGGTCTCGAACTCCCGACCTCAGGTGATCCGCCCACCTCGGCCTCCCAAAGTGCTGGGATTACAGGCATGAGCCACCACACCCGGCCTCTCTTACTCTTCATATAAGGCTACCAATCTTATGGGATAAGGGCCCAACCTTGTGACCCCACGTAACCTTGGTTACCTCCTAAGGACCCTATCTCCAAATACAGTCACACTGGGGGTTAAGACTTCAACGATGAAGTTGAGGGGACACAGTTCAATCCTATGCACTAGTAAACAGAAATCTGCATATGCACCCCTCGCATGCACAGTTCACGGTAGGGTTTGCGCTCCTATGAGAATTTAATGCCGCTGCTCATCTGACAGGAGGTGAAGCTCAGGCAGGAATGCGAGCAGTGGGGACCAGCTGTAGATACAGATGAAGCTTCACTTGCTCACCTGCCGCCCACCTCCTGCTGTGCAGCCCAGTTCCTAACAGACCACCGACTAGTACTGGTCCTCGGCCCAGGGAGTTGAGGACCCCTGCACTAGAGTGTTTCAGAATTACCATTGATCTACATATTTGCCAAAAAAACTTATTTTTTCATTATTATTATCTCTTAGCAATCTAGGAGGTACTGCATTCTCATGCTAATTTACGTGTTCCTGTTTATTACTGAAATTGAGCCATCTTTTGGGTTTGTATCCATCTTTCTGGTTTCCCTTTCTGCTGATACCTGCTCTAGAGATTCTTCTTTCATCATTTGTGAACACTCTACGCTATCTTCTTCTATTCTGTTGAGTGTCTCACTCTGACCTTTGTTGAACAGAAATCTTTAATTTTGATGTAATCAGATTCATCCTTTTTTTTCCTTGTGGTTTGAGCTTTTGGAGTTTTAAGAAATCTGTCCAGAATCTTAGGTTAACAGGAGGCTCTTTTACATTTTATTATAGCTCTATCATTTACCATTCACATTGGGGTCTCTAATGCACCTGGAACCTACATTTGCATGTGGGATATGGAAGGAGTCTAGATTGTTTTCTTTATGTGGTGATCCAGTTTTCCTAACACCATCTACTAAACACTCTGACCTTTTTTCCCATAGCTTTCATGAAATTCCCTCCTACACCTCACTCTCTTTTTTGAGCTCTCTGGTCTGTTTGTTGGTACGTTTGTCTGTTCTTGTACCAACCATACAATTTTTATTACAATGACTATACAACATGTACTAGTGTCTGAGAGAAACTCCTCCCTTGTTATTTTTCTTTTTAGGTTTTTATGAATTGTTTGTTTCTCCATATACATTTCAGTGTGTGTTTATCAAGCTTTCCAAAAAAAAAATCCAACTGAATTTTTTATTGGAATTGCACTGAATTTACTTACAGATTACTTTGGGGAGAAATGACATTAATATGTGGCCATAAGATGGAATGTCTCATGTATTCAGAATATCTTTCCATGTAGAGGTCCTTTGAGTTTTTATTACTACTTAGAGATACTCTTTAGTTTTATTGCTATTGTGAGTGTTTATCTTGGTATTTTTAATTATATTTTCTAGATGGTTATTACTGGTGTAGAGAACTGCTATTGATTTTTGTATCGATTAATCTTATATCTGGCAACCTTACTGAACTCTCCTGTCTGTTGATTCTTTTAGTCCCTCTGGGGACCCTATCATCTAAATAATGTTAATTTTATCCTTTACTTCTCAATTCGTACACTATTTATTTCTTTTCTAAATTTCCTAAGAGCATTGGCAGGACATTGATTAGTGGGGACTGTGGCCAAACTTGTCCCAAATATTAAAGGGAATGTATCTAAGCTTTTGCCATTAAATCCAATATTTTCTGTAATTTTTTTTGTAAATATGTGATTTGCAAATATAAGCAAATCACGTTAAAGAACTTCCCTTTGACTCCTGGTTTGCTGAGAGTTTTTTTTGGTCATCGTTTATTTTAATTATAAATAGACATGAAAGCTTATCAAATGCCCTTTCTGCATTAAGATTTTCATGTGATTTTTCCTCTTTATGTTCTTCCAGATAAAATCTTCTTGATCATGATGTACTTAAAAAAATGCCATTGGCTTCATTTAGCTAACATTTGGTTTAGGGTTTTGCATCTGTGTTCAAAAGTGGCATTAGGCATACGTTGTTCACTCTCACTCTTGCGTTTTCTGATATGGTTTGGATGTTTGTCCCCCCCCACATCTCATGTTGAAATGAATCCCCAATGTTGGAGGTGGGGACTAGTGGGAAGTATTGAATCACGGGCGCGGATCCCTCCTGAATGGCCCAGCACCATGCTCATGGTAATGAGTGAGTTCTCTCCATGAGTTCATGTGAAATCTGACTTTTATACAATTTATATAATACATTAAAGAGCCTGGCACCTCCTCCCTTGTGTCTCTTGCTTCCATTCTTGCCACGTGACCTGCTTGCTCCCTCTTCACCCTCCATCACGATTGGAAGCTTCCTGAGGCCCTCACCAGAGGCAGATGCCAGCACTGTGCTTTGTGTACATCCTGCAGAACCACAAGTGAAATAAACGTCTTTTCTTTATAAATAATGCAGTCTTGAGGATCACTTGAGCCCAGGAGTTTGAGACCAGCCTGGGCAACATGACAAAACCCTGTCTCTATTATAAATAAAAAAAATTAGCTGGTTATAGTGGTGTGTGCCTGTAGTCTCAGCTACTTGGGAGACTGAGGTGGGAGGATCACCTGAGCCTGGAAGGCTGCAGTGAGCTGTGATTGCACCACTGCACTCCAGCCTGGACAACAGAGTGAGACCCTGTCTCAAAAAAATAAAAAATTTACCTAGTCTCAGGTATTCCTTTCTAGCAATGCAAGAATGGATTAACACCTTGTCCTTATGTCTTTTTTTTTTTTTTTTTTTTTGAGACAGAGTCTCTCTCTGTTGCCCAGGCTGGATTACGGTGACATGATCTCAGCTCACTGCAGCCTCCGCCTTCAGGGTTCAAGCAATTCTCCTGCCTCAGCTTCCCAAGTAGCTGGGATTACAGGCGTGCACCACTGTGCCCAGATAATTTTTGTATTTTTAGTAGAGACGGGGTTTCGCCATGTTGGCCAGGCTGGTCTTGAACTCCTGGCCTCAGGTCATCCACCCGCCTCGGCCTCCCAAAGTGCTGGGATTACAGGCATGAGCCACCGCACTTGGCCCCTTATGTCATTTTTTAAATCAAAATTACAATATTGACCACATGGAGATCATCCACGATCCTTGTAAGAGCAGTTTTCTTGGAGTGGAGTAAGTTTGAGGGAGAACAGGAGGAGAGGAAGTGAAGGCAGGGAGTTACAGGAGGTGAGAAAAAGGCTTAGGGGAAAATATGGTCAAGGAGTTTTGTTGTTTTTAATGGAAGAAATAGCAGCAGGTTTGGAGTTTCTGTCTTATTTTGTTTCTTGGCCCTCGGGAAAGAGGATTAAGTTCATCCTACTCTGTAGTTCATGGGATATCATCAGCCTTGACCCATTTACAGCCTCTCATTTGTTTTTCCTCTTTTACACCCCTATTTCCCTCCTCCCCATAGCTAAGTATTCTCATTTTTTCTAATTTAAATTAATGTAAAATTTACCTTTTTGGCTGTCTAGTTCTATGAATCTCGATACATGCATAGTCATGTAACCATTACCACAATCAAGATGTGGAACAATTTATTTTAATTTAATTTAATTTTAATTTTTATTTACTTACTTAGTTTTTGGAGATGGGGTCTCTGTCGCCCAGACTGGAGTGCAGTAGTGTGATCCTAGCTCATGGCGGCCTTGAACTCCAGGGCTCAAGCAGTCCTCCCACCTCAGCCTCCTGAGAGGTAGGACTACAGGTGTGCACCACCACACCGGGCACCTGGCGATATAGAACAATGTCGTCACCACAAAAAATTGCCTTATGCTGCCTCTTTGGTAGTCAGCCCCCAGGCAGCCACTGATCTGTTCTCTTTCCCTGTAATTTTCTGTCCTTTTATCTTTTCCAGACTGTCCCATGGATGTTGTCAGACATGATCTGCCTCTGGAGTCTGGACTCTTTCACGTCATTGCATGTGCGATTCATTCATGTTTTGCGTGTGTCAGGAGTTTGTTCCGTATTGTTGCTGAGTATCTTTCCTTGTGTGATGTACCACAGCTCATCCACTCACCAGTTGGAGGGCATTTGTATATACAGTTTGGGGCAATTTTGAATAAAATTGCTCTAAACATTTGCCTAAAGTTGAATATAGTAGCTTTCATTTCATTTGGGTAAATAACCAGAAATGGGATTGCTGGGTCTTATGGGAAGAGCCTCTTTATAAGAAAGTGGCAACGTGATTTCCAGCATGGCAGTACCACTTCTCTCTCCTGCCAGCAACATATAGTGGTTCCCGTCGCTCTGCATCCCCCCACTGCAAGCGCCCGACATTGTCAATATTTGTTATGTAAGCAATTCTCATAGGTATATAGCAGTATTTCACTGAGGTTTCAATTTGCATTTCCTTAATGGAAAATGATGCTAATCCTCTTTCTTGTGCTTATTTTATCAGCGTTTTATCCTCTATAGTGAAGTGTTTGATTAGGTTTTTTGACATTTACTAATTTGAGTTCTTTGATTTCTTACTGCAGAGTTTTGAGACTTCTTTATATATTCTGTATATCCTTTGTCAGATATGCAGTTTGCAAAGGTAATATTTTCTCCCAGTCTGTGCTTACCTTTTTATTTAACAATATCTTTGTAATCCCAGCACTTTTGGAGGCTGAGGTGGCCGGATCACTCAGGAACTCCTGAGGTCAGGAGTTCGAGACCAGCCTCGCCAACATGGTGAAATCCTGTCTCTACTAAAAATACAAAAACTAGCTAGGTGTGGTGGTGCGTGCCTGTAGTCCCAGTTACTCGGGAGACTGAGGCAGGAGAATCACTTGAACTCGGGAGGCAGAGGTTGCAGTGAGCTGAGATCATGCCACTGCACTCCAGCCTGGGCGACGGAGCCAAACTCTGTCTTAAAAAAATAATAAAATAAAATAAAAATAAAAAAACCAATATCTTTATTCTTCTTTCACAAAATTATTTTAGCTATTCTAGTTCCTCTGTCTTTCTAGATAAATTTTAGAGCATGTTGTCTGTATGTACAAAAAAACTCTTGCTGGGATTTTGATAGGAATTGTATGAAATCTGTGAATCATTTTGGAGATAACTGGCATCTTTATAGCACTGAGTCTTTCAATCCATGAACATAGTTATGTTTCTTCCATCATTTGAATCCTCCGTGATTTCTTTCATCAGCATTTTGTAGTTTTTGGCATACGGATTATATACATGTTTTGCAAGATATATACCTAAGTATTTCATTTGTGAGATGAGCAATTGTAAATGGTATTGTTTTTTAAGTTCTGTCTTTTTATTTGTGTGTAAGATTTTTATTCTAATTTGCATTCCAAAGGAAATTACAAAATCCATTCACTTCTTTATATAAAAAAGTGACTTAACATTTTTTTTTTTTTTTTTTTTGAGATGGAGTCTCGCTCTTGTTTCCCAGGCTGGAGTGCAATGGCACGATCTCAGCTCACTGCAACCTCTGCCTCCCAGGTTCAAGCGATTCTCCTGTCTTAGCCTCCCGAGTAGCTGGGATTACAGGCGCCTGCCATCACGCCTGGCTAATTTTTGTATTTTTAGTAGAGACAGGGTTTCGCCATGTTGGCCAGGCTGGTCTCGAACTCCTGACCTCAGGTGATCCACCCGCCTTGGCCTCCCAAAGTGCTGGGATTACAGGCATGAGCCACCGCGCCCGGCCTGTTACTTAACATTTTAATGCAAATTATAAAACATGATAAAGTTGCAGGACAAACTAGGCTAGCTGCTTGGAGTAACAAGTTTTTAAGTCACCATTTTCTACTTCCATGCTAAGGATAACCTTCTAATTAGTGATCAGCTGTACTGTAATAGCAGAATAACCCTGAGACTTGAGTAAACAGAAAAGCTGAAGATCTTCTCCAGTTCCCAGCCAGGTAGTTTTCTATGCCTTCTCATAGTAGCAAACAGCAACTATGTCACCAAAAGTGAGGATCCAACAGCATAAGAATGACACAATGGACTTTGGGGACTCTGGGGAAAGGGTGGGAGGGGGTGAGGGATAAAAGACTATAAATTGGGTTGAGCATATACTGCCGGGGTGATGGGTGCACCACAATCTCACAAATCACCACTAAAGAACTTACTCATGTAAGCAGACACGACCTGTTCCTCAATAACCTATGGAAATAAAAAAAAATTAAGTGGGAGTCATAACCATTTTGCCATCCTTAATTTCTCTTACAAAATTTGTGTCTTTGCCATCCCGTTTCTGTATGTGAACACTTTTGTCTCCATCCAGGCTAACAACAGACATACTCTACCAGTGTACAGTGTCTGTCATCAGCAGTGGTGTCTCTGTGTGAATGAATATGCTTTGAGTCCTGCTCACCACTTTGTCTCCTTCCTGACTGATAATCACTGTTGGTTTGGTCACATTTCCACCTGCCCAGTGGCAAAGCCTACACCTTTGATGACCCTTCATGTCGTCATCAGAGTTCTGACTGTCCCTCAGCTTCCAGGTAGCACAAAAAGCCCCCACCATCCTTCCCTCTCCCTGTTTAGCTCCAAAACAGATCAAAGAGACCGGAGCAAGACTCTTGGATCTTACTGCCACTGAAATTCTGGAGACACCTTTGCCTAAATTTTGATTTCTAATTGTTCATTACTGATCTGTAGAAATGTGATTGATTTTTGTATATTGACCTTTTTTCTTTGGGGGGAAACATTCTGTTTTTTACCGTTAAGAATGATGTTAACTATAGATTTTGTGTAGATGCTCTTTAATAATGTGGGGAAGTTCCCTTTCATTCCCAGTTATTTTTAATGAATGGATGTTGAATTTTGTCAAATGCTTTTTCTGCATCAATTGATATGATTATGTGCTTTTTTCTTTTTTAGACTATTAATGTGGTGGATTATGTTGTTTTATTTTTAAATATTGAATCAGCCTCATGTTCCTGGAAAACCCCTCTTGGTGTGGTGTATTATTCTTTTTATTCATCAAAGGATTCAATTTGCTAATATTTTGTTGAGAAATTTCACACCTGTGTTCATGAAGAATATTGGTTGGGACTATTTAGGTTATCTTTTTCACCTGGGATGAATTTGGGTAGTCTGTAATTTTTCAGGAATTGGTCCATTTTATAGAAGTTGTTGAATTTGTGTGTGAAGACTTGTTCATAATATCCCCTTTTTATCCTTTTAATGTCTGGAAAGTTAGTACTTATTTCCCTTGTTTCCTTCCTGATGTTGGTAGCTTATGTCTTTTCTCTCTTTTTTTTTCAATTTTTTCAATTTATTTTTTTTTGAGCTGGGGTCTTGCCCTGCTGCCCAGGCTGAAGTGCAGTGGTATGACCATGGCTCACTGCAGCGTCAATCTCCCAGGCTCAAGTGCTCCTCCCACCTTAGCCTCCCAAGCAGCTGGGACTACAGGTGCACACAACCATGCCTGGGCAATTTTTTTGTAGAGACAGGGTCTTGCTATGTTGCCCAGGCTGGTCTCGAACTCCTGGGCTCAATCAATCCACCTGCCTCAGCCTCTGGTGCTGGGATTACAGGCGTGAACCACTGCACTCAGTCCATCCAGTGAATTTTTAATTTTAGGTATTGTTTTGTTCAAGCTTAGAAGTTCCATTTTGTTCTTTTATTATAGTTTTTAATTTTTCTATTAAGATTCTCATCTATTATGCTTTCTTTTCTTTATTTCTTTCAAAGTGTTGATAATAGTTGTTTTAAAGTTCTTTTCTAATAATTCTAACAAAAGTCTAATAATTCTGCTTATCCTTCATCTCTTTATTATGGTCACATTTTCTTGCTTCTTCTCATGTCTTTTTATTTTTTATTGTATGTTGGACATTGTGAAAGGGATAGTGTAGGCAATGGATTATATTGTTTTAATATAAATGCTAACAAATTTTGGTTTGGCATGTAGTTAAATTATTGGCCAACTCATGTGATCTTCACAGACTTTATTTTAGGCTTTGTCAGAGTAGGTTTGTTTTGACTTTGTCATTGGGTCTAGAGCATGCGCTTACTCAAGGATGTGGTTCACAGTCCTAAAGCATAGCTTTTCTGGGGTTTCAGCCAACACCTGAGATGCTTAGGGAGGTATCTCCACTCTGGCTGAGCCAGTACTCCAGTTTTCCCATCACTGCATGAATTCTCACATGTCCTTTCAAGTACCTTTTCCTGTGCTTATTGGCCAGTTGTATATCTTTTTTTGTGACACGTCCTTGTCTTTTGCCTGTTTACAAAATCGAGTTATTAGTCTTATGCTGATTTGTAGAAGTTAATTATGTATTCTGGAAATGAGTCCTTTGTCAGATACATATACTGGAGATATGTTTTTCCAGCCTGTGACTTGAGTTTCTTAATGACTTTATTATAAGGTTTGTGGCTATGCTTATATTTGTCATTGATTTTTTTTTCTTTTTTTTTGAGACGAAGTTTTGCTCTGTCAACAGGCTGGAGTGCAGTGGTGTGATCTCTGCTCACTGCAATCTCCAACCTCCTGGGCTCAAGCGATTCTCATGCCCCAGCCTCCTGAGTAGCTAGGATTACAGGTGTGCACCACCACACCTGGCTAACTTTTTTTTTTTTGTATTTTTAGTAGAGACAGGGTTTCGCCATGTTGGCCAGGCTGGTCTTGAACTCCTGACCTCAAGTGATCCACCTGCCTCGGCCTCCCAAAGTGCTGGGATTATAGGCGTGAGCCACTGCACCCAGCCTGTCATTGATTTCTACTCTTGTTTTTATTATGTTCTTTCTTCTATTTACTTTGAATTTAATTTGCTCTGCATTTTTTAGATTCTGACTCTTAGATCTAGAAGCTTATGTCATTGCTTTTACACCTATCTTCTTTTCTAATAAAGGAATTGAAAGCAATAAATTTCCCTGTCAGCCCAGCTTTACCTGCATCCAGCAAATTTTGATATGCTCTGTTTTTTTAATCATTCAATTCAAAATATCTCAAAATGTGATCACCTTGCAGTTTATTCTCTGACCTATGAGCTAATTAGAAATGTATTGTTTATTTCCAAATACTTGAGATTTTCTAAATATCTTGTCCTGAATTTTAACTTAGTACCATTGTGGTAAGAGTCTGTGTTCCAGCATCTGATATATATTGGTAACCTCAGGATATGCTCTTGAAAAGAATGTGTATCTACAATTATACAGTGTTCTATAAATATTAATTAGGTCAAATTGGTTGATGGTGTTTTTCAAACCTTTTATTTCGTCACTTGTCATACCATTTACTGGAAAGGGGTGCTAAAATCTTCCAATTATGATTGTGACTTTTTTGTTTCTCTCTTTAGTTCTGAATTTTTTGTTTTAGGTATTTTAAAGCTCTGTTACTAGGTGATGTCTGTTTTAGATTATTCTGCCTTCTTGATGAATTAATCCTTGTATCATTATAAAACATCCAGCTTTCTTAATGTTTTTCCATTCTTTTATTTTAAATCTTTTTTTTTTTTTTTTGAGATGGAGTCTCACTCTGTCACCCAGGCTGGAGTGTAATGGCGCGATCTTGGCTCACTGCAACCTTCGCCTCCTGGATTGAAGCGATTCTCCTGCCTCAGCCTCCTGAGTAGCTGGGATTACAGGTGCCCGCCACTGCACCCGGCTCATTTTTGTATTTTTAGTAGAGATGGGGTTTCACCATGTTGGCCAGGCTGGTCTTGAGCGCCTGACCTCAGGTGATCCACCCACCTCAGCCTCCCAAAGTGTTGGGGTTACAGGAGTGAGCCACAGCACCCAGCCTTAATATATCTTTGTATTAGGAGTATCCCTCTTGTAAACAGGATATAATTGGATCTTGCTTTTCCAGTCTGAAAAGTCTGCCTCTTAATCAAAGGATTCTTACCATCCATCCATCCATCCATCCATCCACGCTGCTGTGTGTACATCTGCTCCACGGCACAGTTCTCCCCAGTGTGCAGCCTCCATATTTTGCCTACCCATCCTGCCTGCCATAAACCCCTGAGTTGCCTCCAACTCTCCTGCCAAAAATGCTGTTGCTGTGAGCATCCTTGTGCAGGCCCCTGGGCAGGGGAAGAGTCTATGTGGGATGCTTGCCTGGCGTGGGATGCTGGTTTACAGGGTTTGCCTATACTTAATATGACTAAGGATTCGAGATACTACAGTATGTCTATATGGTGATGGGAATGATCCAGAAGAGGGGAAAAGGTGATGAGGAAAGAGTGGGAGACTTGGCTGGCACCGCTTGCCTGAGTAGGTGAGAGGGATCGGGACCCACTGCACAAGTGGCAGGTTTGCCTTTGCTGGGAGCAGGCACAGTTCAGCCATGGAGCAGGCAGGCGTGCAGACGTCTGGGCCAGGTGCAGGCAGGTGGGTAGGTGTGGGGTGAGGGCTTGGGGAAGTTTTCCTCCATGGCTTGTGTCTTCTCAGTGAAGTGGGAAGCAACCTGAGGGTAAGGATGGGAGAGGAGATACTGGAAACTTAAGGGGAAGGATGGTATGAAATAGTTATCTTGGAGATGGGGAGCATGTGTGGACCAAAGAAACAGCCCAATTGCTGAGCAGCTTTCAGGGTGCTCTTGTGGTTAGTGTGAGTGGGCAGTGCAGGCTGTCTTTCCCACCACGCTCTCGGGAGAGGCCTGGGTATGGAGCAAGCTCAGCACAGGACCAGTGCCCAGCACCATGCCAGGCACCACGGGCACAGGATGAGCTGTGCAGGACAGCTGCCCCTGAAGAGCTCACTGTGCAGTGGGAGAGGCAGCAGCCAGCACCAGAGTACCAGCCATGAGGGTGATTATGGATCACCACCATTCTGTGTGGCCCAGGGGAGACAGGGCGACGGTGCAGCGGGGCCCATGAGTCCTGGGTCTGTGGGAAGGTGGCGCTCTGTAATTATGCGAGGATGCTGCTCAGCAAGGTGTGGGCACTCAGTGCTGTTTCAGCCCTAGCTTTATTTTGCATTGTAAAAGTGATGCATGTCACACCAAAAGAAATTAGGAAAATGTTTTTTAAAATCATAAATAAAAAAGTAAAAATCACCTGAAATTGCACCTCCCCCTCAAATGTAGCCATGGTTAGTTAACAAGTTTGTGGTTTTTTTTTTTTTTTTTTTTTTTTTTGAGATGCAGTCTTGCTCTGTCACCCAGGCTGGAGTTCAGTGGCGCGATCGCGGCTCACTGCAAGCTCCGCCTCCCCGGTTCACACCATTCTCCTGCCTCAGCCTCCCGAGTAGCTGGGACTACAGGCGCCCGCCACCATGCCTGGCTAATTTTTTGTATTTTTATTAGAGACGGGGTTTCACCGTGTTAGCCAGGATGGTCTCGATCTCCTGACCTCGTGATCTGCCTCAGCCTCCCAAAGTGCTGGGATTACAGGTGTGAGTCACCGCACCCTGCCAAGTTTGTGTATTGTTTTTAAAGGACAGGTCTGATCCCTGCCCCCACAGCCCTGGAGGTTTAGCCTCCTAACCAGATGTGAATAACACCCCTCTGCCAACTGTAGCTGAACAGCATCGCCTTAGGCCTTGAGGGCCAAGGGAGGCACCCTCTCCATTCCTGGGGAAAGTCAGGGAGGGCCACATGGAGGAAGTGGTCTAGGAATTGGATACTGAAGTTCAAGTGTCCCTCATGCCTGTCTTGCTGTCTTTCCCCCTCCTATATCCCCTTGTTCAGTGCCTCTTTAGGACAAGAGCAGCTCCCACCTTGTCCCACTGTGCGGCTGACAGGGGGGCACACTGCAGGGGCTGCGATGGGGAGGCCCGCCCTGTGGGGGGCAGGAAAGCAGAGGCACAGCTCTTGTGTGGGCCACTCAGTCACACCCCCTCTGTGCAGTGCACAGCCTGTGTGGCTGTCCATGGTAGTCATGCAAAGAGAGTTCCTCCACCTGCTATTTTGGCCCATGCCCTGGCCACACTGGAGCAAGATGGAGGAGCAGGGCTACAGGCCTTACACTCTCTGGTCTGTGTCCCACTCCAGATAGCAGCGACAGTGAGCTGGAGCTGTCCACGGTGCGCCACCAGCCAGAGGGGCTGGACCAGCTGCAGGCCCAGACCAAGTTCACCAAGAAGGAGCTGCAGTCTCTCTACAGGGGCTTTAAGAATGTGAGTGTTCCCCATTCCCCCGGGAGAGGCCTTGGAGACCCTGGCTCAGGGAGACCTGGAAACTTCTCCATGCCACAGTAAATATCCCAGGGGCCTTTAAGGGGCTTATGTGTTGTGGGAAAGCTGTGTGGCGGGGGCAGGCTCCGGAATGGGCATCGCTGAGGCCGCCATGCTCCTCCCTCCGTGTCTTTGCTGCTGGTACAGAGGAGGAGGGTATGGGGGAGCAGTCACCCCCTTCCTATTCACCCCTCCTCCCTCTCACCCCACCTCTACCCAGGCTTTCCACAACCCAGGCCAGGGGGCCCCAGCAGTGCCACAGGCAGCAGGCAGCCCCCAAGGGGGTGGAGAGAGGCCAGCCAGGCACCATGCAGAGTCGGGCTTGGAGCTGGGGGTGGCCGAGGGCTGAGGGGGTGCCTTCCTGCTGCAGGAGTGTCCCACGGGCCTGGTGGACGAAGACACCTTCAAACTCATTTACGCGCAGTTCTTCCCTCAGGGAGGTGAGTCTGAGGCAGGGCAGCCCTGCTGTGTCCCAGTGTGGAGGGAGGGGACCCTCCTGCTGCCCCTTGCATCCTGGAGGCTTGGTGCTGCCCCTGTCCCGTGGGAAACAGGGACTCCAAGCCAGGACGCAGTTAGCACCCTCAGCTGGGGTTGCCTGGGGTGGGAGATGAGCCGCCAGGCAGCCCCGACACACCCCAGCCTCTTCCTTGCCCTCCCCAGATGCCACCACCTATGCACACTTCCTCTTCAACGCCTTTGATGCGGACGGGAACGGGGCCATCCACTTTGAGGTAGGTCCTCGCGGATTCCTCCCACGTGTCCTGCCCCTGTGGTTGCAGGAGTGAATCCTTACCCTGGCGTCACTGTCAGGGCTGTCGAGAGAGCCATGGTCCTGGGTGGGAAGGATCTTGTGAGTCACCCTGGGAATGAGTGGATGTGGCTGGCCCTGGGCCAGTGAGCTCTGGGGTGTTTGACTTTGCTGGGCCGGCACCACGTTCTCAGCCTTTTCTTCCATTTGAGAGTTTGCATCCAGCTCTGCCTGGTCAAGGGAGCCCCCGAGACACACACGGGTGGTAGTGACCCAGCGGGAATTTGCATTTTCAAAGGGATCAGGGCTTAACTCAGAGGCCTGGTTTGCTGACGGTGGGATGTGAGACCTCCATTTTCAGAATTTACTCCTTGTTACCCAGAAAATAGGCCAAAAATATCTAGAAAACATCCCAGCCGGAGCAGCCTCCAGGGCTCATCCCAGCTGGGCACTGAGAGCAAAGCCTGGTGTTACCCACTGGCGGAAGGAGAAGCCTGTCCCCCACCCAGACAGCTTCCCTGTGGGGTCCTGGCCTGGGCTCCTCCCCAGCCCCGCCACACAGGATCATTGGAGAGAGGCCCCATCTGCGGAGCCCAAGCCTCTAAAAATAGCTGCAGGCGAAAAGCTGAAACCGCTTTGGGGAGGAAAACCTTTCTGAGAGCCGGCTTGATCGATACCCCGACAGCTTGGCTTCCACTGGGCTAAGGGCAGCTAACAGGAAAGCACAGAGAAGCACATGGGGCCAGAAGGCCCCGGCCACACGGGGTAATAATAACTTGTCGATAAGCTGCGCGGGTTATTTTTATGCCGCAAGCCCGCCAGGCACACTGACGCTCCCCGCCTGCCCTGTGACCACAGGACCCCTCGACTCTGAGCCACACTCTGAGGGCTCTGCACATAGAAGCAGACCGTGTTTTCAAATCTTGTTTTCAGATTTGAAATACCAACCCCACAGCACACAGAAAACACCCGGTTAGCATGGAGGAGCCTCAGGGAGGACTCAAGGTCCTTTCCCTGCCCCTCTCTCCTGGGGTGCCCTTTAAGAGGCACCTGACACTTCAGGCAGTAAAGCATCTTTAGGAAACGGTGTAAGGGAGCAGGCGGGGTGCGAGTGGTTTTTCTTGTTCAGGAATGAGATGACTGAGAGGCTCGGCAGAGCCCCTGCTCATGGCAGTGCTCAGGAAGGTCACAGTCGCCCCTCACCTCCTGTGGCCATCACCCTCGCTGTCCTGAGGGACAGCCTTGTGGCCCTTTAAGGAAGCAGGTGGCAGCCCTCTGGGCTGGGTCTGTCAGTGGCTGTGCTGTGGCCCCTCTGCTGGGCACCTTCTCAGAAGATCACTCATCCCTGGCATCTTCCTGGGCCTTCTGCAGCTTCTCTGCACGTGAAACGAAGTCCTCTGGCTTCACGCAGGTACATTTACCTTGAGGAACTTCTCGATTTCAAAGTGTTCTGCTCTGGGAAGGAGGAGGGCACAAGCCCCCATGGCCCCATCCTGGGAGCCCCACAGACTGGGATCCCAGTGGTCACAAAGGATCCTGCCAGGGACGGAGGCACCAAATCTAGTCTGGAGAACACCGGGCCATCCTCACTGCCAGCCCTCAGAGCCTCCTACGTGCGTCTGTAATGCAAGGCAACCCTGCATGACACTGTCTGCAATGATTCTGTCCCTTTCTGTATATTCTTAGAGACAAGATGCATATTAGTTACAGTTTACTGATATGGTAAAAGGTAATACCCTCCCTCCGCTCACCAAAAAGAATAACCAAAAAGACCAAATCGGAAAACACACAGACCTCAACAGAGCCAAGCGGGCGATGCCATCCCCACACCCCACCTTGGAGTGGCTCCTGCTCCCATCCCCACGGACCTTCTGGGATTTGCCAGCAGCAGGGAGCCCCAGGTGAGCAGCGCCACACACAGATTTGCTGAACGCTCTGGCCACCAGGGCCTTTCTCGTGCAACTCATCTGGCTTGCCAGGACGTGCAGAGCTTCCAAAACGATTCCGTAGACTGTTGGGGCCTCTTCAGTGCCCAGGATCAAGTCAGGCCCAGTTTGGAAGTGGCAGCCAGGCAGGCATCTGGAGGTGCGGCCGCTTCTCTGTTACCTCCCCCGACAGTAAACTGCTCCATGTGCCAGTGGCCAAGCGGCATCCAGGGCCGTGTGAGGGCAGCCTGCAAGCCCAGCAACCACATGCGACTCCCACCCCCTCGCTGAGCACCTGCTCCGGGCTCTGCCGGGAGACCCTCCTGTGCACTCTTGTGCACCTTCACCTGGAAGTATGCTGTGTCACTGGAGCCCTCACCCTGCCTAGCCCCTGCCATGGGGACAGCCGTAGAACAGAGGCTGTGGATGTGACAGGGTTCCTACACTTTGGCATTCAGAGCATGGAGTTACAACTTGCCATGGTTGCACTGTGTATGGCCAAGGAATTTAGAACCAGCGTGCACTCAGACATGGGCTGGCTGGACTTGGGGTCATCTGTGTATTACCTTTATGAATGGAGACTAGCCAGTGGCCTAACAGGACATTCCCACCATCTCCTAGTACTGTCACTACTGTAGCCAACACACAGAGAGAGGCTAAGGGATACTGCATAGGGACATTCCTCAGCTGCTAGCAGCAGGCTCTGTGGCTGAACATGAGGGCTTCTCCGCAGCAGACAGACAGACCACCTGAGGGGCCCATGTCAGCTGAAGATAAGGTGGAGGACAGCGGTGCCTGCCCAGGGTCCCCAGGAGAACGGTGTGCTCCACGCCTTTGCTACCCACTAGGAAGGCCTGTCTGACCCAGGGCTTCAGGGATAACTTAGAATCTTCACTACTGTGTAAACCATGCCCAAGCTTCAGTGATTATTATTCCCTAAACTTGGGCATAGTAGAAATATAACAATGTTTCTCCTTGTTTTTTAATTTTTATTTTTTTTGTTTTATTTTTAGACAGGCTGGAGTGCAGTGGCACCACCATAGCTCATTGCAGCCTCGACCTCCTGGCCTCAAGTGATCCTCCTACCCCAGCCTCCCGAGTACCTGGGACTGCGGGTGCATGCCACCATGCCCAGCTAATTTTTTTATTTTAATTGTTGTAGATGCAAGGTCTCACTATGTTGTCCAGGCTAGTCTTGAAATCCTGGCCTCAAGCAATTCTCCTGTCTCAGCCTCCCAAAGTGCTGGAATTGCAGGTGTGAGCCACCACACCTGGGTGTTGCTTCTTTAAAATATTTTCATTGGCCGGGCTCGGTGGCTCACGCCTGCAATCCCAGCACTTTGAGAGGCCAAGGCGGTCAGATCACCTGAGGTCAGGAGTTTGAGACAAGCCTGGCCAACATAGCGAAACCCCGTCTCTACTAAAAATACAAAAAAAAAAAAAAAATTAGCTGGGCATGGTGGCGGGTGCCTATAATTCCAGCTGCTTGGGAGGCTGAGGCAAGTGAATCACTTTGAGCCCAGGAGTCAGAGGTTGCAGTGAGCTGAGATTGCACCACTGTACTCCATCCAGCCTGGGTGACAGAGTGAGACTCAATCTCAAAAACAAAAACAAAATATATATATATATACACACACACACACACATATATATATATACACACACACACACATATATACACACATATTTATATACACATATATATACACATATATACACACACACACATATATATACACACACACACATATATATATATATATTCATTGTCTTCAGTTATACACACACATGACTGGAGTCCAACACATTCGCAGGGTGCACGTTGGAAAACCAGCAGGTGACCACCACCTTGTCTGCTGTAGCCAGTCACCTGTGCTTGTTTCCATGTCCCCCAGAAGCTTGCTTCCACTTTTCCACCCCCTGCCACAAGTGAGAATTTGGGACTCCCTCAGACATACAACGTTCCCGTCCCCCCAGCCCCCCACCCATCCCCCAGGAGGCTGAGGTGGGAGGATCGCTTGAGCCCAGGAGTTCAGCTTTCCAACAGACTCTAGGCTTCAGGTTGGATAAGGCCTTGGTTTACTCTGATTTGTGAACTGGACCCCTCGCTGAGGCTTGTTGTCCATTGCGATGATCTTTTCCTTTCCTTTGCCTACGGTTAACATTGGTCCTGATGATTAGTTTGTCTGTGTTCTGTGACCTCATTATTCATTCAAGCCCAGGCCCTTCTCCAGTCATCTGAACCTGTTGCCCGGCATCTGCCAGAGGAGGCCCCCCCACCAGCCTCCCACAGCTCCATCCTCGCTGGGGCCTGGTGCCCTCTGGGGCTTCCTCCCCTGTCTGCTGGGCTGGGCCTTCTGGTTCTGGGATCCCTGATCTGCCTTTCTCTTGCTTTACTCTCTGTGTGTTCAGGGGCTTACTGCCCAGCTGCTTCCTATAAAAGAGGATGTGAGCTGTAACTTTGGAGCGTTTGAGCACCTGGGAGTGTCTTTATTCTGTTTTTACTCTTGCTTGATCCATTGTAGGGACCAGCACCCCCAGGGGGAGCTGTTCTCCTTCAAAGTTGGGGGTCGCTTCGTTCCCTGGGCCTCCTGCCTCAGGCGCTGCTGCAGAGCAGGTGCCCCTGCTGACACTGACCCGTGATGGGTCCCGATTTTGCTTTTTCTGTTTGGCTTTGCTTTCCTCTCTGAAAGTTTATAGGATCCTCTGCACCCAATTTGCTGAAATTTCACCATGATCTATGCTTGCAGCTAAACTGCAGGCTGTTTTCATGCATTGTGCCAAGCCTTGGTGGACACTGGAAATCTCTGCTTCCATTCTGGGAAATCGTCTTTCCTGATTGCTCCTACCCACTTTCCTCTGTTTTCTCCCGTTCTTCCCGAACTGCCTGTGTCCCAGCATTGGCCCCTCTGGAGTGCAACTCTCATTATCCTCTGTTCTCCCCTATATTCCAGCTATTTGCCTTCTCATTCCACTTCATGGAAGATTCCATTTGCTCTCCCAACCTTTCTTTTTAAGTCTGTCATTTTGCTTTCTTATTTTTAATTTCCAAGAGCTCTTTCTTTTTTCCAGTTACCTCTTTTTTGGGACATCCTATTCTTATTTTAGTGATGGAAGATTTGTAATCTCTGAACCTAATAGTTGTTGTCAAATTTTTTTCTCCTGGGATAATTTTTGTTCTTCCAAATCGCTTTCCTCTGTCTCTGTCTCTCTCATGGTACAGACTTCTTCCAGTCCCGAAAATCTAACACTTGAGGGGCCTCGGGGCCTTGGTGCATGGCCCTGTCCCTTGCACTCTGACCGTCCTCTGTCCCACTTCGCTGGTACAGCCCCTTTCTCACCCCTTTCTTTCAGAGTAGCCTGGGAGGACCCCAGGGTGCAGGGAGGGTTTCACCTTTAAACCTTCCAAGAGGTAGGGGGAAAACCTGCTTTCTACCAACTGCTGTAACAAAACAGTTGAAGTTGTCACATGGAAACCATTTAAACAGCCATATTCTGTCATATTAGTAGTAAAGTTTCCCATGCCAAAGGCGATGGCCACACACAGCATGTCATGACTCAAGAGTTGAGCACCAGGTTTGGGCGAGGTGGCCCTGGGATTACACCTGTAATCCCAGCACTTCTGAAGCCCAAGGTAGGAGGATTACTTGGGGCCAGGAGTTGGAGACCAGCCTGGACAACATAGCGAGACCCCATCTCTATAAGTATAAAATAAATTAGCCAGGCATGGATTATTCCGAGTGGTCCCAGCTACTCAGGAGGCTGAGGTGGAGGATCGCTTGAGCCTGGGAGTTTGGGACTGCAGTGAGCCATGATGGCGACTGGTGACAGTCTGAGACTCTGTCTCTAAAAACAACAACAAACAAAAAGCTGAGCATCATTCCTCTAGCTATTTAATCTGGAAGTTTTCAAGCACCTTTGCCATGCAGATGCTTGGCAGAATAAACATAGAGCACCTCCTTTATTAAAAGAGTACCCCAGGCGTCTCCAGCGGCAGCACTGCATTAAATGGGTCTAGGACACCATATATATTTGAATATCTTTCTCTGGCATCAGTATCAGCTACCATGCCACTCCTGCCACACATGCAGACACATGCGCATGCACTCACACAGGTTCACACACTCACACAGGTGCACACACAGGTGCACACCCTCACAGGTTCACACATACAGATGCACACCCTCACACAGGTGCACACCCTCACACAAGTTCTCACACAGGTGCACACCCTCACACAAGTTCACACACACAGGTGCACACCCGTGCATGCGCTCACACACGGGCACACACTCACCCTGTGCTGACCTGAATGGATGCCGTCAGTCTCTTAGGGAGGCTCTGTGCCTGTTGGAGGCGTGAATTTCAGTGGAAGCCACACAGCAACTGGAACTAGAACCTGGGCATTGATTGGATGTCACGCCCCACACTCTCCTTTCCCCATAGGACTTTGTGGTTGGCCTCTCCATCCTGCTGCGGGGCACAGTCCACGAGAAGCTCAAGTGGGCCTTTAATCTCTACGACATTAACAAGGATGGCTACATCACCAAAGAGGTAGTAGGGGGCTGGGGGCAGGGATTGTCCCCTCCTCCCCTCCTGCTGCTCCACCCCTCCCGCCGCTCTTCCTCTCCCTGCTCCTGCTGCCCACCTGTCTTCTCCCGCTGTCCATCCAGAGACTGGCCCCAGGGACAGCAGCCAGTGGGCTCTCCTCTCCTGGGCTCGGTCCTGGACACCCCGGTGTGGAGTGTGGGTTCAGGTACCCTGTACCACACATCTCGGTCCAGCTCAGCAAGTGTTCTCGGTCATACTGTCTTACACAAAAGGCCTCGGGGAGATTTAAGTGGAGAAGCCAGAGGTCCTGGCCTTGGCCCCCATCAAGTGAAGGGGGCAGTGCGGTCCCTTAAGGCATGGGTGGAGAGGGGAGCCCTCGCACATGGGCCCACAGACAGGTTTTGTTTGGTCCAAGCACTTTTTCTGCTGCCGCGTCACATTTTGGAGATAAGCACATAGCAATCCATCTCCCACTTCTCTGGGAGATGAGCTTCCCCTAGAGTCAGAAGCTCGCTCTGGGTGCCCTGGAAGCGGACAGGCTTCTCTCTCCAGCTCGTCCGGCCCCTCGCACTCACTGCCTTGGAGGTGCCCTGCACCCTTGGATGCCGCCCGCTCCCTTTGGGCCCTCACAGCCACCCCGGCCTTGCAGCAGGCTCATGCCAGCCTCCCCCTCCAGGAGATGCTGGCCATCATGAAGTCCATCTATGACATGATGGGCCGCCACACCTACCCCATCCTGCGGGAGGACGCGCCGGCGGAGCACGTGGAGAGGTTCTTCGAGGTGAGCGAGCGCCAGCCCTGCCTAGGGAGGGGAGCCTGGCAGAGGAAGGGGCTCTCGCTTTTGGGGCCACCCCGGGCAAGTGGCTTGCCCCTCTGAGCCTCCCTACTCCCCATGAGGAGGTTAAACTTGCCCCTCCAGTCTGGCTGGTTGTCAGAACCCCTGAGAAGTGAACTACACCACTGCTCTGCCCTGTGGACCTCATCTGGGGGCCAGAGCTGGGGATCCTGAGGCAGCTGACCCTGGGCCGGAGCTCCATGCCTCCTGAGAGCTGTGTGGCTCCTCCAGGAAGACGCTCTGGGAGAGGAGCAGGTTGGGGGCCTTCACCTGTATGCATGGCGGCTGCAGGGGCTGCAGGCTTTGCCTCCTACTTGCTGGGGCCACTAGACATGGGCCATCCTGTGACTCAGTTGCTCCCTCTGCCCTGGCTGCCTCTCAGGGAGGTGAGGCGGTCAGATGAGCATGGGGACAAATTCTGGGAAACCCAAGCCCAGGAGGGCTCAGGGAATTGGCCTAGGGGAGCAGTGGGGAGATGCTTGGAGCCTCAGCAGTTGGTTGGGAGGTGGCTATGAAGGGTGGATTATGTGGCCTGGATCCAGAGTAGTCACAGGGGACAAGTTAGAGTGGAGGGAGCCTACCCGCCCATCCACCCACCCGCCCATCCACCCACCCATGACTTCTGCGTCCTCAGGCCAGGGGCGGGGCTGTCTCTGCTGGGGCACAGACTCACTTTGGGCATGGCTTGGGTTGCAGAAAATGGACCGGAACCAGGATGGGGTAGTGACCATTGAAGAGTTCCTGGAGGCCTGTCAGAAGGTAGGTGGCACGGGAGGCTGGGCCACAGTTCTCTGCAGGCTCTACACGGAGGTGGGTGGTTGGCAGCGTCTGCCCCTTCCCTCACCCCAGTCCCACCCCTGCCAGTCCAGGATGTGGCAGCTGTCCTTGGCCCCTTGCCACCTCCTGGACAGCCCCAAGCTCCACTTGCCCTCTTGTCTGAGTCTCCTCCTCCCCACCCACCCCTGCAGCCCACAGCATCCCCCCACTACCCCCACACCCTCCCTCAGCCCAGTCCCTGGAGAACCTCAAGTTAGGGGCAGACATGGGGCCAGCCAGAGGGAGAGGGTCACCGTGGGGAGGCACCAGAGCTTCCGCAGTGTTGCTGCTGGCCCTTCCAGAGAGCACCTCAGGGGGCAGGATGCTGGGCCTCCAGCGCCTCTATTGCCCCACTCCCAGAGCAGTCCTGGTTAGCGCCCACCTCCTCTGGAGGCCAGCCGGGATCGCCTTCATCAGCTCATCCCAGATGGGCTTGCAGTCAGGAGTGGGGTTGAAGACAGGCTGTGCCTCACCAGCTGGGGACCTCGGACCAGCTACTTCACCTCCCTGTCCCCCAGCTCCCTGCACCCAATAAGACAGACAGACAGGCAGTCGCTGCAGGCTCCGAGTCCCTGGCGGGAATCTGCTCAAGGGGGTCGGATTTGGAGCCCACCCAGCACCTGAAGGCCTCCCTTCCTCTCTCCATGCAGGATGAGAACATCATGAGCTCCATGCAGCTGTTTGAGAATGTCATCTAGGACACGTCCAAAGGAGTGCATGGCCACAGCCACCTCCACCCCCAAGAAACCTCCATCCTGCCAGGAGCAGCCTCCAAGAAACTTTTAAAAAATAGATTTGCAAAAAGTGAACAGATTGCTACACACACACACACACACACACACACACACACACACACAGCCATTCATCTGGGCTGGCAGAGGGGACAGAGTTCAGGGAGGGGCTGAGTCTGGCTAGGGGCCGAGTCCAGGAGCCCCAGCCAGCCCTTCCCAGGCCAGCGAGGCGAGGCTGCCTCTGGGTGAGTGGCTGACAGAGCAGGTCTGCAGGCCACCAGCTGCTGGATGTCACCAAGAAGGGGCTCGAGTGCCCCTGCAGGGGAGGGTCCAATCTCCGGTGTGAGCCCACCTCGTCCCGTTCTCCATTCTGCTTTCTTGCCACACAGTGGGCCGGCCCCAGGCTCCCCTGGTCTCCTCCCCGTAGCCACTCTCTGCCCACTACCTATGCTTCTAGAAAGCCCCTCACCTCAGGACCCCAGAGGGACCAGCTGGGGGGCAGGGGGGAGAGGGGGTAATGGAGGCCAAGCCTGCAGCTTTCTGGAAATTCTTCCCTGGGGGTCCCAGGATCCCCTGCTACTCCACTGACCTGGAAGAGCTGGGTACCAGGCCACCCACTGTGGGGCAAGCCTGAGTGGTGAGGGGCCACTGGGCCCCATTCTCCCTCCATGGCAGGAAGGCGGGGGATTTCAAGTTTAGGGATTGGGTCGTGGTGGAGAATCTGAGGGCACTCTCTGCCAGCTCCACAGGGTGGGATGAGCCTCTCCTTGCCCCAGTCCTGGTTCAGTGGGAATGCAGTGGGTGGGGCTGTACACACCCTCCAGCACAGACTGTTCCCTCCAAGGTCCTCTTAGGTCCCGGGAGGAACGTGGTTCAGAGACTGGCAGCCAGGGAGCCCGGGGCAGAGCTCAGAGGAGTCTGGGAAGGGGCGTGTCCCTCCTCTTCCTGTAGTGCCCCTCCCATGGCCCAGCAGCTTGGCTGAGCCCCCTCTCCTGAAGCAGTGTCGCCGTCCCTCTGCCTTGCACAAAAAGCACAAGCATTCCTTAGCAGCTCAGGCGCAGCCCTAGTGGGAGCCCAGCACACTGCTTCTCGGAGGCCAGGCCCTCCTGCTGGCTGAGGCTTGGGCCCAGTAGCCCCAATATGGTGGCCCTGGGGAAGAGGCCTTGGGGGTCTGCTCTGTGCCTGGGATCAGTGGGGCCCCAAAGCCCAGCCCGGCTGACCAACATTCAAAAGCACAAACCCTGGGGACTCTGCTTGGCTGTCCCCTCCATCTGGGGATGGAGAATGCCAGCCCAAAGCTGGAGCCAATGGTGAGGGCTGAGAGGGCTGTGGCTGGGTGGTCAGCAGAAACCCCCAGGAGGAGAGAGATGCTGCTCCCGCCTGATTGGGGCCTCACCCAGAAGGAACCCGGTCCCAGGCCGCATGGCCCCTCCAGGAACATTCCCACATAATACATTCCATCACAGCCAGCCCAGCTCCACTCAGGGCTGGCCCGGGGAGTCCCCGTGTGCCCCAAGAGGCTAGCCCCAGGGTGAGCAGGGCCCTCAGAGGAAAGGCAGTATGGCGGAGGCCATGGGGGCCCCTCGGCATTCACACACAGCCTGGCCTCCCCTGCGGAGCTGCATGGACGCCTGGCTCCAGGCTCCAGGCTGACTGGGGGCCTCTGCCTCCAGGAGGGCATCAGCTTTCCCTGGCTCAGGGATCTTCTCCCTCCCCTCACCCGCTGCCCAGCCCTCCCAGCTGGTGTCACTCTGCCTCTAAGGCCAAGGCCTCAGGAGAGCATCACCACCACACCCCTGCCGGCCTTGGCCTTGGGGCCAGACTGGCTGCACAGCCCAACCAGGAGGGGTCTGCCTCCCACGCTGGGACACAGACCGGCCGCATGTCTGCATGGCAGAAGCGTCTCCCTTGGCCACGGCCTGGGAGGGTGGTTCCTGTTCTCAGCATCCACTAATATTCAGTCCTGTATATTTTAATAAAATAAACTTGACAAAGGAGAGGGATTCCTGTTGGCTTTATCCTAGCTCTGAACTTCAGCTCAGCTCTTCCCACCCCTGCTGCCATTAGCCGTGGATCCTGCCTGGTGCTGTGCTGGTAAATGTTTGACAGCTGGCTCTGGGGGCAGAGAATGCCGCTCAAATTCTCAGGCTCACAGTGTGACCTCACTGAGGCCGAGTGAGGCCGAGATGCACACAGTGGGCCTTTGTGGCCTTCATGGGAAGCGCCAGCCCTGCAGCCTCCGCACAGACCCCACAGGGCAGGAGGACTTCTTCCTGAGGCACCATGTGTATTTCACCCCCAGATAATTTTTCTTTCCCAGTTCCAGGAAGTCATTCTGGGTGTCCCCTTGGCTGGAGAGTGAGGGTCACGGGGCAGAAGAAAGCAATATTTGCCTGAACACATCTCCTGGTGTTTATTTTCAGAAGTATAAGCCCTGTGAGGACAATGCCAGGGAAGGGACAAGAATGAAAGCCTGGGAGGAGGGAGGAGGAGGGTTCCCCAACTCACCAGTTCAGATTGAAGAAATCCAAACACGTTCTAAGCAAGTGAGATAAAAGGGAACTCACCTAAACATGTTACGGTGAATTGCAGAACACCAAAGACAAAGAGATGGCAAAGACAGCCAGAGACAGATTGCCTGCCAGCTCTCCTCAGTGACAGTGATGCGGAAAGACGGGAATGGCATGTCCAGTTTGCCAAGAGAAAAGTAACTACCAACCTGGAATTTTACACCAGGCAAATAAAATATTTTCAATGTGGCATGGTGGCTCACGCCTGTAATCCCAGCACTTTGGGAGGCCGAGGTGGGTGGATCACCTGAGGACGGGAGTTCAAGACCAGCCTGGCCAACATGGTGAAACCCCATCTCCACTAAAAATACAAAAAATTAGCTGGGCATGGTGGCGAGTGCCTGTAATCCCAGCTACTAGGGAGGCTGAAGCAGAAGAATTGCTTGAACCTGGGAGACAGAGGTTGCAGTGAGCCAAGATGGTGCCACTGCACTCCAGTCTGGGGAGGAATAGACTCAAAAAATACATAGTCTCAAAAAATAAATAAATAAATAACTTAGGAGACTTTGCCACCAATAGATAATAGAGAAAAGGGCTTTACTTCATGTGGAAGCAAGGCGATCTCCCAGCTAAAAGTTCCAAGATGCAAGAAGCATGAAGGGTGTAGACAGCAGTAAATATTAAGGGAATCTAAAGAAATGCAATGTTACTTACAAAAATAGTAAAAAAAAATCAGCATAATTTCCAAAAATAGCTAATGCCATATTTCTAGCCTCACTGCTCTCCCAGACCTTATCGCTTCCTCATCAAGAGATGGAGACTAGTTTTCCTGCCCTCAAAACTCAGTAGGACTTCATGTGACTGTCTTGATGAATAGAACATGGCAGAAGTGAGGCTCACTCACTCACATGCGTGATAGCCGGTGCTGCTGGCAGTAAGCGGGAACATCAGTTGGGGTTGTTGGCAGGAAACATATATGGGCTCTCCATGTGGCCTGGGCTTCCCTACAATGTGGCAGCTAGGTTCCGGTTCCCAAGGGCAGGTGTCCTAAGAGAGAACCAAGCACCAGCCGTATTGCCTTTGATGAGCTAGCCTCAGAGGTCAAGCTGCATCACTTCTTCCACGTTCTAGTCAACAAGAGTCACATGAAGTCCTACTGAGTTTTGAGTGTAGGAGAACTAGTCTCCATCTCTTGATGAGGAAGTGATAAAGTCTGGGAGAGCAATGGCGCTAGAAATATTGCATTAGCTATTTTTGGAAATTATACTTTTTTTTTTTTTTTTACTATTTTTGCAAGTAACATTGCATTTCTTTATATTCCCTCAATATTTACTGCTCTCTACGCCCTTCATGCTTCTTGCGTCAGCCTCAAGCACACAGGACAGACAGAAGCTCCCCACGCACCCTTGTGACATAGTCACCCATCTGCCACAACACAAACCCCAGTTCACCATTCACCAGCTGTGTGACCTTGGGCAAGTCACACAATCTCTCTATGCCTCGGTTTTCTCATCTGTAAAACAAGCACAAGGAGAGAGCCTGCATTACAGAATCCGGCTTAGATGAGCACAGGATGTTCAGATACCACATCCAGCTCCAGCAATGGGTGGACCATCTCATGGCCTGGCTTTTGGGAGCGGACCATTCCCTGCCCCAGAACTGCTTCTGCGAAACGCGGCTGCCCTCTGCCTCGATTCTCTGTCATGTGCAGCATCTTCTCTCCGTTAGGGCACACTCCCACCTCCCCCAGAGGAGTTGACTGGACTGAAGATGGCCCTTTCTGCTGGGCATGTCTTTCCCCTGCCAAGCCTTTCAATGGCCCATGGATTGGCTTCCCATGGGACAGGGTCGGGGCTGGTCCAATCCGCTCTGGGAGCCAGCACTGTGCGGCTCCCATCCAGACATCAACGCAGAAGTCTGGGTGGGAAAGGGGCAAAGGCAGGGGAGTCCTCTTGCTCCCCTCACCCTGCCCTGAGGACAGAGTAGAGCTGTGTCCCCAGTCCACATCCCAGGTGACTGCTTGACATATGCCATGTCTCTAAAGCCTTGTAGCATCTAGGGCGCAGGGCAATGCTTCCATTCGGGAACTTTCTGTGTCATCTTGAGAATGTCAGTTTACCTTGCTGAGCCTCGGTTTCCCTTATCTGTAAAATAAGCAACGACAACACAAAACTCCTCTGCTAGGGCTGGTGTGATGATTTCGCATGCACATCTACTCGTCTCTTAATAAACACGGGCGTCCCTCCTTCCTAGCCACTGACGTGTGCCTGCATCTCTCCCTTTTTACGAAATGGTGACTCACACCCATAAGCCATCAGAGAGCGGACAGACATTTCAGGAGTTTCCAGGTATTGGAAACAAATCCGTGCTGGTCCCCAGTTTTCCTGGTAACCCCAAGGCCCGTGTGAGGACCAGCAGGCTGAGGAGGGGTAGTCTGGGCCATCGGGCCACAGCAGGCCACTCTCACTGCGCGGAAATAGGGAGGGAAGAGGGCCCAGAGCTGGCGCTGGCACCCGTGGGCCTGGCCTGTCTCATTCACCCCAACAAGGGCCCTCTCGACAGCGTAGGGTGGGAAAGGCGGGTCCAGAGACGGTGGCCAGCGTGCCCACACCCTCCCCGTTGTGCCCTGTAGCACAGCTTTCCAGAGAATTGGCCGCTCGGGTTTAGAAGGTCCCAGGCTTCTCGGCTGCAGGAGAGATTTCGCAGGAGACAGGAGTGAGGCGTTCGAGTGCTGCGTCCCCCACTGACCGCCAGGGGGCGACTGGGCCCCACCGCGGCCTCCAGCTCCTTCAGTCCTTCGGCCCGAGGAAGCTCCTTGGAGGGAGCTTGTCATTTCCTTCACAGCCCCAAATACACGTTCCTATTTCTGCCTCACTCTCCACATGGTTTGCCCCCAAAACTGAATGTATCAAGTAACGAGCGCACCGAGTGCACCAAGCTGGGTGCTGGGGACAGGCATGACGCGTGCCCCGGCCTAATTCCCCGGGGCGCTCCTAAGAAGCCTGCACGTGACCCGCTAGGCTTTCCGGACCGGACCGAAGACAGCTTGCGAACCCCACTCACACCCTTCACAGGCCCCTGTCGGGTCCGGAAGGCAGGAGACAGCGGCCTTCCAGGAGCCCACGGAAGGAGACCCTTGCAGATAAATGAGGCTCACAGACCTGGACTTTGGCAGGACCACGGCCTGCCCCAGGGAGGTGGAGACGTTTCTGCACTCTCTAGGGACTCTGTGGTCCCTAACCTGTGCCCCGTGGCCCCGAACCCTCAGGAACACCAACACCGTCCTTCAAGTTCACAGCCACCTCCCAGGCTCCCGAGGCTGCACAGTGCTTCGCCCTCCCTGAGCCTAATCATTGCGTCTTTGCTTCGGGCGAGGCTTTGACCTTCACTCCCCACGCCTTCCAAGCGCTGTGTTCCCAGCTCTAGGCAAGGCAGGTGCCATTCTCCATTTATTAAACACCTTCCACACACAGGGCACAGTTGCATCTTGAGTCCACACGGAAGAGGCCGCAGTTCCTGCTGTCAGGAAATTCAAGTCTTGTGGGGACAGCAGAAGGCAGTGAGAACAGGCCCTGATGGTGATGGGGTGATGCGGGAAGTGACCTCAGGGCACAGGCTGGAGATTGCACTTGTGGGGATGCGATGGATGGCACATACATCCCCTAGAACTGTGAATAGAATAGGAGTGAGCAGAACCTTCCTTGGTGTGGGACATGTCTCCCATGTGTTCAGATCACTGTGGAGCCTTTGATCCCCATCACCTGCCCTGACTTTCTGGCAGACGCATTCCAGGCGGAGTTGTCTAGAGTGAGTAAGGCTTTGACACCTACTGTGGAGGACCTCTCTGACCCAGTTCTGCCCTCCTCCAAAGGTGGTTCTTTGATCTGTTCATTGCCCTCATCAACCTTCTGTGTCCCAGACAAGCCCCCAAGTCCAGAGGCACTGCTGCCAGCCCAAAGTAGGTACTGGGCCCTCCCCCAGCCCTCTGGCCCTCTCACCTGGGTCCCAGCCCCTTGGGTTAGGGGCCTACCAAAGGCTGGGCATTCCTGGAGAGGAAATCACTGGTCATGTGTGGGCCAGCTGCGGTGGCCTGGACTTTGTCCCAGCCACCTGATTGCCAAGGGAATGTGCAGAGTCCAGCTCCCTGCAAGGTGAGCTTCACAGGGGTCAGAGATTGGGAAAGAGAGTTGGGGGCTGGGGAGAGGTGGGGCCCTGCTTCACAGGGAAGGGGATCTGAGGGCCGGTGACAGAGCCAGCATGGCCAGGAGTAACCTCATGCCTGTGTGAGGCCAAGATGGTACCAGGAAGAAACTCTCCCCACCCCACCCACACCCCCGCCACTCAAACATCTCATGGATCTAGAAGGGGAACATACGGGTCTTGTTCGCCTTTGGCCAGAGCTGAGAGGTCCTGGCGAAGGGGCTGTGTAGCGGGCGGGGACCTGTCAGGAAGGCCCTGTGTGGCCCTGGAAGGGAGTCAGCCTCCTCCTGCACAGCGCCAGAGTGCAGCCATCTTTAAGTGGTGGTGGCAGCACTCAGTGGACCACCATTGCCTCCCCTGCCCACCCCCACCCGACTGCTGCCTGGCCACCGAGGGCCATCAGTCTTAGCACTGGGCTCCATGCCAGCCCTGCGCACCTTTCTGTTCTCTCTGTTCCTCAAGCAGGAAACCCAGCTTCTCTGGAGCTCACCAGGCCCAGCCATACCTGCCTTTGCTCCTGCTCTTTGACCCGTGCACAGAGCTCCCTCTGTTCAGCTCTTGACCAGCTTTGAACATAATCAAACCCTCCACGGATAAAGGATCTATGTCTACCCCATCCCTCTGCCTGAGATAAAAGGCCCCCAGGAACTTCTCTCTTGCTTGTGGCCTTGGGCACCATGAGGGCAAGGAGGAAGGTCTCCTGACCGAGCACCACTCTTCTGCCTCCCCAGCCTCCTCCCTCTTCTACTGCCAGTAGCCCCCAGTCTCACTGGGGGACCCCTCCTCCATTCTCCATCCATGAAGCCTTGGAGTCAGCCCTCACCTCCAAGGAAAAAAGAGCAAGGCCAGGCCTAAGCCACTGGGTGCATTGCCCCCCTCGGGTCATAGTGATTGGTGGAGGGGCGGGCACATGACCTGATTATCGTCATTAAGGCCCAGGGAGACCTTTGCTGGGAAGGCTGGGAAAGATGCTCCCTCCTCCCCCATCTCTGAAGCTGCAAAGGTGTGAGTCCTGGAGCTGTTGCTGCCATTTTGTCACTGTGAGGAGCCATGGAAGGAAGCCAGCAAGGGAAGTCCTCACTGAGAGGAAACAAAACCTGGGAGAGCATCAGCCCTGCAACTGCACCTGAAGCCACCTCCTTCCAATCGCTGGACTATTCACTTATGCGAGCCAGTGGGGAGGCAAGACTCAGCCAGTGCTGCTGAAGTGAAGGTCACAGGGAGGGAGGCCCTGGCAGGGCTCCCAGGGAGGGGCCAGGCACAGGGCCCTGAGCCTTTGGGGTCGTGAGGCCAGCTGTGGGGTTACACCAGGGTTGAAGGCTCTTAGAGATATATCTGCTGGCAGGCTGCCTGCACTGGAGGGCCTCAGCCTGGGCACCCACCCCAGCCCAGCCCCTCCTCCATGTACTTTCCTCTCCCGAGCTCTCCTGGCTGTGTCCCAACCCAGGAACACAGCATGTGACGCCAGGTGGCACTTTTTCCCAGTTTTGAAAAATCACTAAATACAGTAAAACATCCAGAAACTAAAAATAAGGCCCCAAGGAGCCAGGCATCCGTTATTTCCTGACAGCCAACCAGGATTTAGAAATCCGCAAGTTTCTTGCTTTGTTGACAAACTTTCCCAGCAGAAAACTTCCCAAGTAGGTAGAAGTGTGTTCTGGGCAGAGCAAATGGGCCCCAGAGGAGAAGAATCACTGGTCTCCTCCTTTCACCCCCACCGTGCCCCCACCCCATTCCCTGCCCACTCCAGGGCCCCATTCCTGCTGCCCCTGCAGATGTGGAAAAAGCGACAAGACACTGTTTGGCAGGGACAACCATCTATCCCATCTATCCCACCCGATCCCCCGTCTGCCCATTGCTTCATTCATTGAAACAAAAACCAACAAAAAATAAGTTGTGCACCCAGCACTGTGCCAGGGAATGGGGATAAAATAGCAGAATACCTGCAAAGCCTTCCCTGGTGGAGCCTATACTTTTTCAGAGACAAGACGTTAATAAATTAAATCCTATGAAAAGTATAAATTTACACCCGATGTCATGATCAGGAAGATGAGGCCTATGGTTTGATGAGAGCTTTGGGCCAGGCGCCATGACCTGGGTGCTCCACCAGGGAGCAGCCTTTGAGCCCAGCTTGCAGGATGAGGAGGAAGGGGCTGGGGAAAGGGGTGAGGGATGGAAGGGAGACAGCACTGCCAGGGGCTGTGGCCAGATCCCAGGCACAAATGCTGGGGAAATGGGAGAGGCCCACAGGGCAGAGCCACCCTGAAGGTGTTGGCCTCAGCCTGAGAGCAGCACAGAGCCACTGAGGAGTATTAAATTAAATTGGTGTTTGAAAACCCCACTCTGACTGAAACATGGACACCAGATTGGAAAGGACCCGAGTGGATGCAGAGAAACCAGAGAGGAGGCTATTCTGTTTAGCTATTGCCACATAGCCACTGAGCTTTATCACATGTCACAAGGCCGGGGCTTGACTGGGCCCACTAGGTGATTCTTGGCACGGTCTCTCAAGCCGATTGCAATTAGATAGCAGCTGAGGCAGAAGTCAATTGATAGTTGGAGTGTTCATGGCCAATAGGCATGAGCTGTGGAGCCTCTGGAAGGCACTAATAGAACCATCACAGCTGGACTGCTAGGATTGTGGAGCCAGTCTAAACCGTCTCCTGGAGACAATCACTCTTATTTTGAGAAACAGCCTCTTGCTTTGCTGTTGGGCTTTGGTAAAGACTGAAAACCTAACCATGGGCTGTCAGGCGACCACATGGCCTGAGCTTCCTAAAACAATCTGTATTGTCTGACCCACCTAGTCATAAGCTGGACGTGCCATCAAGTGGTAGTGGCAGATAAGAGCTGGAGCTCAGGCAGTGGGGAGGGGATAGCTAAGCTGCAGGAGCAGGTGGCTCAGGTTCTTTTGATGGCAAGTTCAGTTGCATTGCTTCCTCTCCCTCCATCCCTGCCTATGGCTTTCTGCATGTTCTTTAGGATCAGTTTACTGAGGAAGAAGAAACTCAAGCAAGACTTACTAATGGATCTGTACAATCGGCCTATACCACCCAAAAGTGACAAACTGCACATGGCAGCCCCACTCAGGGATGACTCTGAAGGGCAGTGGTGAAGGAAGTCCTCCCATTAGATAGAACTTTAAGCAGTATATTTGGCTGTCTGGAGTAAGAGATGGCGGAAAGTATGGTGGCAGGAATGGGGTCTATGCATGGTCTCAACTATGTGGATTTCCCCTTCTCAAGGTGGACCTGGCTGACGCTACTGCTCAGACTCAGTCAGCCAACAACAGAGACCAATGTCAAGTCCCTGCTATGGCACCATTCCCCATGGAAACTGGCCAGCCACCTGGTGTCAGGTTGATTACACTGGACCTCCTCCATCATGGAAGAGGCAGAGGTTTTCCCCGATAGGACACATATTCTAGAGGGTTTCAACTTCCCTGCCCAGCATCGTCTATGGACTATAAGAAGCGGGAGTGCTTCTCTCACGAGTACATCTAATAACCTCACTTACAGCAGTTTTGTTTCTTGTCCTGGCCACTTTGAGCTCTGCTGGCTTGGAGATATTAGTACTCAAAGGGACAGTGCTTCCCCCAGGAGACAGAGAAGTTAAGACTGCTTCCTGGTCATGTTGGGTTCCTTATGCCACTGAATCAACAGGCAAAACAAGAGGGTTGATCCAGTGGCTGCAGCGATGGGTCGATCCAGTGGCTGCAGCGATGGGTCCTGATGACCAAGGGGAAAATTTGGTTCCAAGGGAAATATGGTTGCTACAATAGATGCAAGATTCCAGCGAGTTTCACCAGTGTAAAACTACAGCATCCTGTCTGCCGTCTCCAGCGAGATCTGGCTCTCATGGTCTGTGGGGTGGGAGCTTCTTCCTTGGGTGCTTCCTTGTATCTTAGGAGTTTGGCTGCTTTTTTTTTTTTTTTTTTTGAGACAGGGTCTCCCTCTGTACCCCAGGCTGGAGTACAGTGGCGTGATCATGGCTCACTGCAGCCTCAATCTCCCTGCCTCAAGTAATCCTCCCAGCTCAGCCTTCTGAGTAGCTGCAACCACAGATGCACACCACCATGGCTGGCTAATTTTTTTATTTTTTATTGTAGAGACAGGGTCTCACTATGTCGCCCAGGCTGGTCTCAAACTCCTGGGCCCACGAGATCTTCCTGCCTTGGCCTGCAAAGGGCTGGTATTACAGGCATAAAACACCACGCCCAACTTGGCTGCTCCTTATATCTAGTTCTTCCTTAGTCCTTAGAGTTCTCTTTACTTGTTACCAGCCTATCCCTCATGGCTCCAATCCCCTGTCATAGTTGCTACTTCCCTGTATTAAACTCAGTCTGTTCCAATCCCTGTGTGATTTCTCTCTCCTGATCAGACCTAGACTGATGCACTGTCCTGAGAGCCAGGAGGCAGCTGGGTCACTGATTAGAACCTAGTTGTGATGAACTGGATTGTGCCCTCTCCTCATCCACATGTTGAAGTCCTAACCCCAGTACCTCAGAATGTGACTGGATTTGGTGATAGCGCCTTTAAAGAGGTAATGCAATTAAAATGAGGGCTCTAGGGTGGGCACTAATCCAACCTGATTGGCATCCTTATAAGGAGAGGAAATTAGGACACATAAAGAGACACAAGTGCCATGTGTGCACAGAGGGACAACCATGTGCAGAGGCAGCCAGGAGACAGCCACCTGTAAGCCAAGGAGAAAGGCCTCAGAAGAACCCAGCCCACCGACACTATGATCTCAGACTCCTGGCCTCCAGAACTGAGGTGACAAATTGCTGCTGTTTAAGCCCCCCAGGCTATGGTACTTTTTGCAGCAGCCAAGCAGGCTGACAGGCTAGCTGTGGAAGGAATGCAGGGTCCTTCCCCCATACTCTACTTGTCAGAAGTGAATTGCTAGGTTCCGCCCGCAATAAAGGCAATGGACATGGAAGACATGTCAAATAATTTGAGGACATGTTTTTAAATCACCACAGAGGCCATAGTGGGAGTGCAGCCAGCAGGGTCAAATAGCGTCTTGGCCTGGATGGTGGGAAGTCTATTGGTTCAGATGATGTGGGGAGGTAAAGTTGCCAGGATGTGAAGATGCAAATGGGAATGACGTGGGGAAACGGCAAAGACTGAATTCTGGCTTGGGGTCTGCCCAGGTGGATGGTCAGAGGATGCCATGACATCCTCTGAGATACAGAAGAGGACCACATTTGATGTGGAAAAATCATGAGTTCATGTTGAGCTTGTGGTGCCTTTGAGACATCAAAATGAAAGTGTCCAATAAACAGCTGAGTTTATGGAGATGGACACATGTGAGTCTTCTTTCTGTACGTGGCAACTAAACCATCAAGCCTGTAGTTGATGTTGTGAAAATGTGGCCTGAGGGATCCTACTGAGTGAGAAGAGACATAAGTACCGTGCTTTGAGAGGCAGCAACATTTATAGGTTGGATGGAGGAGAGTGAGTCTGAAAAATGACTGAGATAGAGGAGGAAAATTCAAGACAATGTGATATGATGGAAGACCTATCAATAGAGACTATGTTTGGCTGCAAGTAACAGGGATCCAGAATAATAGTAGCTTTTAAAACCATAGATTTGTTTTTTCTCTCTTGCATAAAAGGCCAACAGAGCATTGTTTGGCATTGGTTTGGCAGCTCAACAATCCTCAGGGATCCAGCTCCTAGCTCCGGTAACCTGTCACCTCAAGGCCAGAGATGGCCCTTCATGCTCCAGCCATCACATTCACATTTCAGCCAGCAGAAAGAAAGAAGGGTGAAGAGTAAGGGACTGCGGATTCTTTTTAAATAATTCCTTTAACTCCCAAACTTTTCTATTTAGATCTTGCTAACCAGACTAACTCTCATGGTCTCATGTAGCCTCAAAGCATGACTGAGAAATGAATCTCTCTATTCTATGCAGCCACATATCTAGCAAATAAATGGTGTTTTACTGCTGAGGAAGAGGGAAAGAAAGAATACTGGAGGGCAACCAGTCACCTCTGCTGGGAAGCCATGGGAAGGCAGTATTTAAAGCACAGGGAAATGGCCCAGAGAGGCCAAGAGTGCTTAGAGGTAATGATAAAAAGTGTCTTTTGAGCCGGGCATGGTGGTGGGTGCCCCTGTAGTCCCAGCTACTTAGGAGGCTGAGGCAGGAGAATCGCTTGAACCCAGAGGCGGAGGTTGCAGTGAGCTGAGATCGCGCCACTGCACTCCAGCCTGGGTGACAGAGCGAGACTCCATCTCAACAACAACAACAACAACAAAAGTGTCTTTTGGTCTTAGCACCATGGAAATCACTGGGGACTTAAGTAAGACTTGTTTCAGTGGAAGGATGGGGGCAAAGGTCAGATCAGGATGAATGAGGAATGAATGGGAGACAAGGAAATCAAAGCGAAGATTCATATGGGAATTAAGCTCCTGTAGGAGACTTTCCAAGGAAGGTTGGTGAGCGATGTGGGAGGGGCAGCTGGAGGGAAGTGGGGCCAAAGAAGAGTTTTGCTTGGTTTTGTTTAAGATAGAGAGATCTGAGCATGGGGGAAGGACGTGCAGAAGAGGCAGAGCCCTGCTCAAGAGGAATACGGGGTAATTCTCAGTGTAAGGCAACCAAGGTGCAGGGGCTCCTGCACAGGACTTGAGGCCTGGAAAGGGGTCGTTCCTCATCAGCGGGGCTAGCACATGGCAGGTGCCGGTGTGGAGGGTCTGAGGGCATGGGAGTAGGAAATGGAGGGCATTCACCCCAAGTGAGGGCTTCTGTTTTCTCTGTTAAACATGCGAGTTACCAACCAGAGCGAGGGTGAGGCAGAGAGAGGAGCAAGCCGCCTGTGGGGCTGGGCGTGCATTGAGGCAGTGACAAAGAATTCATGGCAAAACCAACCCACATCATAAGGGTGGCCATAGAGAAAGCAGGGTTCAAAAGCTTTTATTTCCCCTTTGATTATTCAGCCACATTGTCAATGGAAAAAGTCACAAAATGTAGAAATTTAGCCAGGAGAGCTTTATCTCTTAGAAAGGGTTGCCACCTGCAGGATGGACATCCCACAGGTGGGGAAACGTGGCCTTTAGCAGAAACCAAAAGCAGGCACTTCAGAGGAAAAAGCGGAGAGGCTGAGGTGTATGCCCAAAGACAGGAACTATACATACATATTCAGTAAGTTATGAGACCCTTATGAATATTTATGAGGGGATCCTAACACATGCAACTGAATAATCCTGTGTGTTGCATACAACCCATGTTCACTTTGGGGTGGAAACATAACATTAAATGCCTAAAATTAGGCTCTATAGGTCAAAAGGTAGAAGAACATTAGCCAGGTGCAGTGGTGTGTGCCTGTGGTCCCAGCTACTTGGGAGGCCAAGGTGGGAGGATGGCTTGAGCCCAGGAGGCAGAGGTTGCAGTGAGTCAGCATCATGCCACTGTACTCCAGCCTGGGCAACAGAGCCAGGTCTGCCTTAAAAAAAAAAGAACACAAAGGTACTCAGTGCGCAGCCTCTATAAACTGGCCAGAACCAGCCCATGGTCAGTGGTGTCTTATCAGGAGAAAATTACTGAAGTCAGTCTCTTGTTCAATCAAACCTGTAGTTATGCTTTGTGGAATGGAGTCTGGAGTCTGGGGGCATCAGTTAGCATCTGACAATTGGTAAGTTAGAACATTTATTATTTTAGTGTAGGGGTATGTGACTTTTGCCTGGCATGGCCTTAGTCTTATTTATAATTTCATAATTTATAAGCCACAAAGACTCCATTCCATCAGTCTTATGATCTCTGTTTTACAACCCTGGATTTGTCCAGCTCTCCACCATCTCTTGTCCTAGGTACAAGCAGTTTCTCCAAGGAGGTGTCTACACCCAAACAACCACTGGCCTGTTTCCTGTCACTACACATTCATTTGCATTTCTAGTGTACTGTAGCCCCTTCTTTTTTTTTTTTTTTTTTTTGAGATGGAGTCTCGCTCTGTTGCCCAGGGTGGAGTGCAGTGGCGCAATCTCGGCTCACTGCAAGCTCCACCTCCTGGGTTCACGCCATTCTCCTGCCTCAGCCTCCCAAGTAGCGGGGACCACAGGTGCCCGCCACCACGCTTGGCTAACTTTTTGTATATTTAGTAGAGACAGGGTTTCACCGTGTTAGCCAGGATGGTCTCGATCTCTTGACCTCGTGATCCACCCGCCTTGGCCTCCCAAAGTGCTGGGAATTCAGGTGTGAGCCACCACGCCTGGCCTGTAGTCCCTTCTTATCCATGGTTTTGCTTTCTGAAATTTCAGTTACTCAAGGTCATCCATGGCCCAAAAATATTAACTGGAAAATTGCAGCAATAAGCAATTCATAAGTTTTAAATTGTGTGCTGCTCTGTGTACTGTGATGAAATCCTGCACTGTCCTGCTCCATCCTACCTGGGACAAGAATCATTCCTCTGTTCAGCTTTTCCATGACGTCTGCCCTCCTTGCCCCTTAGTCACCAATGAGCTGGCTCCGTGATTAGATCCACTGTCGTGGTACCGCAGTGCTTCTGTGCAAGGCACCATCATCTGACTTCATAATGGCCCCAGAGCAAAAGGGGAGTGGTGTCGGCATTTCCGATATGCCAAAGAGAAGCCTTCCTTTATGGGAACGCTCCTGACTTAAGGAAATAAAACAAAAATCACATAATGAGGTTGCTAAGAGCTACAGAAAGAACGAATCTTCTATCCATGAAATTGTGAAGAAGGAAAAAGAAATTTGTGCCAGTTTTGCTGTCGCACCTCAAACTGCAAAAGTTATGGCTACAGTGTGTGAGAAGCACTTAGTTAGGATGGAAAAGGCATTAGATTTGTGGGTGGAAGACGTGAACAGAAACATATTCTGATTGAACAGCAACCGTGTAGCACCAGGTTAACTTCATCTGGATTAAATTTGATCACTGGCATGTATATATAGGAAAAGACGTAGCAGATGTAGGGTTTGGTACTATCTGCAGTTTCAGGCGTCCTCTAGGGGTCTTGGAAAGTACCCCCCAAGGATACTCTATACAAATGAAATAATTCCATATGTACTCATTTTTAATCTCTTTTTCACTCTGAATAATTATCTTGATATATATCCATGTTGCATCAACAATTTGTCCCTTTTCATTGCTGGGTAGTATTCCCTAGTGTGGCTATAACAGAGTGTTTACACATTCACCTGTTAATGAAAAATTGAGTTGTTTCCAGTTTGGGGATTTTGTAAAAAGGCTGCTGTGAACATTTCTGTATAAGCCATTGCATAAGCATTTTTTTTAAATTTCTCAGGTAATTACTATAAAACAAAAAAACAAATCTGGATTATATAAGGAGCGAATTTATTCCAAAGGATTGTTGTGGGGGTGACCATTGCAATAGGGAAACGTTGCAGTGCGGCCACTCGCAGGCTTCCCATATGATCTGCAAGTGTCTCAGAGGTTAGGCAAAGGGCTGATCTTGTATAGGGAGGCGTAAACGTGGCTAGAAAGAACTGTTATGGGAAAGTGGGCTGAGCAAGAGTGTCACGATCGAGGAGGTCTTACCCTGCGGACAGCCTGTTCTCAGGAGGGAACCTCAGGAGGGCTGCGGGTTGGCACAAGCTGTGGGTGGGCCAAAGCTCAAGGGCTTGGAAAAGGAGAGAATCTGAACCAAGGTTTGGTTACAGGCTTTTGTTCTTATTGATCTGTGGGACAAGCAGCCCAGCTAATCATTTATGAGGCCAAGAATGGGAATTTAGAGGGTCTGTGTCTGGCCTGGTCACAGATAAACAAGGGAGCATCTGGGAGTCTTATCCAGGTTATATAGAAAGTCACTGGTTCTTTCCAGTAGGGGGTTTTCTGGAACAAAAGAGTGGTGGGATTCCTTAACCTTCACTATTTCTAGAAGCAAAGGGCTAAGGTAAAATTCAATACTGTCAATAGTCAGGATTGAAATGGCTACATCATATGGTAGGTGTATGTTTAATTCTCTTCATACACTGACAAATGGTTTTCGATCGTGGTGGTACTATTTTATAATCCCATCAGCAGTGTACAAGAATCCCAGGTCCTCCACATTCTTGCCAGTACTTGGTATAATCAGTCTTCTTTGTCCATTCTAGTAGGTGTGAGATGGTGTCACATTGCGCTTGCAATTTGCATATCCTTAATGATTAATGATGTTGAGCATCTTTTCATGTCCTAATTTTTTCTTTCTTTTTTTTTTTGAGACAGAGTCTTGCTTTGTCGCCCAGGCTGGAGTGCAGTGGCACGATCTCGGCTCACTGCAAGCTCCACCTCCCGGGTTCCCGCCACTCTTCTGCCTCAGCCTCCCCAGTAGCTAGGACTACAGGCGCCCACCACCACGCTCGGCTAATTTTTTGTATTTTTAGTAGAGATGGGGTTTAACTGTGTTAGCCAGGATGGTCTCGATCTCCTGACCTTGTGATCCGCCTGCCTCGGCCTCCCAAAATGCTGGGATTGCAGGCGTGAGCCACTGCGCCCAGCCTTCATGTCCCAATTTTCTGTCTGTATATCTTATTTGATGAAATGTCAGTTCAAATATTTTGTCCATCTAAAAAATTGAATTGTTTGATTTTATCTACTGACTTTTAAGCATTCTTTCTATATTCTGGATACAAGTCTTTTTATCAAATATAGCCTTTACAGATATTTTCTTCCAGGCTGTAACTTAGCTTTTCAGAAAGTCTTTGGGAGCTATGGCTTAGTGAAACCCTTGTGCCAGGTTCTCCTCAGCGAATCCCCCTGATCACAGCCACCCCCATAGGTTCCATTTCAATATCTGTGGTGACCTTCTGCAAGCTAGGCTGAAGTCCCAAGCTCCAGACCCATGTCTCCAACTGCCCACCGTTCAATGCCCTTTGGATGTCCCATGCAAATCGGAGCTCACCATCCTCTCCCCAGACCCGCTGCTCCTCCAGGAGCCCTGTCTCCATGAACGGCCCTGCACCTACCGAGCTAGAGACCCAGGAGTTGGCCTTGTACCTCCTTCCTTCTCACTTCCACCTCCTGTCATTCAGAGCTGTCAGTTCTTCCTCCTGAACATCTCTGGACACTCACCTTCTCCACCACGCACCGCACCACCATTGTTCTCAACCGCACCACCCACCCAGACACCTTTCCTCAGACGGGTGGCCAGAGAAAAACTTCTCAAATAGAAGTCGGGACATGGCACGCCACTGAGAACCTTCCAGCGGTCTCCTGTGCACGTAAACAAGGTCCAGACTCCTTCGTGGGACAAGTAAAGCTCTTGATGATCTGGTCCTTGAGTAATGTGGGGGCCACTTGTACAGAGCCCCTCACACTGTTCAAAGTCGGCAGCTGAAGAGCTGAGCAGTAGCTGTCTGTGGAGTTCAGCTGCCACTCCCTACACGCCTGCCCTCTGCAGGGGATGGAGTCCCGTTTCCCCACTTCCCCACCTGCGCCCAGCAGTGCAGGTGAAGGCCTGGCTGCGGAGAGTGGCTGGGAAACGCTGCGCTTTGGGGTCAGGAATGCCAGCTCCACTACTCACCGCCTGTGTCACCCTGGGAAAACAGCTCTGGCCCCAGGTTCTCCATAAGTAAAACGGGGGCAGTCATCCCTCCCCTCCTCAACGACATATGTCAGAATCAGAAGCCACAAATCATTCTCTGCCACCCAGCACGCTGCCTTGGTCTCCTAGACCACTTTCCCCAACAATGGGAAAGGCGCCAGGCCCAGAACAAGGCCGAGACCGGATGAGGCCAGCGAAGCGCCCAGGGACAAACCTTCGGGCAGCGCCCACTCTCGAGTTCAGGCAAGTGCAGGGTCCCTCCGAGAGAGAGCGTCTCCAGAGAACGCGGCTGGCGCCTGGCTGAACCCGTAGCCTGAAGACCCGCCGGAGCCGCCCGCCCCACGATGGGCCCGCCCCTCCGGGATTGGCGCCCTGCTAGTGGCCATTGCCTGTGACGTCACAGGATCGCGCCCGCTTTTCTCTCGGGTGATCCGGCCGAGTGGCCCTGGGTTAGCAGCTGCTGCATTTCCCCGGCTGGCTGCGGTCACTGGTGGCAGTGCTCAGGCGCCCGCCGCCCTTGACCTTCGGCCCCGCGAGCTCTAACCCTACAGCGCAGGAAGATCGGCCGCCGCGGCCAGGTAGGACGAGCCTGGCTGGGTCTAGGCCAGAAGGGTGTCCGTGGCGCCGGTCTCCCGCGGAGCGCAGAACTAGTACCGGATCCCCAGCCGCTTCTGACCACACAGACGGGGCGGACCTGTGTGAGCACTCACTAACTGTCGGGGCTGGAGCTGGGCATATGGGGAAACTGGGGGACCGGCACGGGTTCCAGGCGAGTGGACGGTGGGATGGAATCCGACGTGCACACCCATGTCTCAGGCTTTGTTTGATGGAGGCTACTGTTTCCACCTCATGTCGCCGCCCCTTTGCTTATGGACTCTTGCAGAGTTGGATTGAGCTCGGGCTGTGTGATATAGTGGTTGTTGCAGAAGCCCCAGGGCCACTTTCTGACTAGTACCTTGGGCACCTGACATCATCCCTTTGAGTCTCAGTGTCCTCTTCTTTAAAGTGAGGGCGCTCTACCTGAGGAGATTGCTGTAAGGTTGGAATGAACCTGCATGTGTGTGTCATGTGGGAAGGGAACAGTCAGTGGGGCCTGGGGTTCTCTTGGAGAGCTGGTAACCAGCCTCGTCCCTGAGGCAACAGCCAGAGGGCGCCTGTAGTTTCCCCACGCATGTCTGTTAGCAGTTACGGCCTCTGGAGGATCTCCTGTGGGAGGTCCCTACTTCTCACTACAATCTTTAGAGACTTTGGAGGATTTCCTATGGAAGGTCCCCACTTCTCACCACAACATTCTGGGTTAAAATGGCCTTGGTAGGGGGATGGGGGCTGAAGCTGGATTTTTTTGCTTGCATTACAAGCTTCTGAACCAAGGACTTCATGTCACCTGGACTTGGATTCACATCCCAGCTCCTTCCTCTCCTAGCTCTAGGACTGTGTAACCTTGGGCAAATCTCTTAACCTCTTTAAGCCTTAATTGTTTCATCTGTAAAATGAGGCTAACAGTACCTACCTTCCACAATTGTCGAGAATTAAATCAGACATTGTAGGTAGAGCACTTAATAGTTGGCATTCAGCGGCAGCAGTTACTGTTATGTTAGCATGTGGAGTGTCTGAGTGTGTGCACATTGGCTCGAACAGCCTTTTGACAGTGGCACAGTTGGTGCTTGTGTAAGACAGCAGGGCAGAGAAGTCAAAGCCCTCGGTTTTCTAGTCAAACTGGTGGGCCACAACAGTGGTGACCTAAGTCTAATGAATCTTCAACTGAACAAGGCAGATTGAATCTCCAGGTGAGGACCAAGAGTCTGGGGATCAGCTGCCTCCACATTTTTGGGCATAGAAGGCTGTACAATACCGCCTTTGTTGTAAGAGCAAGGAACCATTCAGGGAAGGCACCATGTGGTAAGGAATAGAGGCCAGACGTGGATTAAGAACAAAACAAGAGAATAGTGTTTGTCTTTAAGTGGAGCCTTGGACTCAAAACAGGATCTGAGCCCTGAGGATTTTTTTTTTTTTAATTGAGATGGAGTCTTCGTCTGTCACCCAGGCTGGAGTGCAGTGGCGCGATCTCAGCTCACTGCAACCTCCTTCCCCTGGGTTCAAGCGATTCTCGTGTCTCAGCCTCCCTAGTAGCTGGGATTACAGGTGGCTGCCACCACACTCGGCGAGTTTTTTGTATTTTTAGTGGAAACGGGGTTTCACCACGTTGGCCAGGCTGGTCTTGAACTCCTGACCTCAAGTGATCCACCCACCTCGGCCTCCCAAATTGTTAGGGATATCACGCATGAGCCACTACAACTGGCCCTTGTGGGAAGGCACAGCCATGTCTCCTGAAGTTAACAAGCACTAAGCTTTCCCAAGTAGTGAAATGTCAAGCCCCTGCTTCTGTCACTTATTTGTTCATTCAGCAGAAAGTCACTGAGAGCCTTCTGTGCACCAGGCACAGTGCTGGGCAGTGAAAGAGACAGACATGTGCCCTGGACCCAGGGAGATGACAAGTGATGGCTGTCAGGCCCAGACCCTGTTGTTTGTCTGCAGCCTCTTCCCTCAGGCAACTTGTTCTCTATCAGGAGAAACGAAATAATTATTATCTGGAGAGGCAGGTGGGGGCGCTGCTCCTAGAAGACTGGGACAGCCTGGTAGAGGTTCTAGCTTGATCATGTGAGCAGTGGAAACCATTTTAAGTAGGAGGTTAACAGGACCAAAATAGCATTTAAAAAATTGTTTATGGCCACTGTGAAGCCAGTTTCACCAGCGTCACTTGCCCATGCTGGGCTGCCACCCAGCTAATTCCTGGTCCTGCTCATTTAGCCCAGCTCAGCTCACATCACTTCCTCCAGAAACTAGAGAAGGGTAGAGCCCCTGACCATCTTCACAGCATTAGTCCTGATAGCTGAATCTTACGTCAGTTGTTAACATCTGTGACCTGTGCAGGGAGAATGGCAGGGCTGAGTTTCACCTACATTGTTTCCCCAATACCTACAGCAGAGCCAAGCACAGTGGGAACTTTCAGAAAGCACTGGTTGAAGGAACGCTGGAATCCCTGGGACTTACTGCGTAGCATGTAGTAGTTGCTCCTCTAGAAAAGTTTCACCTTATGAAGTATAGCAGGTAAAATACAAGCCTGGACCACTTCCCGTGTGGTATGCAGGGAACGGTTGATGGGGCAAAGGGCCTCGGGCTATAGCCCTAGGAATTTCAGGGAACCTGATGATGGCTCTGGGATCCTCTGTCTCCTGGATCCTGCATTTTTCTCTGCAGGCTCTGATGCTGGTGTCTGGTAGAAGAAGGTTACTCACAGTTCTGCTGCAGGCTCAGAAGTGGCCCTTTCAACCCTCCAGAGACATGAGACTAGTGCAGTTCCGGGCACCCCACCTGGTGGGGCCTCACTTGGGCCTGGAGACAGGGAATGGTGGAGGGGTTATCAACCTCAATGCCTTTGACCCCACACTCCCGAAGACGATGACGCAGTTCCTAGAGCAGGGAGAGGCCACCCTCTCAGTGGCAAGAAGGTAAGTAAGTGGGCAGCATCGCCCTGAAGCAGCTGCCCTGGTCCCCCTGCACCCTCCCCGCTCTGGGAAACAGCACCAGCAGGTAGCTCTTTTGCAAGGGAGCAGAGTAACCCCACCTTTCCTTTTCTCCCGTTCTCTTAAAAGATCCTTAGAAATCTTACATAATAACATCTTCAGTTTTCAGAGGAGAAAACTGAGAGCTAGGGGAGGTGATTAACAATTTGAAGGCCATACATGTGGTGCTGGAACCAGGACTCTATACTTCATCACACTGCCTCCTCTGGGAATGAAGTCCTGGACTGACTGACGGGTCTGGGCCCGGGGGTCCTAAAAGGCATCTTATGCAGCTGGGGGAGTGATATAGACTCCCAGCTCCTACAAGGAGAGAGGACTGCAAGGAGGTTTTCTATAAGACACTTGGTTCCTGGGTTTGGACTAGATTAGGTGAGAGTGTCCCTGAAGCCTGGACCCCTATAGAATCTGGTCTAAGGAGCTGATGAACAATAAATTAAAAATACTTTAAGATGTCATTTTCATCTATTAAAATGGAAAAAAATACAAATGTTTCACAGCTCACAGTATTAACAGTATGTTCCCATATTGCCATATTCTGCAAAGACTGGAAATCTCCATGCCCCTCATTAGGGACTTGGGTATATCTCTATAGAGCAGTAATATGCAGCCACAAGAAATAAAGAGGACACTCTCTATGTATTGTTACATATTGTTAAGCAGAGATCTCCAAAATCAGTTGTTTTTTTAAAAGATGTAAATAGTATGCTATCATTTGCATACAAAAGGGTGGGAGAAGAATATCCATAGAGTAGCTGCGAAGAGCCAGGGGAACGGGGTAACCGGAAGGGGAAAGGGAAACCTTTCCATGTATTCCAGTTTGTATCTTTTACATGGACATGAGTTACCTAAGGGGGAGAGGAAATCAACACTGGATAAATAAAAGCCCTGCTCTGATAGCAAAGGACAATAGTCAGTGATTTTCACACTGACTCTGATGGTTGATAGAGCTAGGAAATAGATTTCAAAAAGCAAAACCTGTAGCTGCTGCAGGATCTGCCCAGCCTGCCCGGGATTGCCCACCTGTTCCCAGCCAGACCCTCTCACCTGCTCTGGTCTCTACAGAGCCCTGGCTGCCCAGTTGCCAGTCCTACCACGGTCGGAGGTAACCTTCCTGGCTCCAGTCACACGACCAGATAAGGTGGTGTGTGTGGGCATGAATTATGTGGACCACTGCAAAGAACAGAACGTGCCCGTGCCCAAGGAGCCCATCATCTTCAGCAAGTTTGCCAGCTCCATCGTGGGGCCCTATGATGAGGTGGTCCTCCCACCACAGAGCCAGGTCAGTGTCTCCCCACTGCCCTCCCTAGTCACTGGGCCCATCACAAGGGCATTCTGAGCTCAGTATTGAGCCTACTGGAGCCACCTCTCGCTCAATAGCGCATTCAGCAGAAACTCTACAGGATTGTACACACAGTAGTAACACTGGCCTTGGAAAAAAAAAGTTAATGTACGTGTTTTCCTGGTTACAAAAGCAATGCACCTTCACTGTAGATAATAAAATAGAGATAAACATTAAAAAATTATGTCACCCATAATCCCACTGCCCATGGCTCGGAATATTAATGTTTTTCTGTCTACCTTCCCAGTGTTTCTCCGCTCCTGTATATGTTTATACTGTACATATACTTACCTTTTACTTAAGACTCCATCAGGAGCATTTTTTCATGCCATTAAGTATTCGCCCTGACACCACGGAGTTTGTTATGTAGATTAGTTTATTCCTGAGTACCTTACTGCTGGATACTGTTTCTAGTTTTTGGCTTCTATAAATAAATGTTGCAGTAAACATCCTTATGTGGAAAAGGCTTTGCATGTCCATTAATACATTATTATTTCCTTTGAATAAACCCTTTGGAATTTAAATATGTCAGCGTATAGGCAGTATTTCAAAATTTTTGAAAAATTCTGCCAATTGGCCTTTTAAAAAATTGTAAAAGCAACTTACACATCCACCAGTAGTGTATATACCCTTTCTAACACTGGTTACTTTTTCTCTCAGATTTTTATTTTAGAAATGTCTTGAAAATTATAGAAAAGCTGGGAAAATAATACAGTGAACACTCAGATAACTTTTCCACCTGGTTTCATTGTAAACATTTGGCCATATATCCTTTTTCTCCCTTGTCTTCTCCCTGCCCTCCACATGGCAAACACACATTTTTTTTTTTTTTTTTTTTTTTTTTGCAGGGTATGGGGTGGAGGGGACCTTTTAAAACACATTGGAAATATTAAGACAATTTAGTCATAAAAACGTAAATAGGCATCTTCTAAGAATAAGGACAATGGCTTGCATGACCATCCCACCATTATCACAACCAAAAAAATTAACTTGAATAATATTTAATATGAAATCCAATTGCCCCAATTCCCAATCGGAAGTACTGCTGACTTCCCCAAAGATAACTTCTAATTTGGTTACTTCGTTTGTTGCTCCATGATCAACCAAGGCCACACACTGTATTCAGTTATATCTCTTTAGTGGTTTCAATCTAGGACAGGGTTCCATAGACTTTTTCTTAAAGGGCTGTATTAGTCTGTTTTCATGCTGCTGATAAAGACATATCCGAGACTGAGCAATTTACAAAAAAAAGAGGTTTAATTGGACTTACAGTTCCACGTGGCTAGGGAAGCCTCACAATCATGGCAGAAGGCAAGGAGGAGCAAGTCACATCTTAGGTGGATAGCAGCAGGCAGAAAAGAGCTTGTGCAGAGAAACTCCCATTTTTAAAACTATCAGATCTCATGAGACCCATTCACTATCATGAGAACAGCACGGGAAAGACCTGCCCCCATGATTCAGTCATCTCCCACCGGGTCCGTCCCATAGCACGTTAGAATTATGGGAGCTACAAGTTGAGATTTGGGTGGGGACACAGAGCTAAACCATATCAAGGGCCAATTAGTAAATATTAGGCTTTGCGTGTCATATGTTCTGTTTTGCAACAATTCAACTCTGCTGTTATAGTGTGAAAACCACGATACAGAAATGAATGATGGGTTTCCAATCAAAGTTGATTATAGCAGATGTTGAGCTGGCCATAGTTTGCCAACTCCTGCTCTCAAACAATACCCCCTGCCCTTTCCTTGAAGAATCCAGTTGTCTCATAGCATGTTTCACATTCTGGGTTTGTCTGGTTGTTTCTTCATGATTAGTGTCAGGGTAAGCATTTTTATCAAGAGATCTACAAAGCAGATGTTATACATTTTCCATCGTATCCCACTGGGAGGCTCATGTCAGTGGTCCCAGAATTTGACCACTTGGTTTAGCTGACATTCACTAGGTCCCTCCATTGTGAAGATGCATTTCTATTTTTGTAATAAGCAATCCATGGGTGGTAGTTTGAGATCACATAACTATCTTATTGCCCCATAGCATCTCATCCAGGGATCCTGTGGTCATCCTGACTGAATCTATTATTGCACTGGGGGTTAGAGAACAATGACCTTTTTTTTTTTTGAGACAGAGTCTCACTCTATTGTGCAGATGGAGTGCAGTGGCATAATTTCAGCACACCTCTGCCTCCTGGGTTCAAGTGATTCTCCTGCCTCAGCCTCCTGAGTAGCTGGGATTATAGGCGTGTACCACCACACCTGGCTAATTTTTGTATGTTTAGTAGAGACGGGGTTTCATCATGTTGGCTAGGCTGGTCTTGAACTCCTCACCTGAGGTGATCCACCTGACTTGGCCTCCCACAGTGCTGGGATTACAGACGTGACCCACCACTCCCAGACAAGATCAATGACTTCTCAATCATGCCTTCTGTTTTTATTGGCTGGCATTCTTCTATGAAGAAAAGCTGCCTCCCTCCTTTTTATTCCTGTCTTCAATATCACTGTGAATTCTGTTTTTACTCAATTGTTTGTAATTCATCATTTACATTCTTTAGGTGACCTCAGTTTGGCCAGTGAGGGGCCTTCAAGTTGGCTCCATTCCCGTCACTTTTAGTATATCCTAGCTTTCTGGCCAAGATGTTCTAGGCTTATCATGTACTGTCTGTCTTGGAACTGGAATTGGCCGTTTCCCCAAGGAACCCAGTGCTCCTTAGTGGGGAGTGGTATTAGAGACCAACATCTGGATGTCGGGTGTACTTACACCAACTCTGGTTATTATTAGAAAGAGCCACCAATTTTAAAGGCCAAATTATATCTATTTTATAGTGTATTTTATGGATTATGGGAGAGGCTGAGCATTTCTTCATGTTTTGTGGCCATGTCCGTTACCTTTTTGTGAATTGCTTACTCAAGTCCTTTGTGGGAGTTAATAGATTAAAACACTTAGAACAGTGCCTGACACACAGTAGGGTTACATATTGCTAGGGGATATTACTTCGTATTTATCCTTTGTTAAAAGTATCCAGAGTGACTTTTAAACTCAGTGCCCTGGACACGTGTTGCTCTTCTGCAGTCAGTGGTGTGGGGACCTGTGCCTGCATCCCATGATGCTGTCTGCCACTGCCCAAAATGTATGGGTCTACAAGTCACACCTCCCTTGTCATTCACTGGGCTCTGGTTCGTGGTGATGGCAAACATGGGATGGCAGCGAAGCCATACTGACAAAGGTTGAGGCCCTTCAGCATGGTGTGCAGCCTCTCAGCATGGACAGTGGGCCCTGAAGCCACTGCAGCTCACTGTTCCTCTCCCACCCTACAGGAGGTAGATTGGGAAGTGGAGCTGGCCGTGGTCATTGGAAAGAAAGGCAAGCACATCAAGGTGAGGTGGAAAGGGTGGGCTCCCAGTCCAGAGTGCAGCAGAGGCCCCAGCTCCTGCCTCTCCTAGTTCTGACCTCACTCACCAACACACGGTGCCAGCTGTCCCTGACACTAGGAAGCAGTCAGCCTCCTTGCTCCCTGACACTGCCTTTCCCTTCACCCACCTTTGGCTGGCTCTGGCTACTAACATGGGATAACAGCTTAGAGATCCCTTGCCATAGGTGTTGGTGTCACCCATGATCTAACCTCCTGTATGGCCAAATCCCCTGCCCCCATAGGCCACAGATGCTATGGCCCACGTGGCCGGCTTCACTGTGGCTCATGACGTGAGTGCTCGTGACTGGCAAATGAGACGTAATGGGAAACAATGGCTGCTGGGAAAAACCTTCGACACCTTCTGCCCTCTGGGCCCTGCCTTGGTGACCAAGGACAGTGTAGCAGGTAGGTCCCTGGTCCCTGCCCCCTTATACCTACCATTGCACAGATGAACAGCGCTTCAGGGAGGAGCATGGGTTCAGGTACATGTGGCACCTGCCCTCCCTGGCCGCCCTTTCACTGCTGACTCCATACAGGGCAAGTCTCTTATCCTCAGCCACGAGTTCTCCCATGGGCTTCCTTCCCAAGCCCCCTAGAGGGAACACAACTGCAGAGGATGTGAAACTGCATGCGTGAAGTAAATTACAAAGAACACTGAGCTGATGGGTGGATCGGGCTTCCTGCGGCTGCCACCTCTGAAACAATCTAAGTTGAGCATCATGGAGCATAGTTATCCCAAGGCCAAGGCATTTTCCACACTACAGGAGATGAAAGCCAGTGTGACTCACCCAGCCACTGTGGAAATAGAACAGCACTGACCACACACAGTCAGGATACAGCGCCAGGATGGGGGCAGTGCCCCAGAGGGCAGAGCGCAGCCTCTTACACAGCCACCCACAACTGTGGTGGAGGTGGGGGGTGTCCACATGGGCCAGCCATGCCAGGATACCAAAGACCCCAGTGCCTCAGCACCCCATGCAGAGTCCTCAGCAAAGTTAAATTGTGTTTCAGCTGCTCTACTTAAGGGGGGTAGAACACTAGGACCACCACCAACAGTAAAAAGTGCTGGTTAGCCAGGATGTTCTTACAGTAATCCATCCCCTGCCAGCATCCAGTACACGAGGCTTCTCTGTCCCGGCTAGAACCATTGCCTCACTGCTTTATAGATGCTGAGTCTTTTTTTTGCCATGGTCTTACTGTGTCACCCAGGCTGGAGTGCAGTGGCCCAATCCCAGCTCACTGAAGCCTCAACCTCCTGAGTTCAAGCAGTTCTCCCGCCTCAGCCTCCTGAGTAGCTGGGACTACAGGCACGCACCACCACGCCTGACTAATGTTTTTATTATTTTTTGTAGAGACAAGCACTCACTAAGTTACCCAGGCTGATTTTGAACTCCTGAGCTTAATCAGTTCTCGCCTGCCTTGGCCTCCCAAAGTGCTATGATTACAGACATGAGCCACCACGCTTGGCCCTGCTGAGTCAATCTACAGGTGTCATCCTATGCTGTAGACAGATGCCCTTATTTTTTTCAAGGCAAAAACCCTAGCCATTTTTCTCTTCCCCTTCAGAGTCTGAAACATCCTCTCAACCCATCCCTGTTACTACTGCTTGGTGCTCTTGGTGGGGATGCGGGGAGGCCTGAGAAGGCCAATGTCTATACAGAAAGTTCTAACATAGAGCACTGAGTCAATGTGGGCACTTTGAAGCCCTTTCACCTGCCAAGTCACGAAGCACCCCTACAGTTGTGTTTGTAAAATATTGGGGGGTTTGAGGGGGAAAAGGGATAACTCCAAGGTACCATCTTTGCATTTCAGATCCACACAACTTAAAGATCTGCTGCCGAGTGAATGGGGAAGTGGTCCAGAGCGGCAACACCAACCAGATGGTATTCAAGACAGAGGACCTGATAGCCTGGGTCTCCCAGTGAGTGACAGGGGCTGTCCTGCCAGCCCCGCTTCACCTGCCACACATGTGGAGGCTGACCTGAGCCCTCCATCTTTGGCTGTGGCCACCTCAGCCAGCCCCTGGTCTCACCGGGTCCTTCTGCTTTGATCCAGGTTTGTTACCTTTTACCCAGGGGATGTCATCCTAACTGGGACCCCCCCAGGTGTCGGTGTATTCAGGAAACCTCCTGTCTTTCTCAAGGTAGGTTAGCGAAAAGCAAAGAGCAAGGGCCCCAAAGGCCTGGCAGGCTTGCCTCAGACTTGAGAAGTACAGGCTTGTGTATGTGTGTCTGACGGAAGGGCTGACACTGTCATGGCCTGCTCTGTTGCAGAAGGGGGATGAAGTCCAGTGTGAGATTGAAGAACTAGGTGTCATCATCAACAAGGTGGTGTGATGGCTCCTGCACAGGCCCTGCACATAGGATGAGGGCATCTGCTCCCACTCAGCCTAGCCCAGGGAAAGGCCCAGTGACAGGTGTGGACAGGTGCCAGCCCTGCAAGCCGCCTCTTCTCGGTAGAAGGGAGAAGGACAGAGCTCTCTTCAATAAATTCGTCAGGTCAAAGCAGCAGCTTTGCTTCTGCTGTTTGTCTTCTTTTGGGCTTTGTTTCATGGGACAAGTTGGGGCATTTTGTGGGACTGGGGAAGAAGAGAGCAAATACACACACATATGCCAAAAAGATGCTGCTGGGCTGGGGAAAAGACAATTCGTGTCGTCCCCTTGTTTATCACATCAAAGAAGGGAAAAAGCAAGAGATGGCAAGGGACAATCAAGCCTCAATGATTATATTTATAGCTAAGGGTTTGCAGCCTCCTCTCCATCTTCTGGCTCTAGGACACAGCTGTGTTCTGGGGCTCAGAAGTCTCAGCACAGGCTCCTTCTCACAGTTCTAGCTACAAGTGAACTGCCGGATGAACTGTTCTAGTTTTTCCTGATTGTCCAGGCTGGCAAAAGTAGGGGACAGGTGGAGCCTGGGGCCTGCAGGGCTCGGCGTCTGCTGCAGAACCTGGGCCATGGAAGATGGGCCGTGAGTGCACTCACCACAGGGACTGTGTCCACATGGCCCAGGGGCCAGGCCTGTCCCCCAGAAACCTGCCTTGAGACCTCTGACCCCTTAGGCCTCAGTGTTTGAGTGCAAATGCTGCCTCAAAGCAGCCCCAATACCCCACCTAGAAGGATGAGCCAGTGATTTGGGAGACCAAGAGGCAGGAAACCATCCCACCTTCTCCAACCCATCACCACGTCTATTGCTGGAAGACACCAAGTAAATCCCAGGGTCTTAATGAGGCACCATCAGGCCAGCCCTGTGGGGTGATGGGAACATAGCTGGGTTTCCCTGAGCCACTCTATTGGGGTGGGAGCAGGGGGACAGAAGATGGTGACACTGGCTCCTCTCACCCCTAGGTCTCTGAAGGTCCAGATAGCACTGATGGCAAGCTTTGGGTCTGCACACTCTGGAAAGAAGAGAGAAGTGAAGGCTCTAGGTAGGGAGGACAGGGAGACACTGGGCACAGGCTTCTCTCCTCTTGTTTAAAGAAGCCCAGGGAGGGATAGATCTCCGACTGGACAGAAGACTACTCTGCAGCCCGCCTTCCTAGAGTTGGGTTGTCACTGTCCGGCAGGGGGCAGCAGCCACCAGCAAACACCACTGCCTGCAGGAGCCTGGGCTGACTGGTTGGGACTCACCAAAGATCCCTTCTTCCTGGGCGGTGGCCTGCAGGAACTGGAACAGCTGTTGGAGAGGAGAAGAAAAAGAAGACATCAAAAAGAAAATCTAGTGCTGGGTGGATATAGAGTATGAAGATGTGGAGCTGGGAAAACAGAGGATGTGGTGGGATGGGGAAGGAAAGGTTGTGGAAGGCCTGCACCCCGTCTCAGTTCCTCCACTGCTTCGTCCCAGATTCTGTTTTTGTTTTCCTGAATCAGACTTAGTCTCCCTCCATTCTCCCGTCCCCTGTGTGCCCCCATCCTGGTCCTGCCTCACTGGACAGCCTCTCCGCGGCCTTCCTCCTCCCTGCTCCAGAATTCTACTTGGTGCCCCCCAACCCCACTCGACTCATTGTCCACCTGGCCTCTGAGGCCAGGCACCCTCATTCCCCTCTCCCACCCACCCCACCCAAGGAAGCCCAGCACAGACCATCTCATCTCACTCCACCATCACTTCTTTGCCAAATGCATTTCCAAACACCCTCATGAGCTTTGCTGATCTCTTTGCCATCTCTCCCTGCCCCACTCCGATGGCTCCTCCTGCCTGGTGAAGACTGCCCTGGGTATCCCAGAACTGAACCTGCAGCAGCCAGCACAGCTGACCTTGGGGCGATAAGCAGCCAGGGAAAGGCTTTCTTAAAAAAAAACAAAAAACAAAACCAATAACTCAGTAAGCAGATTAAACAAAGGTAGAGACGGAGCCCTCCACCCCTCTCACACACTCATCCTCACACCCAGCTATACCACACCCCACAAATGTTGCTTATGTTTCCTTGGTCATTCTGTCCATCCTCCTGTCTGTCCAAAGCCAAGGACACTGCTCTACTCTAAATTTTTTGTCCCGAAGCCCCCAAATACTGCAACCCTGACCCAATGCACGAAGCCACCCCAAAATACAGCAGAGGACACCAGGACTTTCATTTTCCCTCAGTATGGCCCATCCTTTGGGTATGCCAACTCCATGTCCACCAAGCACTGCATGTAGGACAGGGCACAGTTTGGAGGCCTTGGTCCAGCCACTGCCCCAGACCCACCTTGGCTCTCTCCTCACTAACACCCGAGAAGCCCAGACTTCCCAGTGTTTAGCAACAGATTAAACTCTAAGCCAACAACAACAGAACAGGGTGGAGTGAGTGGAAAGCAAATGAAATGTTAAAAAAAAAAAAAAAGCAATACTTGCATTCTCATTAGTAGGAACATGTGAGATGAAGCATGTTATGTTATTAGGCATTCTCTTGATTCGGTAAACACAAGCTGAATAAATTTATAAATATCAGCATTAAGCGAGATTTAACGGGGAGCTGTTTATCTTCTGCCTGTCAGGCAGGCGGCAACACTCTCCATGTATCACTCGCCAGCCGTGCAGTCCTCACTCTCTTGCCCAGGTAAGCTGGGGAAGAGCCTGCTGCCGCCCAGCTCTGGTTGTGGAAGGGCTGGCACCAAGGAGCTGCGAGCTTACCTCAACTCATCTCACCTCACCATGCCGGCTGCGAGGCGGCCCGTGCAGTCCGTGCGCAGGAGGTCACACTCCCATGCTGCATCCCAGCCCCTCCAGAAGCAGAGCATGACCTGGGTGACTTTGAGGATGCTATTTAACCTCTCTAAGCTAAAGCTCCTCGACTGCAGCATCAACAGATCAGTGCCGACCTGTTAAGGCCGTCGAGAGCATCAAATGCTACTGTTCAGCAGGTGCCTGACACATAGTAGGTCCACAAGCAAATGATTTTCCTGCTTGCATCATTTCTAGCACAGAGCTGGAGGAAATGGCGAGGTGCAGGTGGCCGCTGGGCCCTGCTGTTCTACATGGGAGCAAGACAGCTGCTAGGTGAAGGGGAATGACCAGGCAGCCACAGGGAGGACATGTGGCCTCAGGAAGCCTGGGTGTGTATCCTGGTTCTGCTAGGAACACGTGTGGGGCTTTGTGTGGGTGACTCTCTGGCTCCCCAAGCCTCCCTTTCCTACTGTTATATCCTTAAAGTGCCTCTGAGGCCAAAGCCTTTGTGGCAATTGTCAAATGAGTCCATATGCAGTGAGTACCGTGTTGAGGGAGGACAAGGTCACCAAGAGCTGAGAATGTTTCTCCGACTGATGAGACCTAGATATTGGGTACATGGAGGTCCCCGGTCCCTTTGTGATTCCTGCAGCCTGTTGCCTCCTTGCCTGGACCCCGCCTCAGCTCAGAAAGCCAATTCCCTAGATTCCAAAGGCCTTCCCAGACCAATTAGCATGTCCTGCAGCTGTCAGCTCCCTGTGCCTAGCCTGGACCTCAGCTCATGTCTAGCACCCAGTCTCCCAACCCCACACATATTCACAAATAAAAGAAAATAACAAATGACATGAATTCTTCACTCCTGGTCTGGCTTGCTGTGTGTAAACTGCTATGACAATACAAGACGCAGAGGCGGGTACCCAATAAAAGCTGTTGAAAATGTGACTGACACCGAGTTTCAGCTATCCAGGAAGGCACGGATCCTTACAAGGTCCAAGCAGAGTCCTCGAGAATAGTTGAGAATTCTTGGGTTCCATATGAACTAGGAGATACCCACACAAAGGCTTGGATTTCCCAATACATAACTACCCCTGAACACTCCTTCTTTCCCTCGTCTCTCTGCTGAGACCTCTAGACCCTAAGGATCCACCCAGGACAACCTCTCCAAAGGTACCCTGATATGCTTTTCTTCCAGGCAGCATTTCCACAGAGCTGTGGGTGAAAGTCACAGGATGAAAATGTGCCATGGGACTGTATCTCCCACCAACACACTGCAGGCAAGGGGCACACAGAGTGCCCCCTCTGCCCATCCCAGGAATGGCCATCTAAGAATGATGCAATCTTTTCTAAAAAGAAAGTAAATAAAGGCAGGTGCCATATAAGAAGACCTTGGGGGACTATAGGGATGTTCCTTAATGTCTCAGAACATCTGCCTCCATCAATGAAATGAAGGATTCAAAGCAGCTCATCCCTGAGTTGACCTTAATGCTGAATCCTAAACATCACCCTTAGGATGCTATCTGGCTAGGCAGGGAATGAAGGATCTGGGAGCTGAGTTGCAGGAAGCTGCAGCAGCTTCCCATTTACAGATCCTCTAGTGCCAGTTTTTCAGGCTTCCTGACTAAGAGAAGCAGCCAGGCAAATTCCACCATTCAGCTACATTTACAGGAAGCTGGCTATTTGGGAGGCTCTCTACCAGAGGCTTTGGGGAAAAAAATGCAGAATTAATGTAAAGATCACATATTTACCTATGAGAGAAAAGATATCCAAGGATGCCCTTCGGCCTCATTTGATCTAAAACTAGGCCTGGAGCTACCTAATTGTCAAGTCAGTTCAGGCTTCTATAACAAAAATACTATAGACTGGGTGGCTTAAACAACAAACGTCTATTTCACATGCTGCTGAAGGGAACAACCATGGTCAGGAGCATGATGAGGGCCCTCTTCCTGGCTTGGAGGTGGCCATCTTCTTGCTGTGTCATCACATGGCAGAGAGAGAGACAGAGAAAGAATGAGAATGAGAGGAAGCAAGCAGTTTCATATTTTATCTTATAAGGGCACTAATCCCATCATGAGGGCTCCATCCCCATGACCCAATAGCCTCCCAAAGGCCCCATCTCCAAATACCACCCCACTGGTAGTTAGGGTTTCAACATACATTTGGGAGTATACAAATATGCAGTCCACAAAACAAATACCCCTAAGTTGTCTGCATATGTATGCTTGTTCTGGTGCTGCTTTGAGTATCTCAGACGATAGAATCGAGTGTAGATCAAACTTCTCTAGGCCTCAATAGGGTGAATCTAAAGATTGGGTCACAATAATGGCAATAAGCCACAATTCACTGGATTAATCTCACCTACTCCTTCAGGGGCCTATCCACATTCAAAGTACCACAAGTACCTGTAGAAGTCTCTGAGCAGTATCACAAAGACTGACATAGATACAGGCAAAATAGAAAATGGATAGATGGTAGTATGGGGTTGGGGGTGGTTGTGTGTGTGTGTGTGTGTGTAAGGAAAGAGGATGTCTTGTACTTGGGATACATGGGGATATATTGTTTTTGAGGCTGTTTGGTGGCAATACTTGCCCTGAGCTCAGGAAACAGGCCAGAGAGATATATCTGTTCCCTACTTAGAAGAGAGCACTGATGCATGAAGGTTGGGAGGAGGCCAGAGAATAGTGTATTGAAAGAAGAGAATGTGACCAAGGCCCCAACATTAAAAATGAACCTTGAATTGGAGATGGGGAATGAAGAAAAAGTCAGAGAAGAGGGCATACGTGGAGTAATCTGAAAGACAGGAAGAGCCACAGGTGTGCACAGTAACCGGGATGTGAGGTTAGTAGAGAGCTTCAGGAAGGAGGGAAAAGGCATTCATGACAAACACTGCAGGACACTCACAAAGATGGGGAATGAGTAAAAGCCATCGAGCTTGGCATTGATGAGCTTCATGGGAACCATACAAGGAGAAACCTGTGGAATGAAACCTAACTACACAAAGCCAAGGAATTAGCAGTAAGGACATTAAGGCGGTCTTATGGGTTAAATCATACACACCAAAAATATGTCAAAATTCTCATCCCAGTACCTAGAAATAGAATCTTATTTGAAAATAAAGTCTTTGCAGGTGTAATCAAGTTAAGATGAGGTCATTAGGATTGGTCCTTAAGCCAGTATGACTTGTGTCCTTGTAAGAGAGAGAAAGATGCCAAGTGAAGACACAGACATACAGAGAGAAGACAGAAGATGGAGATGGAGGCTGAAGTGATGCAGCCACAAGTCAAGGAACTCCTGGGTTACCAAAAGCTGGAATAGACAAAGAAGTATCCTCCCCTAGAGCCTTCAGAGGGAGCAAGGCCCTGCTACATCTTGATTTTGTAAGCCAGGTCTCCAAGATTGCAAGAGAATGAATTCCTGTTGTCTGAAGCAACCCAATTTGTGGGACTTAGTTATGGCACCCCTAGAAAACTAATAGAGGCAGTAAGGGCACTTTTATAAGAAATGTGTTCATGAAGAGATGGAGTTAAATGCTTTTAATAAAGAGAATGTTTGCTTTTCATGGACATACTTGAGAATGTTTACAGACTAAGAGGAAAGAATCTAGAGACAGAGAGAGAGAGAAGTTGAAGATTCAAAACAATGGAAGGATGGTTAATAAAATATGGAGGAGGAAGAAAAAGATTAAAAGGAGAACTCAAGTGGCATAATTGGCCTAAAAAGGTGAGGGACACTTTGTCATCCTGGGTGAGGTGTCTTGGCCTAGATCCTATAGAAAGTAGAGCCTGAGGCAAGGATTGAAGTGCTGACATTTTATGTGGGGGAAGGGTGCAAGTTCAGGACAATGAAAGTGAGGAATAAATGGAAGCAGATGGAAGGCCCTGTGATGAAACGCATTGCTATCCTAGTGGCAACTTCACACCAAGCTGCAAAGATGCTGTATTAGTCAGAGTTCTCCAGAGAAACAGAATTAATACAACGTAGAGATAGAGATATATACATAGATATAGAGATAGATCTCTCACATACAGACCTATATATCTATACATGGAGAGAGAGAGAGAGGAACAGAGTGGGGGCAGGGGCACAGAGAGAGACACATTGAGAGACAGATTTATTATAAGGAGTTAGTTCATGTGATTATGGAGCTGAGAATTCCCAAGATCTGCCATCTGCAAGCTGGAGAACCGGGAAAGCCAGCAATACAGTTCTACAGTCCAAGCCCAAAGGCCTGACCACTAGGAATTCCAATGCTGTAAGTTCCAGTTCAAAGGTAGAAGACTGATGTCCCAGCTCAAGCAGTTAGACAGAGGGCAAATTCACTTTTCCTCTGCCTTTTTGTTCTATTCAGGCCCTCAATTGATTGGAACTTCTACATTAGGGAGGGCAATCTACTTTATTCAGTCAGCTGATTCAAATGCATATCTCATCCAGAAACACACCCACAGAAACACCTGAGAAATAATGTTTAGCCAGACACCTGGGCACCCCATGGTCTAATCAAGTTGATACATAAAATTAACCATCACAGACATACAGCAGGTCACTCATGAGACATGCTTGCTTGACATGCTGGGCTTCTCTGTAGGATTTGCAAGGAGAAATCATACCTTAAAGTATTTGCAGGAAGGAGGAGGAGGATTTATCTGACCATCTTCCTCCAGTCTCCCATTTCCCACCAATCAAGATTTACCCAACAGTGAGCAAATCCCCCTGGGCTTCTGGATTGCATCATCCAGTCCCCATTCACCACAACACCAAATCCCATGGTGTGATCCAGCCTGGAAAAGGAGGGAAAACTCAGAATTGTCTGGGCACCTAACGAGAGAAAATAGAGGCAGTTGAGGAAATCCAAGAAAGCACACAAAGTTTGTGTCCAAAATTAAGAGAGAGATAAAAAAAGAAAAACAGGTAAGTGAAAATATAGAGACATTTTTAAAATAAAAAGAAGTTGAGGAAACTGACTTTGAGTGGTAGGTGATGTTCAGAGAGATCTCAAGTAAACTATGGGAAAGGAAGGAATGGGGAACATGGCTATGACCCCATAACCTTAAGGACCTGCAATATGTTTTTAAAAAGTAAAAGAAGCCTTGTTATTACTGCAATACTATAGAATCCTAGAAATTCAGAACAGACATTACACAACACTTTCCTTAACCTTTTCACTTTAAAGATGAGACAACAAAGGCCGGGAGAGAATTAATGGTAACTAACTTTCATAAATGTACAATGTTTGTTGTGAATGAACCTCTGTGTGTGTGTGTGTGTGTGTGTGTGTGTGTGTCCCCAGGATGTCATCTACACATTTCTCCACCTGGTGGCTCCTGCCTGAATGACAGGCAGAGTCCAGCCAGTGGAAAGAAGCAGCAGAGGACACTGTCTTGGAATCCCAGAAGAAAATCTTAAGAGCTGAGACCTGAGGCCTCCTTCACAGACCCAGGCCAGCTTCTCATGGACTAGCCTTGGTCCTCAGAGACTCAGAATGTTTGCTGCCCCTCTCTCCAGTTCTGTGATCCCTCCTCTGTAGCTCCCTTTTCATACAAGAAAATACCAACCAGGGGGAAAGCAACGAACAAAAGGTATAATGTTTGACCAGTGGTCGTGGACGCTAATTCTTTGAAGACTTCCAAGATGGTAAATGGAAAGAACAACCCACATGCATGCACATACATATACATATACAAAATGCAAAGACTAAGACCCAATTAGCCTCTCTCTCTGTTTCTTTTACAGGAAGGGAAGTATCACCGGCCTGAACTACTACTCCCCATCCCCTGCAACTGCCATTCTTTCTGACTTGTCTCTAGAAAAGGCCATGTGACCTCTCCCTCAGGCTGACGCATTGTCCCAGCCAGAATGTCCAGCCAAAGCAGAATAAAGCATCTACTGGACCTAAAAGAGTGCCCCTGATATCTCCCAACTGGGTTCTGAAAGGATTCCCTGAGGGGATTTTATCATAGACACATTTAAAATGCCAAGAATGAATCAATGTGTCACCAAATTTCAGTGTCAGTGCTAGAGGCAGATTTATGGCTCAAATGAAGTCGGTTTAAAAAAAAAGAAGAAGAAATTTCACTTTATTCTCTAGCTGTGAAAATATTCTCTGAGGAGTCTCCTGTCAGAACACCTATATGACCAAGAGTGGAATTTATCAGAGCAGATGTGAGAATAAGAGTTTAGTGTTAGTTCTCTATTGCCATGTAACAAATTACCCAAAACTTAGAAGTTTAGAACAACAAATATTTATTATCTCAGACATCTATTCCTGAGGGTCAGCAATCCAAGAGCTGCACAGCTGGGTGATTCTGGCTCAGGGTTTTTCATGAGGTTACAGTCAAGCTGTCAACCAGTCCTACAGTCATATGAAATCTTGACTGAGGCTGAAGGATCCACATCCACAATGTCGCCTAATTTCTGACTGGAGGCCTTGGGTTCCTAATGGCTGTTGGCAGGAAGCTTCAGTTTCTCTCCACATGGGCTTCTCCATGGGGATACCTGAGTGTTCTCATGACATAGTAGTGGACATGTGATCCAAGAAAGAGCAGGACAGAAGCCTTGTCTGTCAAAATCTAGACTCAGGATTGATATACCATCAATCTGCTGTACTCTACTGGTCGTATAGACTAACTCTGATAACATGTGAGAAAGAAATACACAAGGGCCTAAATAGTGGGAGGCAGGGAATGCTTTGCCTTTGGGATTCTCTAGTGGCCACCTTTAAGGCTGGCTACAACATATTAGGTGGTAAATGCAATGGAATTCATGACTCCAATATATAGAATAAAAATAGAATGACTAATAAATACTGAAGATTGGTGGTGCTCAGATTTGAGCAGGCATCAGAATCACCTGTGTATTTAGCAATACACAGATAGCTAGAATCCACCCCTAGAGTTTGTGATTCAGTAGGTCTTAGGTGGGGTTGAAGAACTGGAATTTCAAGTAAGTTTCCAGATAATGCTGATGCTGCTAGTCTGGGGGCCACACTTGTTGTAGATAAGTCTGTCAAAATTTCGAATTTGAACATACCTTAAAGGTCTTCTGATTCAATGGTTTCCAAGTCCAGATGACCATTAGAATCACCTGTGGGAGACTCTTCCCCACCCCAACTCAAGAGTCTATGATTTTTTAAACTCCTCTAGCCAATTTCATGATCAATCAGGTTTGGAAATCCCCAACCCCAAAGTCTCCTCTGCTTAGCATCCTCAGCATCAACCCTCCTCTTAAAGAAGACTCTTAGCAAATTGTGGTGTATGTATATACCATAGAATACTACTCAGCCATAAAAAGGAATGAAATAATGGCATTCGCAGCAACCTGGATAGAACTGGAGATCATTATTCTAAGTGAAGTATCTCAGGAATAAAAAAGCAAACATCATATGTTCTCACTCATAAGTGGAAACTAAGCTATGAGGATGCTAAGGCATAGGAATGATACAATGGACCTTGGGACTCGGGGGAAAGGGTGGGAGGAGGGGTGAGGGATAAGACTACACAATGGGTACAGTGTACACTCCTTGGGTAATGGGGGCACCAGAATCTCAGAAATCACCACTAAAGAACTTATTCATGTAACCAAACACCACCTGTTCCCCAAAAACCTATTGAATTTTTTTTTTAAAGAAGACTTGTAGCATAGCAATAGGCCATTAACTCCCTCCTAAGGCAATGCCCATTACAGTGTGGGCAGATCAACTGCCTCAAACGTGCTACTCGGACTTAAGCAAAACTGACTTGTCCACGATGTTCACACATTGCTCACCAAGCCTATGGATTCTCTCTCCTCATAACCACTGTCTAGTTTTCTAAAAAGGACTTTTATTTCACCCTCAGTCTTCTATTTTTTAGGCAAAATATCCTTTGTTCCTGTAATTCATCCTCAGTGGGCATGGTATACACTGTTCTCATGGTTCCTAGTCCTCTCTGTTTCTCTTTCTCAGTCTCCTTCTTTGTAGGTAATGGTTAGAATGGAGCTATTAACCCAAGTGTGGTGCAACTCAAAGAAGTATAGAGGAAATATAGCACTTTTATCTTGGATGTGCTTTTCCTATTGGTCCCACCTAAGAATATAACAACCTTTCAGTCAGTCCCAGCACACTGGATAGGAAATTATGACAAATAGATATTTAGAAAACTCCCAAGCCATCTGAGAAAGCACCCTCAATGAGTATCTTCGAGATGTCTAAGCAGCCCAAAAGATCTTGACTTCCTATTCTCTGAGAACTGCAATCTTTATTCACAAAAATGAACCCCCAATAGCCTCAGTGAGAGTGGACTGGACCAGGGTGTCAAGCAACACAGGCTGGGATGAGGAGATTCTCTTTGATGAAAGAGGAGTGGTCACTCTCTTCATGAGGATCTAATGAGTAATCTCAGGACCTGCCTTTTGCCTGATGGAAAAGAGAACTTCCCTGCAGAGATACAGAAAGAGAAGCCAATGCTCCAATAGAAACAGAGGGGGGAGGAGGCGGAAGAGATGGAGAGAGAGAGAGAAAGAGAGAGAAAGAAAGAAAGAGAGAGAGAGGGAGGGAGGGAGGGAGGGAAACAGATGGTCAGCAGCCCAGTGAGTGACCTTCTGGGTCCTAGTTCTTGTCATTTCTGAAACTCAGCTGCATCATTGACCTTGGGTTCCATAACCCATCTCTGCATCTCTATAACCCATCTCCTATATTTTTTGCCTAATCGGGCCTAATTGTTTGCCATTTTTTCAACTAAAGAATGTCAGTGAATAGAATACAATTTCCAGAAGACCTTTGGCACTGCTTGTGCTATTATGTCTGCATTGGGTGGAAACAAGCCTCCCTTGTGCAGGGTTGGTATTTATTCCTTGGGCCTCTAGACCCATCAAGACCTTTCTTTTCACCTAAATCAGTTGAGGACCTGTCTGCACTCCATTAAGCCCAGCAGCTTTCCCACCCCTATCACAGCCCACTCCAGGGTCAGCCCAATTTTATATTCAACAATAAAATCAACAAAACCTTTTAAAAATTTTTTGGAAATGTCCGTTTTGGGGTGAAGAAAGCACTATGAGAAAACTGGAGCTTCAGCTCACACTGACATGTTCACACCACCTCACTCCCTCTCACACGGCTCCAACCCTAAAGTGAAATTCACCTACATGAAAGCTGCCTTCCAGTCTGCTCTCCTACTTCCATACCTTCTCTCTCAACTATTTCTTCTTGGAACACTCAATTACTACTTACTGCTTCTCAATATTGAGAACCTACGTGTACCAGGAGCTGTGTAGGTCAGTGGGGACACAGAGAGGATAAGGCAGTCCCAGGTTCTGGCCTCAGAGAGCTTCTAAGAATGCCCTCCTTGCAGCCTTCCGAATCCCACCACTCACAGAGCTCACTGCTCAGATACTTGTCCTCATCCCCTTCCCATTCCCAGCCTGCCTGCATCTCCATCAAATTGCACCTAAAGATCTATTCCCTGACGGTCTTGCTCTCTGGTTTCTGAGTGATGGCAAGCTCATTGAATGGTCCAGTGTCTGCTAATAACTCTGCTGAGCCTTTGGCTTAATATCATCACACTACTCCCAACAAAAATATTTGTGTTTTAACACATCTCTAAAGTCATAGTGCCTGAAATAGAGAAGAGACCTGACCTATTGAGTGTCATTTCAATCAAGATGCTTGTCTTATTCTTCCAAGTGACCTCTTCATGAAGATTCCACTTTTCCTGGGCAAAGCCTGGGGATTCAAGGATCTTGTCCAGATTCCAGTTCCCTTCCTGATGGTGTTCCCTAGTCCCAGAGACAGACTCTGGAATTGGAAGGCCTGGGTCCAAGTCCTGATTTCTGCACACAGTCATTAAATGACCTGACCTTGAGTATGGTGTTTAGCTCATCAGAGCTTCACTTTGCTCATCCGTAAAACAGATCAACAGTAACCTTATCAACTGCTCATGAAAATGATATGAGATAATGCTATTAAATTACTCTGGGATACGAATGCTGCCATTATTTCAAGCAGTCTCTCTGCCTTCCCCCAACTCAGCACAGCACCCGTGGCAAAGGAGATGTGAGACAGGAGAGCTCAACCCACTCTGGGTGCATGGCTGAGAAAGTGCTAATGAAACACTTTTATCTTCTAGGTCCTTCACCAGCGGGCAGGGAAGGGGAAGGAGTGACTAAAAACGTGCTGAAAGCACACCTCTAAAATAAATCCTAAGCTCATCATTCCCTTTCTTGTCCCTGGACCTAGGTCTACACTGAACCTAGAATAGTATTAACTGACTGTCTTTCTGGGCTGACTCCAGACAGCAATGGTGATCCATTAGGCTCCCAGTTCCAGAGGCTCCACAGAGCAAAGTGAAAGGAAATGTTGCCTGCTTTCCTCGGGAGTATCATGGGAGGGGCTGTGGCATGACCCCTGGTGTGTACTCTTTGGAAGACTACAGAATGCTGGTGGCTAAGGGATTCCACACCCCTTCCACCTTTTCGTCCACATTGTTTCCTCCTCTGTCTTTTACATGGGCGTCTACATCTACTTCTGAGCCCAATCTATGACCCATGCATTCATTCATTCACTATGTATTGGTTGTCTACTCTGCATCAGACACTCTGCATGGAAATGAAACACAGCAACTCCCATTACCACCCCCCACCCCCATGATGCCTGTCTCCTAGTCCAAGGAAGAGAAATTTGTAGGAAAGGACCATCCGAACTAGCTTGCAGAAGTGAGGGGGAGGGGGTGGGACTCCTGAGTCAGTCTGGGATAACGAGTAAAAACTTAAGCAGAACTGGAGAAGCCCGTCCTGCATCTCCCTTTCCTTATCTGTAAGAATCAGGCCTCCTTCCTGCTCTTGTCCCTTGGCTCCTAAGACCCTGGGGCAGCTGGAAGGGGTGGATGTTGGCCTGGGGATGGAGAGGGACTGGAGTGGGACAGTGAGCAGGCCAGGAGCAGTTTACAGACAAAACCTCAGGTAGGTTGAGGAAGCCAGAACCATGAGACAGAGGCGACTGGAGTCAGAAACAAACGCCATGATCTGGAGTCTCCCAGGTCTGTGTCTGAGCCTCCATCAGAGCACAAGTACGTGGAGGGAAAGGAGTCTGGTCTCAAGCAGTCAGCTTCCTCTCCTGAATGGGAAACGATGGACCTGGGAGACCAGCTGGCTGGGGTTTAAACCCCAGGCCCGCCTGTCACCATCTACATGGCCTTGGTGAATTTGCCTGATTATCTTAAGCATCAGAATGTTCATCTGAGAAAACAAACAAAAAACATTCGTAAGGATCTGCCGCTGACAGTTCGTGTCCTGCTTTTCTCTAATAATCAGTGCCACTTCGGGTGAAACATTCCTGCAGTTTTTAACCACCTGCTACCTGATGTCATAGTTCTTTGTGTAGTCACCAAGACAGATTCCTCCTGAGGAGCTATGAGTTCCAGGCAGGAGTTGTGACTGTCCTTCCCTGGAATACCCACGGAACTCAGTCCAGTGTCTGGCACACGTAGGTGATCAGAAAACAGCTGTCTTCCTCCTTCATTCAGCCCACGGAGAGGCGGGCTGTGAATGCGCTTTGCCGGGGGGGATGGGGAACCTGCTGCGCCTCTCCTGGCGCCTGGAGGCCCAGCCCTGCGGGGCGGAGGGGCTGGAAACCTGACAGCTCCCGACCTGTGAGGGCCGCCACCTGCGGAATCCCACAGGGCAGCGCGGGGAAGCAGAGCGCGCGCTGGGCCCTGGTGTCCCGGGACGCTGCAGGACGACGCTCCGTTAACCTCCTGGCTCGTTCTGATACTGAGGCTGCATAAAAAGAAGGATCCCATACAAATGAAGGCCAGTGTAGCGGAAGGCTAAATACTTTTAATTAAAGGAAGGCACCTGGAGACCCAGCCGCTGGGAGGAGTGAACTAGAGAAAGTCCGCTGTGCTCTGGGCGGGGATGGGGAGAGACACCCTGGCCCTGGAGGGGCTCGCCATTCCTCCAGGGCCCTTCTCCTCTGCTACCCCACCCCTCCTCCCTACTCCTCCCACCTTCAGCAGGCAGAGGGGACAGGAGGTGGCCTGACCCAGAGGAGTTAAGGGTGAGGCTTGGGCGCCTGGAGGAGAGGGGACTTTCTGTCCTTTGGAACAACTCTGACATTGTGTCTCTGACCCAGAGCCCTGGGGACTCAACCCTCAGACCCCGATCTGAAGGTGCGGAAGGAGAAAGTGATTGTCCCCAGGCCACTAGGCAAGTGAGAAACACTCAGGCTTCCCAGGACTGCCAGCATCAGGGCCTTCTTGCTGCCCTGCTGCAAATTCTAGGCAGCAGTGAAGCCAAGGATAACACCTTGGGGAGCCTTTAGAGCACTCGCATTTCTTCTTCATCATCACCGGCATGACTAAAATTTGCAGAGCTCTTAACAAGCCCTGTGCCATGCGCTTCATCATCTCATTTAATCCTCACACAACTCCTGAAATGAAGGTGTTCTCATGATCCCCATTCCACAGGTGAGGTCACTGGGGGTTCAGAAGGGCTAAATCACCTGTTAAGGTCCCACAGTAACTTGCATAGAGGAGTCTCCAAGACAGTCCAACTCAGAAGTTCAAGGTTGCAGACCTTTTTCCTTAGAGATAAGGCACCAAGAATGGTGAAAATGTTGGACACGCCACGCTTTGGACAGCATCTGACACATAGTTGGTGCTTGCTCATAAAGTAGGTGTTCAGTCATTGCAGTGGCCTCCTCCTTTAGCCAGACCTCCCTTCCCATGGTCAGGGTGTGTGTGTTCCCCTGGAGGATGACTCTGGAGAGACAAAACATGGGACACAGGGACCACCTGCTGGCCCCCAAGAGCCAGGGTCAGGGGCAAAGGCATCTCAGATGCCTGGGTCCTGACCTCTAAACCAGGGTCTTTTCTGCAAGTGAAGATGGGAAAGGGTGAGTGCTGGCGCAGTCTCTTCCTCTCTCTTTGTGGAAAGGTATGATGAGGATTGGGGATAAAGCAGAACTGATATCTCTGAACCTGTAACTAATATCCAGAACCCAAAATGGCCCTGGTTGGCTTTAAGCTTCTTGATTCAGATTCACCTTTTTTTAGCACTCACTACATGCCAGGCACTCAAGTATCTTGCAATGTGCCAAGCAAAGGTATATCCTTATTCACTTGCCTTTTAGAACCAAGGTTCCTGTGGACACCAGGCACAGTGGCTCACACCTGTAATCCCAGCAACTTGGGAGACCAAGGCAGGAGGATGGCTTGAGCCCAGGAGTTCGAGATCAGCCTGGGCAACATGACGGGACTGATTTCTACTAAAATAAAATAAAATAAAATAAATTTGCTGGGTATGGTGGTGTACGCCAGTGATCCCAGATACTCAGGAGGCTAAGACAGACAGATTGCCTGAGCCCAGGAGGTTGAGGCTTCAGACTGCAGTGAGCTGTGATCAAACCACTGCACTCCAGCCTGGGTGACAGAATGAGACCCTGTCTCAAAAAAAAGGTTGCTTTATTCAAATTGGATTCTACCTCATCATGCCATCTCCTGTGCGGTTACTAATAATGAAAAAAATAAACAGCCTAAGCAGGGACTTCCTTGCAGTCACTGAATGGTCCTGTGGAGTGAAACCTACCAGTGACCTTGGCCTGAGTGTCAACAGGGTACAAAGCCCTGTAGAACTCCTTGCTCCTAGAAGGACAATAACAAACACAATCTTGTACAGACCAAGAGTTCAGTAGCACCAAATCCTTGTCTAATGGTCTGCTGAGAACCAGTTCTGGGAAGGAAGATCTTCAAGAATGGATAGTGACTTGATGGGAATTTCTGGACCCAGTCATGACAGAAGGGAACCTTTTGGACTTCTGAAAAATCAGCAAGTGCTCAACAGTCTTCACCAAGCAAAGCAAATGTTGGAGGACAATAGTCAATGCCAATGTCATCAGGAGTCAAACAGTAATGATCTTGTCTACCACTCCTCATAGGGCCTGAAGCTAGAACGCGGTTATTTACTCCTTCTCCCATCTACTTCTCCCTGGATCTCAGCGCAGGCCAGAGTAAGTGAGCCCCACAGAATTGACCTCATCCTCCCCCAGGGCCATTAGAACAATACCTCCCCCTTTGGGGCACCTGTAAATCAGGGCCCCAAAAGGGTCTGGCAGTGCTGGAATGAGGTGTGGCTTGGCAAGGAGACCTGCATGTTTAGTACAATGGCGTGATTGTGTGGATTGTTCCAACCCAGCAGCGCTCAAGTGGTCACATGTTCCCTGGGCAGCAGGTGCTATAACCTTTGCCCAGAGATTTGGAGCCTTCGGTGGTGAGACTGAGTGCCGACGAGGAGGAGAGCGGCCTGGCTGTCTCCCACTGCCCTTGGGATCTGGGGAAGGTCACTCCCTGACCCTGCCCATGGCCTGTGCCCAATTCTCACCCATATTCTACTCAGAGGGTCCTCAGCTATCCAGAAAAAAGAGAGAGGCAGGCAGCATGCCCAGGTAAACAATAAAAGGCTACTGAGTTTCTGCTTCTGCCACTAGCTGCCAAGAACCAAAGAGCGGCAGGCACAGCTAAGACTTCAGTCCAGTGTTTATCTTATTAACTGCTGTGTGCCCAGCACCCAGCACCACACCATCACAATGAGGCCATTGTGTAACCCTTGCCACTCAGTCATTCCATCGAACACTCATGTAAGCACAAGCTTTTACTGAGCATTGTCTCTGTGCCAGACACTGTTCTAGGCACTGGGGATACAGCAGTAAGCAAAACTACCAAGAATTCCTGCCCTCATGTAACTTACCTTCTACTGGGGAGAGACAGATGATAAATAAATAAGTGAAGTAGACAATATGTCAAATGGTGAAGAGAAATAAAGCAGAGTGAAAGGGATAAAGCCGGTGGCGGCGTGGTGGGGGAGGCAGCGTTGGTTTGCAATAGGGGGATTGGAGAAGAGTTCCCTGAGAAGCTATCTTGGAGCCAAGACTTGGAGGTGAGGGCTCAAGCATCTCATCAGCCCATCTATGGCAGTATTGGTCCTAGACCAGCATCCCCTCCTCACTTCTCTGATCTGACTGTCATCAGACAGAAACTTCCCCTGGGCCACTGGAAGATTTTGAGGTGGGAGGAGCCATATCTGCTTGCAGTGACTACTGGGCTTGGGGAAGCTGAAGCTCACCAAAGGACATGGGAAGATAGGATGGGGCTTACACTCATTCTGGTCTTCACAGGGCTGCAGCCCATCACCAGCAGTCAAAGATAGAATTGAGAGTCGAAAGCTGACTATGACAATATTTCCCCACCCATCCCCATCACCACTTCCCTCTATCCTCAGGGCTGCCATCATCCCTTAGAATTATGGGAACACAGTGCCCCACCAACACCCCACCCTGCCTACAACCTGGCCTCCTGCAATCCATTCGCCACACTGTAGCCAGAAAAAGCTTTCCAAAACATGTCTGTTCCTTCACTTTCCCCAACTAAGATCCCTTTGCTTTTTAGTATAAAGTCCACATTTCGCAACATGCCTACAAAGATTTTTGTGATCTAACCCAGCACACTTTCCCAGACCCATCTCTCAGCTCTCACTACAGATAACACACACACACACACACACACACACACAACATGCACTCTATTACTGTACTTTATTTCCCACTACACTGAACTTAGTTCCCTAAATGTACCTGGCCCTGTCTGGATTCTGGACCTTTTTCTGCCAGTACCAAAACATTCCACCTTTACCCTTCACATTCTCACATTTGCCTGGTGGATTCCAACTTTTCTTTCTAGTCTCTGCTTAGAGGTCTCTTTTTCTGGACAGCCAAGACTCTGTGGGTTACCCTCACTGCTCCCCACACCTCCACCTCTACACTCTAGCCACATTACAGCACGAAGCATACCTCCCTACCAGGACCTGTTTATTGGTTCCATGAGGACATGGTTCTTGTTTCAGTCGCCACTGTGTTCCCAGGCCCTAGCAGATAGTCCAGCACTTAGTAGATGCTCAGTAAATGCTTGTACAGCTAAATACGTCAAAGGGGAGGAGATCGAAAATAGAAAGGGCTGTCCTGGTGAGGGAACCATGGCATTATATTGATCATCATAATTGCCTCATCCCTTACTTTTCTCCATTTCTTAATAGTTTACAAGTCATTTTCACGTCACCCTGCTAATAAGATGTGGCTGTTACATGTATAGTTTTACTAAGTGTGAGAAACCCGAGAATTTGAGGTCAATGCTCAGAGCAGAGCGGTATCACGAACCCAGGTCTCTCTGACTTTGAGTCCAGGGTGCTTTCCACAACTCACAACTCCTTGGGCTCTAGAATGGAGAGACTAAGTTTCAAACATGGCAGTACAGCTATCTCTTGAATCCTGAACAAGAGACCATAAGACTGAACTCAGTCACCTAATTTGACTTGTCAAAGTGGCTCGAGGATCTCAGGGGGTCAGCGTGTACCCTCTCTTTATTTCCTGGTTACCTGTGGGCAGTCAAGGCTGCTTTCAGGATCAGGAGCATTACCCAGTCAGGACGTGCATCCTAAGCTTCTGTACACCTTGGTCACTGCCTGGAAAATGGCAATGGCCCTGGACTGGGGAATCTCTCCAGGTACTCCCTTCTTACGCTTCCCTACCTGCTTACCTTTAGTCTTTAAAGGGATATTCAAAAGCTGCAAAAAGACAAGACAGACTAGGTTTATGGGAAGCTAACTTGTCCATATTCATTCTAAAGGTGCCCAACCTGTACTCCCACAGTTCCATTTGTCACTTCTCATCTCTCCAGGAAAATATTTATACATACAGTTCATTACAGAACAATCTTTTTTTGTGGAGTACACTATCTTGGCTCACTGCAACCTCCAACTCCTGGGTTCATGGAGAAACTGAGCCTGGGACGCCATGGCTCTGGAAGCCATGGGAATGGTATCTTCTATTCTGGATTCTGCTCTCCAGAGTCACAGGTCCCTGGTAGCATGGAACACTCTCTCAGAACTCAGAGAGTTCTCAGACAGTAGAACTTGGCAGCCCATTGAGCTGCTGGAGTAGGCTCTAGTCTGTGACTGTAGTCTTGGATGCCGTAAGAGAAGACTCCTGAGCCCCAGAGAGTGCACAGTCAGATCTAGGATGGAAGGGAGGAATAAGGTCACTCACACCTGAGAGACCACCTCCTCAGTTTGTCCTCATTGCTCCTTCTCCCCAGCCGCCTTGCCCCACTGCCATTTTTGGGACCTCTCTCTGTCTCTCGGTATACCTGGTATAATGACAGTGACACCTCACCAAGGTCCATGAGCAATGCTTCTCTGCCATCTTTCTTGTGGCTAGTTTGACTTTCAGCCACTAACATTTATTGAGCACTCACTGTGCTCCAAACACTTTGTCTGCCTTAAACATCATAATATCGTACAAGAGAAGTGCCATTATTAGTCTCAGTCTTCAGACATAGAAACTTTGGCTCAGAGAAGTTGAGTGATTGGCACAAGGTCACACAGCCAGTATGAGAATGTGCCAGGGTTCTGGCTTTGGCCACCAGATTCCCAGCCCAGCAGTGTGAGCCCTATGGTCTCTCTGCATTATGGAAGAAAGGGTACCAGACCCCAAATAGGAAAAAAATCATTCTCTCAAGACTCTAGGCCATCTTCACTGGAGCAAGTGATTCTACTTAAAAAATAAAATCTCAGAGCAGATGGGATCAAAATCTATAAAGTGCAGGGAATGTGGACAAAGTGGACAGAAATTACCAGAGACACAGCACACTCCAGGAGGTTCAAAGGAGTGGTGTTTGGAACAAATAAAAGGAAACGCTACATGACATAAAATATGGTAGGCCTAAAAATAGAAAGAATTTTAAAACAAGTTTAGAAAATGTGTAAATGGATGACTCACTCATTCTTGCCACAAGTGTGTTCTGTGTCTGTGCTTTGCAAGCCCAGTAGGAGTTCAGTCGGAGAGCGATGGGATTCACCATGACACCAGCCTTTGATTCCTTTACATTCTTGCAGTTACCTACCCACTCTGTGGGCCTAAAAATCATACATCTCGTTACTGGGGTCAAGCTTCTTCTCAACAGTCCACTAGTGGCCCCTAACACTGACACGGTTTTTAAGTTTATTTTCTAGTTTATTCTAATGCTTCCTTGGAGTTATTACAGTTGTCCATGCCTTGGAGCTACTCCATGGGGTAGTGAAGAGAATGCTGGTTCAGGTGTTAGATGGACCTGAGTTCAGATCCTGGTTCTGCTGCTCAGCAAATGGGTGACCCAGAGCACCCTCTGCGGCACAGTTGCCTCAAAGCCCTGGCTTCACTGGGTGTTGTGAAAGATAAATGGGGCTGTGTAGAAGGCACTCCACAGTTCCTGGCATTAAGTAATACTTAGTAAATTACAGTAGTAGTAGCTGTTGTTGTTAGAAGGAAATACCATGCTTAGCATTCCCTCGGGGTAATGGTATGTCCACCCTGGTGTGGGGGCCACAAGCAGCAAGGATAGCCACTGAAGCATAGAGAGGAAAATGGGGTTCCAGACCCCTAAGCCCTCCAGGCTGCTCCTTCAGATGCAGGGAAGGCAGGCGCTGTGTGGTCCACAACATGACACAGGAGGACACAGCCCTGTAGTGAGCCTAGCCCCATGAAGGAGTGGGTGAAGCACCCAAGTTTGCTCCACTCAGAATGTGCCAGAAGCCCTCCTGGGGTAAGCAAAAGGCCAGTTAGATCTCTTGAATCTTCTCTATGCCTCAACCTCATTCCCTTGCCCCACTCAAACCTGCAGAGTCCCTGGTCCCTTCAACGGTCCCTGGGCACTGCCAGGAGCTGGGGAGGATAGGCCCTGTTCCGTGGTTTGTGCCCACAGCAGGAACCGCTGGCATTCCAAGGCCACAAAGAACAAAAGCCAATCCTGAGTCTGCTGAAAAGCCCTGGGCCTGGGTTTTTTCCTTGGCACTTCCCCAAGAACAGCTGTCAGGAAGGCAGCCACTCCAGGGCCCTGGCACTGGTTGGAGAGGATTCCTGCGCCCTGACTCCTGCTGCTCTGGGCTGGACCACAGGGGCCTAGCTGAGGGGAGGGCATTCCTGCCCGGTGAGCTGCTCTCATTCTTATGGTTTTCATTGAAATGTGCCTGTGGAAGAATCACCAGCAGAGTATCATAGAGAAATATGACCCTCCAGGATACCTCTAACAAGGATCAGATAGTAATGGGCAGATGATGTAATGCACCACTCTCTCAGGAGCAAATGAGATAAATGGAAATGTTCATGGAGGCTTACTGAGCAATGGAGGTTTCAGCAGTGGCTGTTCCCACCTTCACCATAAGGTCTGTCCTCAGTGTAGTTGTGAATGGAGTCAGTGTAGTTGTGTGGAGTCAGTGTAGTTGTGAATGGGAGCTTAAATGGAGGGCTTTACTCTGGGCACACCAACTCTCTTACAGCAATGGGGATGGAGCTGGAGGCTGTGATCCTAAGCAAATTAATGCAGAATCAGAAAATTAAATGCTGTATGTTCTCACTTATAATTGGGAGCTAAGCATTGAACACACAGAGACATCAGTATGGGAAAAATAGACTCTGTGATCTACTTGAGAGTGGAGGGAGAGGGATGGGTTAAAAAAACTACTTAACTTGGGGCGGCCTCTACAGCCAGCCCCGCTTGTCTCTCACAGGATCCCTCCTCCTGCTCCTGGCATGCTCCTGGCAGCCATGAGCCCGCCCGGTTGCATGCCCACTCGCCTCTGCCTGGAGGAGTGCTGCCGCGGGGGCGCGCCCCAGGTCCCCTACCCTGAGCCCTGATGCCCAGCTCCAGCGTCAAGATGCCAGAAGAACAAGAACCCAGCGCCGGCCTGACCTACCCAGCGCCTGCGCCCCGGCCTGCAAGACACCACGCCCTCCTCTGCTCTGCGTGGTGCGTGGAGGGGCCCCTTCGGATCGATCGCAGCCGCTGCCACCATAGCCGCCACCATAGTCGCTGAGGCAGGCGTCAGTGGGAAGGACCTGAGAGTGGCTTTCCCAGCCGGCTGCCACACAGGACCTCTGGATGCTTAGCCCGCCCGGCCGAGAGCTCTAAAGTCAAGGCATGACTTAACAGCTTATCTTGGAGGAGAACAGCTCAACTCAAAGGCAGATTGCCAGTTCGGAGTTTATTACAAGCAGAACTGCTATGATGTGCTTTTAGCACTGAAGTGAACTCCATTGTAAGTACAGAAAGTGGCATCTCTGCTTTCCCCCAGAAGCACAATCGTATACACCTTGCAGACGAATCACTGAAGATGTAAGCCAACTGTTACTCTGAGTTTCGGAGACCCCCTGTGGACAGCATGAAGCCTGTCCCTGATCAAAGTCTTAGTAAGCAGGAAGGAGTCAAGGTTAAGGAATGCGTCTGATTACCCTGAACTGTAGTACCTTGGAAAGTGAACCAAGGCTTGAGTTTTGTTCTGGAAGCCTGCCTTGCCTGCTTCTGTAATCTGGCGCTCTGCATGTGAATCTTGGATCTATATGGACACTGCTATATGTTACTGTCATGATTCTCTGCTCTTCCATGAGCTCAGACTTGGCACCTTATTTTACTTCTGAGCCACCTCTACCGTCCAGAAAGGTGGTGGACCTGTAGAACTACATTGTTCTGCCAAACCTGTGACCACTCATAGCTCATGGTTGCATAATGGAAAAAAGGATAGAAATATGGAACATACAAAGCTTCATCAGGGGACTTTGACAATGCTTTCTCTGAACTTCTCTCTTTTGGGTTTCTACCAATCCATTGCCAACAATAGCGTTGGTATTATTTTGAGTGGCCCTGTAACAGTATCCGTGGCAGTTTTTGGTGATTTTGGTTCATCCACAAAGTATGTTATTACAGAGGAGGAAAAAGTGCTGTCAGGATAATAGAAACGATGTCAGCTGTGATCGTGCAGAAAATCCAGAAGAGTTCAGCAGAGGAGACAGCTGTGTCTATTCAGAAACAGACAGCAACATTTTACGTTGGAATCCTCTTATTCTGCCACCTATCTCAGAGGACTGTGCTGAAGAGACAACATGGCCTCCGCCTGGTGTTCCTTTGCACAGCCCCTCAGGGGTCCTCCAGCAGCTCCAGGAAACTGGAGGATGTGCAAACAACCAGTCATGTTCCAACTTCAATCCTGTAACTAACTGCACAAAACAGGCCTGGGAGTGAACTGTTTGAAGGACCTTAATTCAAATCAGAGAAAATGACTATTTTTTTTTTTTTTGTAGCATAATGTCATGTCAATGTGTCTTAAAGTGTGAGCCCTTTTATATTATTTATGCCTTAAAAGTTTTCTTACCCATTCCTTCCTTCCTTTCAGGAAGAAACAACCTTGTTTTGCATAGCTTTCAATCACCTGGAGGGCAGAGGGATCATTCCATGTTTTCTAACAACCATAGTGGCAGTAAGAACTCCTCATGCAAACGATTCCGTCTCTTGGATGCTTCTGCTCAGAGGAAATGCAGAGGCCAATTGAAGGTTGCCACCAGTGAGGTTTTCAGGTGGAAAACTGTCTTTTAATAGTGTATTATCAAACTTTCTGAGAACACTTTGAGGTCAACCACAGTTTTGACCCAGTGTTTATAATAGCAGACCTGGCCGTTGAATTTTTTAAGAGTGCCTTCCACCAAAGTGGTAACGTGACCAGACGACTTTCTCTCTATCTGCACGTAGGCACAAGTGATGTTCAGTCTTCTAGGCGCTAGTCATAAGTGGTGTCGTGGACATGGTAGAGTGTGAGATGTAGTTGAATGATTGCAGTATGCAGAAAAGGAACCAAGACCAGAGAGACAAATAATGCCTTACTATCCCTCTGCTTTAAAATTCATTGATTGATAAAATGGCTGGTATGGGGCTCTTTTTGACTGCTTCTAAGAGTAGGAACAAAATAAGACTTTAAGTCGTGGCTTGAAAAGAAAGATACACATTTTCAGAAGAAAGAAAGGGGAGGGCTGCAGGGAACCTGTCTTGGAGGGAGCTCTTCAGTCAGCTCCATTAGCCTAGGAGCGTGCTCATGGTGTCACACTGCCAGTAACTAGTCACTCTCTCACTTCCAACAGGGGCAACAGCCTGAAGGTGTGAGTGTCAGAAAATACTTACTTTGGAAGAAAGGTGTGTTTTTTGTTGTTGTTGTTGTTTTTTTTTACCCTGAAGTTTCCTGACTTTTTTTTTCCAGAATGTCTTCCTTGTAAACAGGCACCTAAAGCATCGGTCAGCAGAGTTCCTGATGACTGCTACCTCTGTGTGACAAGGACATTTGCAGCTGTCTTTGGAAGGCTATTCTCCACATTAATAAATGATAATAATGATGATAATATATTTTTTAAAAACTACCTATTGGGTACTATGCTGACTACCAAGGTGACAGGATCTGTATTCCAATGACAGCAGTAATGCAAACATACAATTCTGTAGCCACTTATATTTTAATAGCATTATACTCTTTTAACCATCCTCATCTTGTATATAATCTCATTGTATGTTAGAATACAGCTATTAGAGCAATAAGGAAGAATGGATAAATAATCAGGTTTTTGTTTTTGTTTTGTTTTGTTTTGTTTTTCTTTGAGACAGGCTCTCACTCTGTCACCCAGGTTGGAGTGCAGTGGTGAGATCACAGCTCACTGCAGAGTCGATCTCCCCAGATCAAGCAGTCCTCCAACCTCAGCCTCGCAAATAGCTGGACTACAGGCTGAATTGTCATGCCTGAGTAATTTTGTTGTTGCTGTTGTTGGAGAGACAGGGTCTCACCCTGTTGCCCAGGCTTCTCTCCAACTCCTGGCTCAAGTGATCCTCCCACCTCAGCCTCTAAAAGTGCTGGGACTATATATATATATAATATACATGTATATATGTATATTTTCTGTATCTATAATAATAGTCCTTGGAAAATTAGCTTACTGCTTGAAAAAATATATATGAATGACCGCTTTGAAATATATGTATTTTATATATATACATATCTATATACACACACACATATATATGCATATATATGCAACCTTCCAGTGACAGTAGGTACGCTTTTGGCTTCTGAGATGAACATATTCATGATGATAAATATTTACTATGAATTCAGCTAAACATGAAACTCAGCAATATTCATGTCTATTTTTCTCTATTTCTACCTAAATCTGTATTTGAAAAGTTGTGCCTAAGCCTTCCTAGTTAGTTAGATTTTTATCCTTTACCATTCAATGCGTGTGTGGCTTGGAGACTGTTTTCACAGATCAGGAAGTTGACAATTATGTCCCACATTCAGTGGACTAACAACTCAGAGATCCTCTCTGTCATTAAACTTGTAGATCAGAGTTACTCCTTATAGATGGAGTCAGCCTTTTTTAGACTTTGTCCTCAGCAATCCTCATTAAAGGAGGCATTATTTTCTTGCTTTAAATAAATTCAAAAAACACATATCAGAAACTTTTGATATGTTTGTTGTGTGCCATATTGTCAGTAATTAAATTAAATACTAGAAAATACACCATTAAATATGATATTTGATATACAGTTGGCCCTCCATATGATAGGGTTCTGCATCCATGGATTCAACTCATCATGGATTTAAAAATTTCAGGAAAAGAATTGAATGATTACGTTTTCACTGAACATGTGCAGACTTTTTTTTGCTTGTCATTATTCCCTAAGTCATATAGTGTAACAACTACTTACATAGCATTTACACTGCATTAAGTATTTTAAGTAATCTAGAGATAATTAAAGTACATTGGAGGATGTGCTTAGGCTACATGCAAATACTTCACCATCTTATGTAAGGACATCTGAGGATTATTAGCATCCAAGATTTTGGTATCTGTGGGGAGTCCTGGAATCAATTTCCAGTCGATACTTAAGGAAAGGCTTCATACCAAGTTAACATGACCAAAATATACATATTTCTGATAATAAGGATATTTTACTGCACATGTGTCTTAAAAATTTCAAAGACCTTAATAAATTTGGAATTTTATTAAAGTGTAATGAGGCTTCTGAGTATTCTGTATTTTCTGAAGCAAAAAGTGAGTCTTACTTTCTATTCTGGTAATGACATGTTCCCAGGTAACTGTCTGTAGGATGCCATCGGTGAAATTACTAAAACCTAACAGGTTTTCAGTCTTTTATCTGTATCATTGTCATTCTGTTAAGATCTGTGTCCATCAATAGTTTGTTCCTGAGCTAAAGAAAATTGACTGAGCCTATCAATTTGATAAGCATCCAATTTATATCTTCATTAAATAATATTTCTCAGTATCCCTGTTGATTTTGGTTACATTCAGTAGCCAAAATCAATAGTAATACAGGGGTAAATTTGGTAGCCTTTTAAATAGTTGTATCATATGTTTTCATCAATTAGTTTGTGCATTTATTCTTTTATTCAAACAGACAATTATTGAATATCAGTTATATCTTAACCATTGTCTACTTTCTTGGAATATAACTGTATGTAGTACAAACACAATCCTTTTCTTGTAATTTGAAAAGCAGAAAATAAGCCTACTATTACATTGTGAGTTTTACAAAGAAAAGTATAAGGTTTTCTGAGTCTTTAAAACAAATAGCCTAATCTAGCCCAGGAGCTAAAGAAAGAATTCCCTGAAGAAATATTGGAACTTACACTTGATGAAATGTGACTTAGCAGATGTGGAACAGAGAAAAGGAAATTCCGGTTCAAGGGGAAGAACCCCGTGCTCTTGCATTAACCCATCAGTTTGGATAAACACACGCAGGTATTCATTTACCTGGGCTGGCTTGGAAATCTAGGGGAAAAAAAAGATACAGCATAAAAGAAAAGACATGCACAGTATTCTAAGAGAGAGTAGTTTAATGAAAATCAAAACAAATGTATACCTCCGCAATTTAAAAATGGTACAAATTTTATAGAAACAGATAAAGAAAATCAAGTAGTCAGTAGGTTAGCATTTTCAGAAGATGGTGTTTCTGATACCTTTAGTCATGTTACTGACCTATCCCTGATTCTGTGAGTGCAAACGTCTAAGAGTGTAAGGGAAAGAACCTGAGAGGCTACAAATGAGAAACCTGTTGGCCACATTAACAAAGCTTACCATACCAGATTCATAATCTAGAAACATCCCTATCTGTCCTAGAGGCCTTTCTGTATACTGAGGTAATAGTGAGGAAGAGGTCTTGAGATGACACCAGTAGCCTTCTTGACATGAAATGTAGAAAAAAATTCTTGGAGTTAACCAGCATGTCATTTCTTATTGTCCAAGAATCGTTGCAAAATCCAACAGCCCAGTTCCAACACTGCCCAACATCCACCTCTCAGTAATATCTTCAAAAGTGAATGGCAGGGCTTGCCATCAAGAAAACAGATTTTGTTGGAGCTGGGGCAATGCTGAGATCATCAGAACCAAAGAGTAGCTGTCTCAGAACTTCAAACGAGGGGGATGCAAGAAGTGGTTATTTTATTATCCCGGGAAATATGTGCTGCAGGAATAAGAAAACAGTCACATGAAAACACAGTGTTATAAACTTCTAATGGAGGTGGGCTTTGCATAGTGTCTACATATGTCAGGTTGTCACTGGAAATATGGGTCAGGACAGCAGGAATACTCGTGAAGTTTACTGATGTTCAAGGGTTACTCCATATTCATAACAAGCAAATCCTGAACCAGAAAAATGGGGAAAAATTACAATATTTTTTGGAATCTATAAAGAACAGAAATTATTGCTAAGCTCACATGCCCTAGAACATTTAAATTTGTAGAATTTTTAATAATTCGAAGTGAGTAGCAAAAGCAGCTTGCTCTTATTCTCAGAAAAATAATGTAAATAATAACTCTTATTTTAAATAACCACTTTGTCTCCGATTTACGGATTTTTCACTGAAGCATGCATAGGTATAATAAAGTAAAAGAAAATCCACATATGCTTTTGAAAGATTTCTTTGTGAGAATTCTCTGCCAGAGTATCTCTTGAGAAAGGGATAAATCCAGTGAAATTAGTTGCCAGTTGACTTTGTGGCTGTTGTTATAAATATTCCTCTAATGATTTTAATATCGTGGATGATTATACAAACTATTTTGTGTATTGTTATACACCACTGTAATACTGAGTGTCAGTAACCACAAGCTGGGGCTTGACAAGCTTACCTGAGGCAGGCATCCTGCTTCCTCAGACCCAGCTTCCCTAAGGGCACCCTACAGCCTTTCCATTTGAAGTTGGAATCCACCATCTGCTACCTACAAAAGCCCCAAATCCTTGAGGGTCTTTTCTTTTGCTTCTTTACACCCTGCTTTCACCATACACTGTCAGAAATACTTACCCTTCCCCCATAAGTCCTGGCGTAATTTGGGGCTGTTATGTCAATTTCTTTATACACTTTGACAATTAAAATTGGAAATGGTAATTTTCTCTACGTGATTTCTCTATAGTTCCTTGAAAATAATAGCCCTGCCTAACAAACAAACAAACAAAATCTTTCTACCCTTTAAGAAGGGGAAGACTAAATATACTATGAAGGAGGGTACATTTTCATAAGAAACTATGTTCCCACTTCAGTATGAGACTGATCACTGTTACAGTTCTCAAAACTTGAATATAGGAAGAAATTTACCTTTCTAACACATTTCTAAAATTAGGTAAGAAAGAATAGAGAAAGTCTTAGCATTCATCACAAAATTCATAGTGAAGGCTTAATTTATTAGATTCCTGAGGATGGGTGAGCCCAAAGTTTATAGCAATTGGTATCCAGGAAATGGCCATCGAGGAAATATATTGCATGGATTCCCAAATTTCTAAATATCTGAATATATTTAAATACAAATTCAAAAAGCTTCAAATAAACTTTTTTACTGCAGTTTTTCAGCAATTGAATGAATTTTGAAAGGAAATTTTTTTCTGGGGTGTTTTCTACTGTTTTTGTTTGTTTGTGTTTTGCTCCTGGATCAAGAAAAACTGACTTTGTCTCTTTTGTTACTAGACAAGCAATTCACTTTCAAGCATCATGAAAGCATCATTCCAAACACATCACAGAAGGCAAAGAGAATGAGGTCATTTTTCCCAGTGGACTCTCTTGTTCTCAGTCCTAATCTGGAGCAGCTCCAGGTCTGGTTTATGGTACATTTCCTTCAGTTTCTTATACATTCCTCCTACGGCTTTCTCCTTTCATTTCATTCTGTCTTTACTGTCTTTACTTCTCTTTGCTTTCCTATTCCAGTCTCTCCAAGTGACATTCCTCTTCCTCATAAAGCAAATGACAAACTCTGCAATACACAGCATGAATCATCTTCCTCTGTAGATTCACATGACCCTGAAGTAATAATGAAATCATTGGAACACATAGTCTACTTTTATTCATGCCTTTTTATTTCTTGTTTTATCTTAAGATATTTAGCAATTTGTTGCAATGAATGAACCAAAAATTAGAGACTGGTTTCTCTTTCGTTTCTTCCTTTTCTTTCCTTCTTTTCTGTGTATGTATGTATATATGTATTTGCACCAGAAGTCAAAATCTGGCCTTCAACTCTTTGCCCTCAAGTATCTACACTTGATTTAAAAATGGTAGCTTATGATTTGATAATTAATTATCTTATAATACACAAAAACCTCATTACTAAATCCGTTTAGTTTCTTTATTCTCAAATATTTTACCTGTACGCTGATTCTTTATTCTCAAAAACAGTAGCGAATATTACTTCATAGAATGACATAAGATGTTTCCAAAATTTTTTCTTTTAGCAATTCAAAAACTACCTGCTAACCAGAGCCTGACCCCATTAGTGCAACTTGCTTCTTCTTTTCTAAGGCTTTGCCCTACACGTAGAAGCTGACTTCCATGCTATTCTCAGAGACATTATTCAACAGACAATCGCCTTCCAATATTAATTTCCTCTCTCACTTTCTTGTTCTCGCCTTCTCTTTGTTATTTTCTCTCAATTTTAAAACCTACTTTATTTACTCCCACTGTTTCGAAATAAAACTAAATAGCTACATTGACCCAATATCTTCACTTGATTTTTGTGCTATCTCCTTTGTCCATAACAAAGCATATTCCTGACCACATGAGTATGTTCGCTGTACTCATTTGTGAAACTTTCCATCTTTCTTCAACTCAATGAAATCTTTCATACCCAACAGTTTACACAAACCATGTTCTTCATCTCACCACCAATATCCTTTGAACTACATTCTTTATCTGACCACGAACTTCCTTTGCTAAACCCACATATTTTGATTCCCATTATTTCTAGTCCTTTCTTCTGTAAAACTCATACAAACTTGGTTTCTGAAAATTATTTTTAAAAATAAAATAAAACCTTCTCTCATATTTTTCTTCTATCAACTCATGTTTACCAGTTTTTCTTTCCTAGCCTGGCCCATTAATACATGGATTACAGAAGGTGTTTTATTTAACCCCACCCCTCCACTGCCTCCTTGGCACTTTCCTGATTAACCTGAAAGCTCCAGAACTGGGGACAGCTGGTTCCCCTTTCATTCCCCCATATGGAGGTTGGGTTGGGTGGCCTCGCAAAGCCCCAGCTGCCTTTACATATTTTGGTAGCGGTTCAATTGTCTTTCTGGAAAATAATCATTTCAGATCACTAATTTAACCCACCCACTTTCACTTACACATACAAAGAATGTGCAGGGAGGAAGCAGAGTTTTCTTTCATCCTGGAGCTGTGGATGATGGACAGAGAAGCTGACTGCTTTCTCTCTGCACACTCTCTGAAAAAGCCTTAGTTCCTCCTCCCTGCACTCCCTGCAGCCCCTCTCTTTACCCTCCCAAGACCTTTAGTGCTCACACTTTATCCAGCTCATGTAGATACTATTCCCAGTAACCAAAATCTCCCGCCATTATTAACACAAGAGGAATAGAGGAGAAATCCATCCCCCATCCCTACTCCTGTCAGAGCAAGACAGCCACCCCAAACATCCGTTCATCTCCAGAATTTTCCCACTACTAATAAGGAATGGTCAAGATCAACCCTTTGGGTGCCTTTTTCTAACCTCCTTTCCCAAGTGTAGCTGACTTAATTGAAACATTTTCTAAAGCCAAAAACTTGCACTTGAATTTGCTGATAGTTTGCTGGAGACACCTCATGGTCCACAGTACCATATCTGAGAGTAAACCACACAGTCAGGTAATTAGCCATTGTGAAAGATGGGGGTGGTAGCTGCTTGTTATTAGGGATTCTATACATTTCAGATCTCTCTCTCGTATATGCAATATATATATGTAATGTATTATATATGATACTGGAAGTAAACTACATATTAAACAATATATAACACATATATTCATGTATATGTATAATATACATATATATATTATATATAGCTAAAGACATAGATACATAGATATGTAGATAGATATGTACCTCTAGCTCTACCTATGGTATTTCTTTCTGACTCGTCGTCACTGTTGCTCAGGCTGGAGTGCAGTGCTGCTATCTCACTCACTTCAAATTTTGCCCCCCAGGTTCAAGCTATTCGCATGCCTCCGCCTCCTAAGTAGCTGGGAGTACAGGCATGCGTCACCACACTCTGCTAATCTTTGTATTTTTAGTAGAGAGGGGGTTTCACCTTGTTGGCTAGGCTGATCTCGAACTTCTTACCTCAAGTGATCTGTCTGCCTGGGGCACCAAAAGTGCTGGGATTACAAGTGTGAGCCACCACACCAGGCTTATAATACATTCCTGGATGAGGTGTTTTGGAGCAAGGATGGGCAAAAAGGCTGCTAGGTAGGGTCCTGGAGGGATACTGCAGGGACCAGGAGCAGTGCTTGGAGGAGGAGAGGATCAGGACATACTGCAGAAATTGACCTTCAGGAATAGCTGGAGGTGGCCAGGCACAGTGATGGAGCTGGATCCAGTGAGGTGGGGCGGAGATTTCTGCTGGGCTGGAAACCAAGAGGACTGCCCAGAGACACTTCTGTCAAGGTTGCAGCCAAAGAGTATAAGCTCACTGTATCCCTGGCACTAAGGTTCTTTTAAGAACGCTAGTTGTTACTTCATGAACAGTCATATCAAGGCATACTATTTTTGGAAAGGCATTTTCTTCCCTCTGCCCTCTCCTTAAATAAGAAACAAAGAACAATAACAACAACAGCATGTCCTATTGATGCTATTTGTATGGAACGAAACTTGAACTTTTATAAGGTAAAGATCGGTCAAGATAGCTTTCCTAGCATCCTGACTCTAGAGCTCTCCTGTTGATTCCATAAGGTATTCAATAATAAGAGCGTCGACTTTTTGCTCTGTCCTGGTTCTGCTTCTGTCTCCACTTACTTTATGGGGGCCTTCGCTTTTTTTGATCCTATTGTGTCAGCCTTGTTTAATATGTAGTTTACTCCCAGTATATTCTTCTCAGTATGGAATTTGATCCTGGAAGAGAATTTGGGCTGGTTATTTTAAGAGCTGTAGAAGCCATATGGTCCCAGCCGCTTTTTATCTTATCCTGCACTCTTGCTTATTGATGTGTGCAAACTCCCACCCTACTCAGTTTCAGCAGCTCTTTTTTAATTACCTTGCACACTTTCTAATGAATCCTCGTTGCTGACTTGGGGCGTTCTCAAATCTACATGTGTTCTGTTCACCCTCTCTGCTTCATCCTGAAAGGATTCTGATTCCTCATGGATATTGCTGTTGCACCTGATTTGTCTGTGACTATTCATATTTGGGATTTTTGTAGGGTACATTGTCACTCAGTGTTGTTGTAGATATTGTTCATGAATTTTGATTTTGTTATTCTAGATTTTACTGTTTTTCTTTAGAGGTTTGGAAATGGTCTGTAAGTATACTGCACCTCTCTAACTTTTCAGAATTTTAAGGTGCAAATTTTTAAAATGTGCAAACAAGGAATGCCTCTAAACTGGATCTCAATGTGTTTAGCAGGTTCCATGAGCTGTGTGTAACAGAAGACCAGAACAAAAGAATTGTAGAAGTAGCTTCTCCACAGGCATCACGGCCTTCTTCTCTTCGAGTGTTTCGGTATGCTGTTTCCTCTGTCTGGACGTCACTTCCACTTCCAATACTTCTTTTTTGAATTAATACTTGTTTTATCAAGGATAAATTTTGATTTAATTGCCTTGCAGAAACATTTTTACATTTAAAAAATTGTATTGTACTTTCTATCAATTGCATTGCATTCAAGGATCTCCCATTATTATGTACAAATATATATATAGTGTGTATACCTATACATATACACATACATATATATACACACACATACATATACACACACCCATAGAATCAACACTATTTTTTAAAATTTCTGGTACTTAGGTCAAAGTTGGGATCAAATTCTAGCAAGGGTGCAGGTCTTTATGCATTGCAGACAAATATCGTTCATTGAATTTTTATTTATTGAATGTAATATATCTTGTTATGTAATATGCATTACTTAAAGGTTTTGTTGGAATTAAATAAAGGAGAAATATGGATGATGAAAGGAATAAAGGAAAAAAAATGTGAAAATCAACCTAACATTTTCTGTAAATCTACTGTGAGATAGGTACTTTATAAGCATTAAGTGTAACCTTTACCTATATGTAATCTCACTGTAATTTTTTTGGTTTTTTTTTTTTGGTTTTGTTTTGAGATGGAGTCTCGCTCTGTCACCCAGAGTGGCCCGCAGTGGCATGATCTGGGCTTATTGCACCCTCTGCCTCCAAGGTTCAAGCAATTCTCTTGCCTCAGCCTCTTGAGTAGCTGAGATTACAGGCAAGTGTCACTGCACCCCGGTAATTTTTGTATTTTTAGTAGAGAGGAGGATTCACCATGTTGGCCAGGCTGGTCTCGAACTCCTGACCTCAAGTGATCTGCCACACTCAGCCTCCCAAAGTGCTAGGATTATAGGCATGAGCCACCATGCCTGGCCTAATCTCACTGTAATTTTATTCCCACTTCATGAATGTATAGATGAGGTAACAAAAGCGAAGAGATCATTATTTTAACCAATGATATTTTATTATAATAGCAAACTCAGAAGTTCAGTTTCTATTTGTCAGTACTTCTGCTTTTTAAACCAAATAATACCATCTTTAACTCTGAGTGTCACGAAGTCAAGAATTGTACCTTTCATCTGTGTGTCACACATAAGGAGGGCAAGACTTAAAAAAGAGTAGATGCTGAATGAATTTTAAAACGCTGTATTTAAAATCACAAGCAAAGCCCCAACTGCATTTGTACATCTCACCATCTAGCCTGAGCTATAGGCCTTACTACCACTTAGTGGCAAATGTGAATTATGGTATCTTCTAAATTGGAAGTAAAAAGAATCAGATCTTTAAAGTTAATTTTGCAAACTTGATGTTAAGAAGCGAAACAAGGGGCATAATATGCAAATACATTTTCTAAATAAATTCAACCCATCAGCCATCTAGAATTCATGAAAAAATGGTGAAAATGCCTAAATCCCCAGAATCTGTAAGAAAATGAAAGTGTGATAGTAAATTTTATGTGTCAGCTTGAATTGGTCTCTGTAAAGTAGGTTTCCCTCCCCAGTAGCTCCTGAATAGAACAAAGGGCAGATGATAGAGGAGTTTGACCCTTTTGTTCCTGCCTCACTTCTTAAGCTAGTACATCTCATCTTCTCTTCTCTTACCCTTGACCTGGGGTTTACACCATTGGCTTCCCTGGTCCCCAGGCCTTCAGACTCAGATTGAATGACACCTCTGGCTTTCCTAACTGACCAGCTTGCAGATTGCAGATCATGGTATTTTTTGCCTCCACAATTTTGTGAGCCAATTCTTCATCATAAAATTGGTCTTTCTGGGTGGGCGGATCACTTGAGGTCAGGAGTTCGAGACCAGCCTGGCCAACATGGCGAAGCCCTGTCTTTACTAAAAATACAAAAATTAGTCAGGCGTGGTGGCGGGTGTCCGTAATTCCAGCTACTTAGGAGGATGAGGCAGGAGCATCTTTTGAATCTAGGAGGCGGATGTTGCAGTGAGCCCAGATCGCACCACTGCACTGCAGCCTGGGCGACAAGACACCGTATCTGTCCCTCTCTGTCTCCTCTCTGTATTATTCTATCTCTCCCTCTGTCACTCTGTTTCTCTCTCTATGTTGGTGCTACTGTTTCTCTGAAGGATGATGACTAATACACTAAGGAAAAATTACATAAATATATGATAAATTTAACAAAATAAATTTTTAAAAATCGATATACATTATAAAGTTAACCAAATAATAATAACAGTAAATAGCAATTTTCTTTTTTTATAATTTATTTCAAATGTACACATCAGCATAATTTTCATGATTTTAAATTCTGTAAGCATTAGATTGAAAGTCAGAAGCAAGCCAAGAACATATTACTTTATTATTGCTTAACATTCTCCTGGATACTTTAATCTGATACATTTAGAGGTATAAAATGGTAAATATTTTCATTATTTTCTGAAACTTATTTACCTAGAAAAAACTTTTAAATAAAAATTTATTAAGATATCTAGGGACAAAATAAACACATGATAGTCAGTGGTTTTCATACAAAAAGTATACATCTACTTCTGTGATGCTTATATTCATGAGAACAAAATATGAAAATAGCCAGAAATGTTTAAGAGAATGAAGGTATACTGAGAAGGCACTAACCTCAGGTTGATTTTCAAACATATTAGTAAACCAAAAAAAATTAAAACAATGTTATATTGGTGCATGAATTCATAGAGCAGATAGTGAAACAGAATAGTGTATTTATCTATATGTGTCTTTCTGTGCATCTTTCTATCAATCCTGAGTGCTTAAGGTGAGATTCACTTGCACCTGAATCAGCAGAAAATATTTGGAGCTTCAAGAATAAATGCAGATGGCACTTAGAGATGCTGCACCCGATGTCATAAGGGATTCTGTGGAGGAGCTCATTCCAATGAAATAGGTAAGTTTTTATTTTGTATTTTCATTTTTTTGGAAATGAGAAAGAAAAGTCTCAATGAAAGCTAAGAGTCAGACATATATACGGAAATATTGCTGCCTACTCCCAGGCATGCGAGTGACCAACTCCCTACTTCAGGGAGTGGAGGAGTGAGATATCAAGAGTACAACAATTTTGTTAAGACACCTACCCCACCTTTCATCAAATATCCCCAAGCCTAGACTAAGTGCAGGAGTCCTGAAAAACATTTCCACAGGGAAGGTCGGGGTCCCAGGCTCATGGGTGTCTTCTTACTGCCTTTAGCAGAACAAAAATGAGTAAAGCAAAGCTTCTTGCTTCAGAAATATTCAGTCTAGTACAGTGTGTATCCTACATCTAATCATCGCTTCATTCCAGAAGCTTTAATTGCACAAAATTCACTGGGAAAGGCATGATATTTGTCTGTTTTTTAAGGATAAGGTTGGTATTGGCTCAAACTTATATTTATTCTCCGCAAAGAGTCCCTCCCAGGTTTGTAATCCTGATGTAAGAGGGTGCTGCACCAAGTTGCTTCTTTCCAACCTGTCCTACTTTGTGTAGAGGAGGAGAGCGGGGAAGGAAGAAAAGAGAAAAAAAAAAAGCAAAGAAGTAAAAAGAGGCAGAAGGACAGTCCCTTTTCCTTGACACGGATGGCATGAATGGGCTTTTGCGGAGAAACTCTGCCTGACCCTGGAGTCTGAGTCAGGCAGAGTCTGAGTCAGGTGGAGTCCCAGTTAGAAGTCCTCTGAGGAAGCTGCACTAGAGTCACTGCCCTCAGACATCAACTTCCATGTCTTCCCCACTGCTGCAGTCTAAAGAGTTACTGCTTTCTTCCTCTTCGCCATCTTTCTTCCTGTTCTCTTCTGGTTCCATGGAGACCTGACAGTTTACCCAAATAGTCTGTGATGCCTCTGTTCCTGCAGCCTGGAGCCCCTGCCCCTCCCCAAACCCTTCTTGCAGACCCTTTGCTGATGAGGACTGCGGATCTGTTTGTTTCAAGCTGGGGGCCGGGCCTCCCATCATCGCCATATTCTTACCCTTAGCATAGGTCGATTCTTTGTACGCAGCATAATCTTCAGGTGACAAAGTCTTGAGCCAGAGATCCAATTCCACTTTGTATTCCTTCTGCAGCAACTCAGCCTGGCTCTTGTAATGATCCTTCTGGCTCTGCGGGATGCGCTGCCAGCGTCTGCCAATCTCTACCATGCGCTCCCTCAGGGACAAATGTTGCAGCTCCTTACTTGACCAGGAATCTTGGTGAAACTTGTGGTATCCATTCATGGGGGGTTTCTGAGGCTCTCCATGAAATTTTACCTTCTTGAAAAATTGATCCGTTTTTGGAAGAGACGTCACTTCTTCAATATTTTTCTGAACTTTCTTTTGCACTTTGGTTTGAATCCTCTTGGAGATATCAGATTTCTTGCCCTTCTGGTCTAAATCAGGGTGCTCTTCCCTGAATCGAACAAGTTTTTCCTCAAATTCTTGCTTTTCCTTCTGGAAATCCTGAATATATTTCTGTTTCATCTGCTCTGGGAGCTCCTTGTATTTCTTTGACAGGATTTTGGTCAGTTCCTGGCTTCTCATCCCAGGGTACATTTGGGAGTACTGGGGCCAATTCTCCTTGAAGAAGCGGATATAAGCAGTAAGGGGCCTCTTTGGAAAGTCTGGATGGTTCCTGCCTTTTTGGCTTTTGTTTGTATTTTTAACACATTTCTTAGCTTCCAGGACTAATTTTTTCAAAGTGCTGAATTTTCTCAAGCTGCAAGAAATCTCTAACCATTTGAGTCTGCACATTTCACCAGAAAAGTTTTTAAAAGCTACTTTTCCCCAGTCCATGTGTGACTGAGTTGAGCTGAACGTGCCGTTGTCATCAGATGGGAGATTATTCTCCATGCATTCCAGTAACCTCAAGATGTCTGCGTTGGACCAATGGCCTTGGCTTCTAGGCAAAGCCATTTTGATGTCTTTGGCTTACTTATAAGATCCCAGTTATGCAAACACCAGAGTAAGAACACAGAGTTCCTTACTTTTAAGAGTCAGTGGATGATTTCTTTCTGGAAGTCCTGCAGTATGTGTGATTCTGTATTTCTGAGGAGAAAGAAAGGAAAGTTACTCTGCTTCATTGGGATTAATGAAAAAAATTACACCCTATTCGCCATATATCCCTTGTATAATTAATTTACTCTTAAGGATATAAATAAAATATAGCCCATTTCTGAATGAAAATCCATATTTGCCTTTCATATGCTACATGCGCAATATTCAACATCTCCGCACCCCACCCCAGCCTTCTTTCTGCCAGATCTCGCATGAACCGATCTTAAATTGAGTTGCATAAGGCAAACACCAGACCACTCATCACTTAAGAAGCTTAATAGAACAGAAATGCCCTGAAGACAGAGTCAAGAGCTAAAGTGGAAGGAGAAATGCCTAAACCGGAAAGACTGTTCATTCTACAGTGCCCTGAGTATCGCCATTTTCTAAGCACAGCCCAAATAGCCATAGCTAAAGGTGCAGATGAGAAGTTAAAGATGCAACAGGACAAGCCCAAGAGCTCCTCCAGACATGCATCCAACTGTTACCTTTTTATGAGGGAATGTGAACCTGTGATAAAAGACTGAATTAAAGATTCTCCAGGACCCATGCATGGGAATGAATGCTTTCTAGCGAACCATACCGCTTCTCCTTTTAAATATCAAGGATTTAATGACAATTATAAAACATTTCAATTTCAGTTGGTTAACTGTTCGTCATCTTTAAGCCTCAGTGAAAGTTTGGCTTCCTCCGGAAAGTGCCTCCAAAATACCTGGCATTTTCCATTATAGAACTTGAAAACATGGCAGATCCGATAACTACTGCTTATTTTATTTATTTATTTATTTTTACCAATTTTGTTTTGCCTAAAGTAATTCCTCTGGGACATGATTTCCCAACTAATTCTCCAAATTCTCATAACTCTTTCACTTGTCTTTTTAGGATAATCTTCTATTCTAAGACAAAGCCTAACTTCAGTAAAATTGTGTACAAACACATACAACATTAAATTAAACCAGATCTTAAATAGAGGGTGCATAAGGAGTGTAACATGGGGCCTTCGGGGGAAAATATGCATTAGAAGGGAAAGAGAACAGAGTTAAGATGTCAGTGGAGGTTGAAATTCTGAGAATGAGTTTCAGAATATGTGAGAATATTTTTGAGAACTATTTTTAATTCTCAGTAGAGTACAGAAGGATGTAGCCTTTGAATGACGTTAAAAATTCACTAGAAGTGTGAAGAATGTTATAATATCACATGCCTCAAAACACAAATTCCTTAATATAGAGATTAAAATGTTTTAAAATACTGGATAATAATTCAAGTCCATATTTGAGGTAGAAGATAAAATAAAGAATAGCTCATATATCAAATTTATTATGTGAAAAAGACTTTTGGAAAATTGTTCATAATAAATGAAAATGTAAATAAAAAATTAAAATTTATAATAAAGCATTAAAATAAACTGTGAAAAACTTAGAAGAGGGTAAACTTGAAAGTTATTGAATTTTTAACCTCAAAAATCTGAAAAAAAGTCAGTTCATTAGTGTCCTTAAAAAAAAAAAAAACTTAATAATATAACAGGAGAGTAATTAAGAAAAAAGTAACATTCACAAAGGAAAATAAAAAAATTAAAAAATATTTGATTCCATACTTTGTGTTTAAGATCAAAACATACTCTGAAATGGTTCAGGGATAAAAAGATGTCAAACTTCCAAATATATTGTAAGTGATGATTACAAAAAATAAATACATAAATAAATATAAGATGTATTCTAACTCAGAAAAAGGGGAAGTCACACAGACTTGATGTGGGAAAAGAGATGTGGAATACTCAGAATCTGAATTTAGGAAAAGAAGTACCGTCTTCCCAATTGTAAATGTTAGGATGATGCGTATAAAGCAGCGAAAATAAAAATACAGTTGTGTTTTTGTTGTTATGTGGCTCTTTTATGAGCCAGACATTTTTTCAAATTGCCAGTTAAAGAGCGTGGCCCCCCAAAATATGTGTCTAAGTCCTAACCCCTGAAACCTGTGAATATGACCTTTTGAAACTAGGATCTTTGCAGATGTAATTACCTTGGTAATCTCCTAATGAGATTAGTCTGGGTTTAGGGTGGGACCTAAGTCCAATGACTCGTATCATTATAGAAGAAATCAAAGGAAGATCTGAGACACATCGACAGCCATGTGGAGACAGAGGCGGAGACAGAGCTCACTGGAGCTATGCTGCCACAAGCCAATGAAAGCTAAATGTTCCCATCAGCCACCAGAAACCAGCAGACAGGGAGGGGCTGGATTTCTACTCAGAATCCCCAATGGGAACCAACTCTGTCAACATGTTGATTTTAAATTTTAGGTTTTCAGTATGTGAGAGAGCAAATTATTGTTTCATCTGTGATAGTTTATTACAGCAGCCCCAGCAAAGTAATACGCGAATGTTTTACACTTATTATTAATATCTTATTTTTCTCCTTGAATCTCTATGAGGTCATTTTATGCTTGCTGTTCTATTACTTCCATGATGAAACTGCGACCAGGTGTGGAGGCTCATGCCTGTAATCCCAGCACTTTAGGAGCCTAAGATGGGAGGATCACTTGAACTCAGGAGTTCAAGATAAGCCTGGGCAACAAGTGAGAAACCCCTGTCTCTTAAAAAAAGAAAGAAAGAAGCTGGGAAAAACTAAGAATTTATACAGGGCCCGGCACGGTGGCTCACGCCTGTAATTTCAACACTTTGGGAGGCTGAAGCAGGAAGATTGCTTGAGCTCAGGAGTTTGAGACCAGCCTGGGCAACATAGACAGACCCCATCTCTAGAAAAACAAAAATTTAGCCAGACCCACACTTGTAGTGCCTGTAGTCCCAGCCACTCTGGAGGCTGAGGTGAGAGGATGGCTTGGGCACAGGAGGGCAAGACTTCAGTGAGCCTTGATTGTATCAGTGCACTTCAGACTAGGCAACAGAGTGAGACCCTGTCTCAAAAAAATTAACCTTGTCAATTGTATGTGATTGCCCTCTTTTCTGTGTTAGAATACATCTTTTATTTGTTTACTTTTTATTTTTTATCATCATCACTTGTAAAATACTTAGAAGTTTAAGACATCCTTTTATCCTTGAACCATTTGAGGGTAAGTTTTGATCTTAAGTATAATGTATGGACTCCTGTGACTTTGTGAAGCTGTATGAATTCTTAATTTTTAATTTTTATTATTATTTTTTAATTTTTGTGACATAAAAAGTAAAAAATAAAAATAAATTAATAAATAAAAATGTATAACCTTCACAAAGTCACATGTTTTCTATTTTATAGAGTAAAAATATCAAAAAATAAAAAGAGGCTTTGAAAAGAACATTCAAACAACAAAACAGATTTTGTAAATTAAAAATACCATTACATAAATAAAAACTTCAGTGGAATATTAGGAAAATAAAAAAGTGCCTTTGAGCATTTTGGAAACTTTGCAGACGACCAAGGCTGCATGCAACCTGAAGTTACGGACAACATAGAACTTTTCATATTCTACAATAAATGTTTCCAATTAAATTCTAGATGTCATGTTACAGATAAAACTGTAAAATATCCAGGACTTTCCGTCCAGAAGTTCACAATTTTTATACCCAAAGAAAAAAATTAAAGGAAATACTCACCTGAATATTCTATAACTGGTCTGAACAGTGCTTGCAGGAAAATTCATGCATTTGGCTCAGGAGTTGGGTGTCCTCTGGGCTTTCTGGATAACAGATGTTATTCTCTGAGATTTCCACAGTCTAGCAAATTCCAAATGCCTCTATAAATAATAAGCCTTGCTTTTTGGAGGCCAATGTATTATAGGATCCTTAAAGCCCCTCCCTTATTAGGTTTCTGCAGTACAGAGGACCAATGAAAGGATTTACCCTTCCACCATTGTTTACATCAGCTCAATTTCTAATCTCTGTAAATAGCCCTCTACAAACACCCTCTAGTTGTGGTTAGTGCTGGTTTATCTTGTCATTTATTTATTTATTTATTTATTTTGAGAGGGAGTCACCCTCTGTCATCCAGGCTGGAGTGCAATGGCCTGATCTCGGCTCACCGCAACCTCTGCCTCCCAGGTTCAAGGGATTCTCCTGTCTCAGCCTCCCGAGTTGTTCAGATTACAGGCATGTGCCACCAGGCCCGGCTGATTTTGTAGTTTTAGTAGAGACACGGTTTCACCATGTTGGCCAGGCTGGTCTGGGACTCCTGACCTCTGGTGATCCGCCCGCCTTGGCCTCCCAAAATGCTGGAATCACAGGTGTGAGCCACCATGCCTGGCTTTTGTCATTGATTATTAAACAACACCCACGTGGCAAATTCATGTTTGATTTTCTGGGGCCCCAAGTCTACTTTCATTTCTGCTCCCACGTCTGATAGTATTTTTATATGATATTTGAATACATCATTCCATTCTTTGATAATTTCTGCCCTTTCTTCACTGAAATCTAGGATCTGCTACCATCTCACCTGGCTCATCGACAGGTAAATCCCTTCAGTACTGATCAATTTCTACCAGTCTTTAGATTTGAAGATCAAAATGCTAATGACCATGATGGATGGTTTTGGAAAAAGACAAGTAGAGCCTCAATGTCTGGCACCTATGGCTGATTTAATTTTAAACTCAGGGAAATGAAATAGGTACTGTGCATAAAAAATATTCAGGTGATTTTATTTAAAGCATTTTTACTAAATTCAAACTAATCAAAAAAACCTTTATTTAAATGACAACTTATTTGAATAATTTTTAAATTTTTATTTTTAATCAATATATAAAAATTGCACATATGTATGACATACAATATAATATTTTGATACATGTATAAATTGTGCATTGATCAAATTAGGGTTTGACAACCTCAGGCTTCATAATTTATAAAATAGACTTTTGCCATTTAAAAACTTTATATCTAAAGTTACCAACTAGTAATTAACTGAACATATCAAATAATAAGATATTACTTAAAAGAACCTAAATTAATAAAATGTTTAAATACATTTTGAGCTTTAAAATACAATAAATAAATATGACTTATTTTAGAAAAATTTCTAAAAAAATATAGACAAAGGTGGATTTAGACAAAAACATGTACAGAAAAATATCAAAAGGACTAAACCCCTTGGAGATTTTAATGGTAAAAGCTTGCTGATATTATTTTTAAAATTATCATCTTTTAAAAAAACATTTTATGGCCATTTGTTAATGAGCATAAGCTTCTACTGAAAATGAAATCTTTGCTTCTATAAGAATATACTCTCAGATATGCATCTCTTATAGAGCTAACATAAATAATTATTTAGATGTCTGTAGTTACAATAAGCTTTATATGATGGGGTTTAGAAATATCTAGAAAGCAAGCCCTGGGGATAATTCTAACACATGCTACAGTTTGGGAATGTAAGCTCAAACTGTCATCCATCTAGTGACTTAAAGTTTGTCTTCTACTCTAAAATACATCAACACACACACATATATGTGCACATGTAAATATATACAAATAAAATATTGTAGTGAAATAAAATACCTTTTTTTGTTTGTTAGTTGGTGTTGAGAAAAGCTCTAGCTCTGTTGCCCAGAATGGAATGCAGTGGAACAATCATGGTTCACTGCAGCATCAAACTCCTGGGCTCAAGTGATCCTCCCGCCTCAGCCTCCTAAGTAGCTGGAACCAAAGATGTGTGCCACCATGCCTGGCTAATTTTTTAAAAAAACATTTTTATAGAAATGGAGTATCTCAGTGTTGTCCAGGCTCATCTTGAACTCCTGGATTCAAGCCTTCCTCCTACCTCAGCCTCCCAAAGTGCTGGGATTAAAGGCATAAGGCACTATGTCTGGCCTTGAAAGGAATTTTTATTCAGTCTTTTCCAGATGTTTTTGCTTTTTTCTGGTGCTAGTCCTAAGAAAATTAAGAAGTCCTAAGAAAACTCTTCCCAACATGTAAAACATGCATTCGTTGGTTATTATGGCAATATTCCCTGCATGAGTAATTTTGGTGGTTAGCTTCTGTCTCATCATTTCTAGAAAAAATTTTATTTCTGTCATAACCCCTAATGCTTAGTAAAAAGGCTCTTTCTTTGTATGTTGGTCTTCTTCTTGCAAATTAGACACCCAGTATCAGCTAGTATTTCATTGTTGAGGACCAGCCCTGTGCTGGAGAACTCTGGTTTCAGGGCCGCTACTTACCATGGTAGCTCATGGCTGTGCTCTTTCTTTCTTCCTTGTTCCACTTCACAACATCTCACACAGGACAAAAACAGAGCAGATATGTTCAGATCCTCTGATGTTAATTGAGGCCACTTTGCTTTTTGAGAAATACAAAATTTGACCCCAAAACATCCATCCAGATTGTATACAGAGTCTATAGTGACCTCTCCAATATGACCTCCTGCTTTAACAGAATCAGTTCAGGTTCTGGATATTCTCACCAATCTCAAGTTAGCTGCAACTGCTGGAGTTTTCATCAATTCAGATACAAAACCATTTACTTTCTTTGATTTCAACAATAAGAATCACAAAACTAGATCTTACATACAAAGTACACCTCACTAAATTGGGGGATTGGTAAATAAATTAAATTAAAAGTGGTTATCATCTATTGCTATTTATATATTTCCTTGTAACCATTTCCAGTCTTGGTACCCATCCCTCATCCGATGGTGCCTGGCGCTCCTCTGTGCAAATGTCCTCTCTCCTATTTCCACAAAGGCAAAATGCTGTTTTCTATATTTAGGAATACTATCAACTTGTTGTTACTGTTGCCATTACTTCATAGTCACCTACTCATATGTACAGTTTCTAAACTAAAATATGGCAAGACACTTGTCAATGAAGACAATTCCATGTGAAATTTTAGGCGTGTTTCTTTTTCTGCAGAGTAATTGACTGATTCTCAAATTTTACGGGGCTAGTTTAGGCACAGCTCTTCCCTCTGAGATCTTCATTTTCTGAGAAACTAACTCTGAATCTGTGTCCTGATGAGGATCTGCCGTCACACATACCACAAAGTGCCACCCGTGTCAATCATGAAAGTCCGCACTCAAACTGACACCCACAATTGATATCACAGCAGAGAAACAAGGACATAGAGCACAACTGAGAGGAAGAGCTGTCTCAGCCATGCAGCCAAATGCTTAGGACCAAATAAGGAATCCACGCCTCACACTCTCTGGGTTGGAGAAGATGGGACCGCATTAGATAAGTTGGTTTTTCGTTTGTTTGTTTGTTTGTTTGCTTGTGAGATGGACTCTTGCCCTGTTCCCCAGGCTGGAGTGCCCTGGCACGATCTCGGCTCGCTGCAACCTCCGCCACCTCGGTTCAAGCAATTCTCCTGCCTTAGCCTCCCAATTGGCTGAGATTACAGGCACCCACCAACACGCCCGGCTAATTTTTTATTTTTATTTCTAGTAGAGACGGGGTTTCACCAGTTGGCCAGGCTGGTCTTGAACTGATGACCTCAGGTGATCTGCCGCTCTCAGCCTTTCAATGTGCTGGGATTACAGGCGTGAGCCACCGCGCCTGGCCTAGATAAGTACTTTTGAGGGATAAGATGGTAATACCTGAAATATTTGGCTAGAGATGTTCCTATATTGTTTTTCCTTCCATCTCTCTGTCTGTTACTTGTATCCTAGACTAACAACCAAGGCTCCTTTCCATGGAAATTATTCTACTCTCTTAGCCGTTGCCTCTTTCTGCCTATAGAACATCTTGCACACCACTACCTGACCAGATTTTATAACTCAGCATTCAAGTGAAGCTCCTATTATAGTCCAAACTCTTCCTTATGGTATCCTTGCTTTTTCAGTACTAATCTGAGATACTCCTGCTGCTTTTCTTCAGAACAAATAGCTCTTTCAATAAAGCTAATGTCAGGAAACTTGCCATGCAAATAAACACAACAAATACATTGAAACACAATCTATTTTATTTTTTTCCGTAACAAACCTCTTAAGTGAATTTATGTCCTTAATGAAAGAGTTGTTTGCTTTTCCAAGTTCTGCATTTTCTTTTCTAAATTGTTCCCATTTTCCTTATACTTTCTACAATATTCTCATGATGCTTCATTGTTTCTTTTTGGGCCAGCCTCTCTCTCTTCTCCACTGCCTTTTGAAAAGCTGAGCAGTTGGACCTGGGAAAGATGCCCTACCCGCTCCAGGCACAATGCTGATAGAGGATGCCAATCTGGGATGATGGCACATTTTCTGTGACAGCTGGTACCACAACCTGGTTACTGGCTGCTAGCATTCTCTGCCCATCAGTGGTCTCTAGATAGTGCACTGTGTACGTCACCAGCAATAGAGTGGCTCCTCTAATCCGTTATCTTTTCTGCAGTCCTTGTGCACCAAGAGTATCATTACTAGTTAGTTCTAAAGCTCCTCACTGAGTAATGGCAGTATGCTGCCCACTGATAGTTTGGTAAGCTGGAGCTTGTACCATCACTGCAACAATAGCAGATGACACTGCTTTCTCATCTTCATACTTTTCTCTAATTCCTGGCTTTCCAGGTGCATGGAAGGATACACTACTCAATATTATCCTGTTGGAAATGCTCTTGGACAGTATCTGTCTTACCTGTTAAGAATCAGATATCCATGAACTGTATTCTGAGAATCTTTACCCTTCATACTTATGAAGATATGAGTTGCAGAAAAACACTTCTTAAATCTTTGGTAGAATTCTTCTGGACCACTCTCGATATAAGAAGCTTCCCTGAATGACTCCAGCTCTGTGGAAACCATGTGGATCCTCCATGCACGATGCTACAAAAAAAAATCACAGAAATTTGTCTTGATCATCCTTTTTGATTCGTACAGGCTTCTTCCTTCCTATTAAAGTGATTGTTTTATTAATAGGATTAGGGTAATGTAGTGTTCTCTGTGCATGTTTCCCGAATATGTTTGGAAATAAACTACAGGTGAGGGAAGAGACTCACAAGGGAATTCCAAGTGGCTGGGATTAAAGAATGGGTGAGTGAATAAATGATCTGTTTCCAAGATTGGATTAAAAGAAAAAATTGCCACTGATCTCTTTTCCACATTGTGATTATATTGCCCTCTTCTCTCAGTTGTCTCTAGATTTTCTGCCTATCTCCCAGATTATTCTGCCTACTTCCCAGAAAATTCAGAAAGAAAGATATTTTCTTTCTGAAATTTTCAAGTAATAAAGTAATGAATTTAAGCTCCCCCTATAAAATAAGCTCATGTGTATTCCTAAAAGTTAGAAAGGTTAGAAGTATAAAATTCCAGTATGTATTAGGTGACTGTCCTCAGACATTTTAAGGAAACCTCAGATGAGTATCAAGGATAGAAAATTAAATCCTAAAATACTATAGAAATATGAGATAAATGTAAAAACATTCTGTTAATTCAAATTTTTAAAAATTCCATTTATTTGGACTGTGCCCCAACAGACCAAATCAAAATGCAGCTATTCATGCTAAAGTTCTGCATCCCTGAGTTTTTAATTACATTGTTTACCTGACTTAGTAAAAAATCAGGACGGATGCATAATAGCCAAATGCCAAAACAGGCCAGCTTTAGCCAGCATGATAAGGAAGTCCTCTATTCTTTCATCTATGCAAGAAGAGTAACCTGATGTTAACCATTTCGTTTGTTGTATTATTTTGTTTCTTTGTTCCTGTTCAAGAAACCTTACAGAAACTGGCTCTTGTCCCATACCCAGCACAGAAACTCTCTATTTTTGGATGAGATATTTTCTTATTTTTGAATCACAGATAGAAGCCAATTTGATCATTTAGCTAAATTTGCAAAAATTTTGTCTTTTCATATCTTCAAATATACAATGAGAAAACCTGAAGAGATATGAGAAAATCTGGCCAAAATTACACACACACACACACACACACACACACACACACACACACACACACCAGGAGTTGAACTGAGAACAGAAATAACATTTTCTGATTTGAAGGCAGTAGAATTTTTATTGTCTAATAACAGTAACTTTATTTTACATAATCTTGAATTTTTGGTTACTAGCAATGAGTCAGAGGAAAGCTCACGGGAGGACACCTGGGTAGACATTCCTCTCTGAGTCTGCAGCATCAACAGCTATAGTTAGTTGAAATGATAAATTAAATTATGCTGGCTAAATTGAGAACACAAGACAAGAACTCTATGTATGCTACTATTATGCATTTGCTTTATTTTGCCACAAACAACTTTCCTTTCTTTTCTTTTCTTTTCTTTTGAGACAGAGTCGTACTCTGGCACCCAGGGTGAAGTGCAGTGGCATAATCTCAGCTCACTGCAGCCTGCACCTTCTGGGTTCAAGCAAGTCTCCAGCCCCGTGTCTCAAGTAGCTGGGATTACAGATGCCCACCACCATGTCTGGCTAATTGTCGTAATTTTGGTAGAGACAGGGTTTCACTATGTTGCCCAGGCTCGTCTCGAACTCCTGACCTCAAGTTATCTGCCCGCCTCAGCCTCCCAACATGTAATTTTCTTTTTTTAAGTATATGGTTAACACATCTTAGTTCCTTCCTGGGCTCATATTCCTTGATGTGATCTTTATGCTACGGCTTTCCCAGAATTTCATCATAGACTGTGATCTCTTCGCATTTTGTATACTCTTCCTTAAATTTCATATCACTTCTCTGGTTTGAACTACACACATACTATGTTTCCACATCAGTTTTTAATTTTATTTCTATGAAGAATTTTACTTCTGCCCCCCAAAATGTGACAAGGCAAATGGATCAATAACCTCTTCACGAGGTGAGAAGGAATCTTAGGTTTCTGATATAACTGGCAAGGTTCCCAGTGTCTTACCTTAATTTTATTTCTGAATTTTAGGAATGTCCCAGGTGATAATAATTATAATAGAAGTTATCAAAACAGAAGAATGTAATAAATTTTTGGTTTAATGGCTGAGAAAATTTACCAACCTATATCTTAAATGTCCTTAGTGGCTAATACCACCTGTATGTACAAGTAAATCTAAGCTAAATAAGATTAGCTACAAAATTTTCTTTGAATAAATGACAAACAAAATTGGTAACAAGGTAATTGAGAGTGTAATGGCTGCTGCTTATGGAAATTTTAGTGTCAATAGAGAATGCTCAGGAACTTTAGGTGGAAACAGAAAGGAAAATTGGGTTGAAAGCCCAGAAGGTAAAATTCCACAATGTGAGATCACTTGGAGAGACACAAATTTCAGAAGGTGATAGAATTTTCCTGTTGCCGAGTAAAGTGCTACAAAACATGTGTAGGAGGAGAAGAGAGAAAGTTAACTAAGCAGTCTAGGTAGTACAGACAGAAAGAATAAGGAAGCATTGCTGATAAGTATTTTCATAATTTGGATAATCACCTTGATTTAGCCACCAATTTAAGAGATTAAAAGACACATAAGATCCTTCTTGCCATATGATCCTCAGTTAGCCAGTTGCTGAATGGGGAAACACTGGACACCTCGACAGTGGTGAAAAGCAGAGTTTACTTATTCCTGAATACTCATTCCCGGTTCGAACTAAAAGCAACTCTTTAGTAAAGGATCACCTGATTTTCATTGAACACAAGCTCTGGGTATTTCTTCTGCTCTGTCTGTCATTGAATTTTTTTTTTCTTCTAAATCAAAGAAAAAAAAAAGATAAAGAAAAGGCCAGACACAGTGTCACATGCCTCTAATCCCGATGCTTTGGGCGATTGAGGTAGGAGGGTTACTAGATTTCACGACTTTGAGACCATCATGGGCAACATAGCAAGACCTTGTCTCTGGCAAATAAAAACAAAAATAAAAAATAAATAAAATAAAATAAAAATAAATAAAATAAAGGAAATAAAAATAAACATTTAATGTGTATTCAGCATTTCCAGATACATCTGGCAGCTCAGTGTGCTGCATGCCTAAGCTTGAAGGAAGAGGATGGGAACAGAAGTATTGTAGAAAGCACCACGTCATTTCCTGACATTCAGGTCCTCTTGCTCAGGATGCTTTTTCAGTTTTCTCGCTGAACAGGAGATGGCAACAAATTTCACTTTCTTGCAAATAGAGATGAAATCCAGTTGTTGAAAGTAACAGTCGTTTTTTTTTGATTACCTCCTCTATTTAGATAAGTAGATGTAAAAAATAGCCCCCATTTACTTAAAATTGGGATCTTTATTAGAGTAAATTAGCCTGTGCCCTAACTGATCCCATGAGAGGTTTTTGCTGATTCTGGGTATCTGTGAGAAATGTACCCTCAGGTTTATGAGACTGAATGAATTACAGATGATACAAATTCTTTACATATTAGTCATAATTGATCCCTTGTTTATAATCCAAGATATTTTCTTTCCTTTTTTTGTTTTAACATAGGTTTCTCAATTTATTATAAAAATATGCACTCTCTATCATCTGTATTCCTCTTTATGATGTAAGTGTGTTTTGTATATTTCTACAGTAAATGAGATGGAAATCATTTTATTCTTAGTGAGTAGCTTAATATGTATGTCAGTTTAATTCCCGACAGTCTCCATCATTGTAAGTCCTTTTTTATATTTTCTTATCACTAAGAATCTTCGTATTTTCCTGGTACATGTTGGCCATCCTCAGAAAATTTCACAATCAACCTTATAGAATAAAAATAAGATACAATTGTTTCAAATATATAAATAATGAAAGTTCATTAGCATGTGAATCTTGACACTTCATTAGCATGTGAATCTTGACACTAATCTTCTTACGTTTTTTGACATTATCCTTTAATATTTTCTATCATATTATGCTACCCATATTTTGGGAAAATTTCCTAATTCTATTACAGAAAAATATTTGTTTATATTAATTCTTTTATTCTTATGTAAGGAGAATATTAAGAACTTCATATATCCAGAGCACAACAATCCATGTCTAGAACAAAGCAGGCATTTTTGTAAACATATATTCACATACAACTTTTTTTTTTTTTTTTTTTGAGACGAGGTCTCATTCTGTCACCCAGGCTGGAGTACTGTGGTGCAATCTTAGCTTATTTTAGCCTTAAACTCCCAGACTGAAGGGGTCCTCCCATCTCAGCCTTGTGAGTAGCTAAGATTACAGGTGTGAGCCACCACGTATGGCTTATATATACATATATATTTTGTAGCGATGGGGTGTTGCTGTATTGCCTAGGCTGGTCTCAAACCTCAAGCAATCTTCCTGCCACGACCTTCCAAAGTGCTGGGATCACAGGCATGAGCTGCCATGCCAAGCCATAAAAAACTTTAAATTGTGTTTTTGTGTAAACAGTTGAAATGCGGTGATGAAGGGTGCTATTAAGGTTATGAAAAAAATGGCTTTGAGCCTAAATGTAAAAGATTACATAAACTCCATTTTATTGACAAGATGAGATGCAAAGTCATCTCCTGAGAAAGAAAGAGAAGGTGGATTGGGCTTGTTGTTGCAGTAAAGTTATAGATTATTCAGTGATGAGATGGAGTGAAAGTGGTAAATTATGTGGTAAATATTATTTTTATTAATATTTTAATATTACAGCAGATATTTATTTTTTATTGTGTTAGGTATTATAATAAACTCTTTAGTGGCACTGAGAAATGACAACATGCTAGCAGCCCTCGCTCGCTCTGGGTGCCTCCTCAGCCTCGGTGTCTACTCTGGCCGCGCTCCAGGAGCCCTTCAGCCTGCTGCTGCGCTATGAGGGACCCCTCTGGTGCTGGCCTAGGCCAGAGCTGGCTACCTCTGCTGAAGGGGAAGTGTGAAGAGAGACGCGCCAGCAGGAGCCTGGGCCGCACGCATCTCTTGCGGGCTAGCGAGGGTTCGGCAAGTCCCGCACTCAGCGCAGCCCGTCGGAGCCTGCTGGGCTTGATAGGAGGCTCAATCCCGTGCGTGGGACCCCTGTTCCCTTTTCGCGGGATCGTTAGCCACGTTAGTAGGTCTCTGTCTCTTTCTCGCTTCCCCTCTTTTCCTCTAGATTGTCTGGGACGAGATCCCTCTGGGATGCCAGAGTGCCCGGGCTAGGTGCCACAAAGTCCAGCGGCAAGTGCCAGTGAGAGGTGAAGCCAGTTGGGCTTCTGGGATGGGTGGGGACTTGGAGAACTTTTCTGTCTAGCTAAAGGATTGTAGACGCACCAATCAGCACTCTGTGTCTAGCTAAAGGTTTGTAAACACACCAATCAGGGCTCTGTGTCTAGCTAATCAGGTGGGGACACAGAGAACTTTTCTGTCTAGCTAAGGGAGTGTAAAAACTCCAATCAGCACTCTGTCAAAATAGACCAATCAACTCTCTGTAAAATGGACCAATCAGCTCTCTGCAAAATGGACCAATCAGCAGGACGTGGGTGTGGCCAGAGAAGGAATAAAAGCAGGCCACCTGCGCCAGCAGGCGCAACCTACTAGAGTCCCTTACCACACTGTTACACTGTGGAAGCATTGTTCTTTTTGTTATTTAAAATAAATCTTGCTGCTGTTCACTGTTTGGGTCCACCCCGTGTTTATGAGCTATAACACTCACCTCAAGGTCTGCAGCTTCACTCCTGAAGTCAATGAGACCACGAACCCACCAGAAGGAAGAAGCTCTGTACACATTTGAACATCTGAAGGAACAAACTCTTGACATACTGTCTTTAAGAACTGTAACACTCACCGCCAGGGGCCGTGGCTTCGTTCTTGAAATCAGCGAGACCGAGAACTCACCAATTCTGGATACAGCATGATGTGACCTGACTCTCAACCAGTGGTCGTTGGAATGTTGGTCTATTACCCACATTTCACTGGAGACGGCAACACACTGCAAAATGAAGAGTACAGATGTGGGAGACTAGTTGCCTTAGTTCAGATCTGTTAAATTTCCCACAGTTCAGTTTTTTATTGTAAATATTGGATTATAGAGGTTTTTATATTTGAAGCATTTAAAACACATGCGTACCACATGATAAGTTCTCAATAAATGTAAGCTTTGTAAGCTCTCATCACTAGGCTTGATAATTGACAACACTTTGGCAAAGTGAGTTAAGCTCAATGCAGGGAAGCTGAGCCTCAAAATGGGGCTTAACCTTTGAGAGTCCTTGACTTTGCCCAGGAAAGGATTCAAGGGCAAGCCAAAGGTAGAGGTAAACAGCTTTATTGAAGCAGTAGCGTTTCAGCTCTGGTGATGTTACAGCTTTGTGGCTGCTCCCACAGAGCAGGGCTACTCCATGGGCAGAGATTAGCAGCTCACAGCAGTTTTGCAGTCATGGTTACACCTACTTTTAATAGCATGTAGACTAAGGGGTTTATGCAGAAATTTCTAGAGAAAGGGTAATTTGGGATGTCAAGTCATTGCCATGGAATGGGTGATAACTCCTGGGTGTTGCCATGGCAATGGTAACCTGCTCTGGCACACTGGTGGGCGTGTCTTTTGGAAAGCTGCTTCTGCCTGGTCCCTGTTTTAGCTAACCTCAACTTGGTTTGGTGTCTGAGCCCTACCTCGAAAGTCAAGTTTAGCCTCCTACCTTGAGGAGACTTGTTCAAGACCCCACAGCAACACTCATTCCCCGGTATGGAAGACAGTGATGTTGACCAAGCTTTAGGTTTTGTTTTTTTTCTGTTAACAAGCGTTTGTTAATTTCCACAGTATACCGAAGAAGTACGTTTGATAGTGGAAACACACTAGTGAATGTGTAATTAACTGTGGCAGAACAATTATTAAAACAAAAACCAAGGGGATATTGTATGATGGTGAAATGAGAATAGAAAGAAGGGAGTATATGTCTACATTTTGTTCTTCTATTCTCCCATCTCTTCTCTTATGGCCTGGGGGATGACCTCAAATTAAATTAAAATGAAACAAACTGCCAGGAATGGTGGCCAGCTCCTATATTCCTGACTACTCCATAGGCTGAGGGAGGAGCATCCCTTGAGCCCAGGAGTATGAGTTCAGCCTGGGGAACATAGTGAGACCCTATCTCCATTTTAAAAATTCAGTCTATCTCTCTATCCAAATATATATAAATAAAATGAATAATGAATAACTGCCATGACTTTATCACACACCCACACATTAGGCTTCTGTGCTAATACACTCTCTATACTCCCTGCATCCCAACAAACAGGAATCTTTCTAAAAAGATGAAAAATGGATGAGGTTTAAAATAAGCTTCTAGAATTTAATTGGTTTTCACATCAACCTAAAATCCTAAAAAACGCAAACCATTAAATTAATGCTCCTATCTTTAACATCAAAGTTTTCAAATCTCTCTTATGCATTTTTAAATTTAATTATTCAAATATTTGTTACATTTCCATTATGTCCTAGACGTTATATTAACTGATTGTTATTATTTCCTGGAGTGTAGTCGTAAATAAAACTGACATTTCTTTAAGTTTTAGATTTTATACTATTAGAAAAGAAAAGCACCAGTGGGCTTGTGTTTCATTGTGCTCTTTTAGCTTACCTTTCCACAGCTGGCTGGTGTTAACCAGCTCAATTAGACCCTCTGCCTTTTTGCAAGGACAGAGGGCTTTCTGTATCCTGGGGTTGTTGCCTGAGTGTACCAGAGAACTCGGATCATATGTGGGCTTGGAGAATGAGTGCAAGATTTATTGGTTGGTGAAAGCAGCTTTCAGCAGATAAATGGTGTGCCAGAAGGGGGATGGAGTGGGAAGGTGGTGTTCCCCTGCAGTAAAACGTCTCAGCAGCAGGGCTCGCCTCCAAGAGCTCTCAGCTGATTTCCATGTCATTCTACCATTAATGGCTGCCAGCATCTGCTGGTGCCTGTCAGTGTGCTCTTCTTCTTTAGTGCCAGACTTCTCTAGAGGCTTACAGGCTTCTAACCCTTTACAGTTTGTTTAATCTATTTTTCAGAGCATCAACTGATTATATATATGTGTATGTGTGTGTATATATATGTGTGTGTGTGTGTATATATATATAATGTAAACAACAAATCATCCACACTTTCTCACTTCTAAAATAGTTTCCCCTTCTCTCTCCTGCTGCTTCCCCTGGTGATTTTCCCACCATCCAGGAAACAACACTTTATCTTTCACCTATCCAGGATTTGGAGGTATAAAAAAATCAGAAATTGAGATGCTTGTTTTCTTTCATTCTTCTTTTGTTTATTTATTTATGTATTGGTGTTTGCTTTTTCTCCTTTTTTTTCCCAATACTTTCTTTGCATCTGTCCAGTAAAATCACTGAGTATGGTGACATAATAGATGACTACATAAGGTGGGGGAGCAAAAGTAGAACCAGGAAAAAGTAATATTAATATCTTGATCATGTATGCCTTCGCTTTAGTAGATCCTGTTTGATATTTGTGGAAACTGAAAGAACACCTGCTAAAATCCAGGTACACGTGCACCTGTGTAATATGTCTCCAAACACCTGTAAAAAAAAAATAGAAAGGGTTTGTGCTTTCTACAAGATGAATCTTCCACTAAGTTCAGTGTGAGATCTGGAGGCAGTTTCTGAAAATATTATTTTCCTGCCATTTTCCCTTCTGGAAAGCATTTTATATTTCTTCTCTAATGAAAAACATAGTCTATCATATTGTTATGAATTAATGTCCTAGTGAAGTCAGAGTCTTGAAGACATTCTTTATACAAGTGAAGGGAGAAAAGGCCCAGAGTCTATCTTCTGCAGTAACCATGAAGAACCTATCCAGTCATCTTCCCTAGGCCCTATTATAAAAGTGAATGGATGAAAAATAATATTTAGATTCCCCAAACTCCCAGTCTTGCCATGTCTCCAAACTGACCTAATGTAAATGAATTTCTCACTATTTTATAAATGTTCAAAAAGCCAAATATATTATTGACCGTAGATGGGGAATATTTATTAGGGCTGTTACCTTGACCATTCCACAAAGTTTTGTTGCTGGTGGATAAAGTAAGAGGGACCTTTTTTTCTGGTAAAATCCCTGGGAGGGGCTATACTCTACCCACAAAGTAGCATGAGTTATGGAAATGTGTTTCTGGAAAGAAGTCGTGGAAATACAGGGAAGAAGGCATTTCAGGAAAGAGGAAGAACACCTGTGCACATGAATGTTCCACATCCTGATACCCCATGGTCAGTCAGTACCTGGATTAGCTCCACATCTGGTTTATGGGACTTTTCCTTCAGCTCCTCATACATTCCTTTTAAAATCTCCCTCTCATGGGCCATTCTGGCATCGCTTTTATGGAGTTGCTAAAAATTGTCTTCGTCCTCCTTTTGAAGCATCTGCAAGTGATGTTGCTGTTCTTCATGGAGAAATGCAGGCATCTTCTGATATTCAGCTCTGATTGCTTCTATCTTTAAATTCACATAATCCTGCAGTAACAACGGGTTAGTCAAAAACAAAACCGACGTACTCATCTCCTATTGAATCTCACTGGTTCCTCTTTGTCTCTTGAACATCCCATATTTTAACTCTTAGTCTTGCCAATTCTCAGACTATACGAAATTTTACTCTGTTTTCTTTTCTGCATGAAGATCAACGAACATAGATGTATCTAACCAAATATATTCACTTTATTCGTGATAAAGTGTTTTTTCTAAGATAGTCATAAAGAAGAAAAACAAATTGGATTCCTCTTTTCCAACTCATATTTATAGAAAAGTAAGACAGTTCGGGCTTAATAGTTAGACTCTAGAGCTATATTGACTAGAAAGGGAATAATTATTTTCATTTCTGAAATTTGGGGCAAGTTATTTAAATTCATTATGTGTGAAATAGCCTCAGACTAGCATGCTCAACTCAATGCATTTCACCAAGCAAAACCTATGCTAATAAGGCTTCATTTATGATCTGGCCTTCTTTGTCTATCTAATCTCATTTCTTTCCATTGTTTTTCATACTGACTTTAACATAAAACATAAACTTCTTTGTGGTTCCTCAGCCCTCAAAATAAACACAAACTCAATATTACTGCACATGTTGTTTTCTTCACCTAGAATTCTCTCTGCCTCTCTTTCTCTCTCTAAGCATACACACACACACACAAACACACACACACACACACACACACACACACACACACACACACACACTTGTGTTTGCCTTCCTCTTCAAGACGTTGTCTCAATATGAATTTTTCATTGAGGCATTTTCTGACCACCCTGTTTAAAACTCAAACTCTCGTCTCCAGTCCATGGCCTCTGTTCTCTTTTTCTAAGACCTTGGTATTTCAAATGAGCTAAGGATTCTTCATTTGAAATTGTCCAGTTGGAAGTCCTCTCTGACAGAGTTTCCCTTACTTGTGATTCAGAAATCCATCCACAGTCTCCTTTTAAAGTTACTTTTTGGATTTATAAAAAGTTGCATTCCACAAATACACTTTTAACCCCTCGGTTTTTCTGGACCATCAAAGCATTGCTCATCTGCCGAGAATCACAGGTATTGAAAACCACCTTAGACAGCAAATTCTCCCTTATGCAGGCATTTTTCTGAACCTGGACAACTGTTACTGTTTATTCACCCGGAAAATTTCCATTCATTCTTCAAGACTCATGCAAACGATTTGATCTTTGATTCTATATGTCCAATAGATAGATATTTGTGGCAGTTTCCATGTTGTACTGGGATTGTTGCTTTACTAGTGTGTCTGTTACTTCTACTAGATTGTGAGGTCTGGTTGAAAGAACTTCTCCTTTATTGTATCTCTGCCTCCACTTTCATGGCCTGACCTGGATTTTACCATTATAGAAAACTGCTAATCACAAAGTCTGCAATCACAAAGTCAAGAATCTCGCTTTATAATCAACGTTTCTTTTCTTTTTAGATTGGTTTTTCTGTATATGAGTTTAAATCTGTCTGATTACCTTTGGACCACAGTTTATTACTCTCTGTGGTTCTTGCAATTTGGGGGCTTCATCTTTTTTAACACTTCTCTTACTTCGGATCTTCTAGTGCATAATTTCAAAAATTTAGCACGAAAGGTAAGAAAGCAGAGTGCAGTTGATCATGCCTGTAATACCAGCCATTGGAAGGCTGCAGTGGGACGTTTCATGATTCAAGAAGTTTGAGACCAGCCTGGTCGACACTGTGAAACCTCATCATTACAGAAAAAAAACTTTACCCGGGTGTTGTGGCAAGCACCTGTAGTCCCAGCTACTGGGGAGGCTGAGGTGGGAGGATTGCTGGAGCACAGGGTGTTGAGGCTGCAGTTAGCTGGAATGCCCATCTCTGCATGCCAGCCTGGGTGACAGAGGAAGACCCTGTCTCAAAACAAACAGATAAACAAAAAAGTAACAATACAAAATATCTTACTAACGTTTGTAATGTTAATCGTGTCGAAACCTATTGGATATATTTGGTTAACGATTTTTATTAAAATTAATTTCAGTTGTTTCTTATTGTTTTATAATGTAACTAGAAAATGTATTCCCACTATGCAGCCATAAAAAATTATTAGATCATGTCTTTTGCAGGGACAGGGAAGGAGCTGGAGGCTATTATCTTTAGCAAACTAACACAGGAACAGAAAACCAAATAGTGCATGTTCTCACTTATAAGTGGGAGCTAAATAATGAGAACATATGGACACATAGAGGGGAACAACACACGCTGGGACCTATAGGAGGGTGGGGGATTAGAAGAGGGAGAGGATCAGGAAAAATAACTAATGGGTGCTAGGCTTGAGACCTGGTTGATAAAATAATCTATACAACAAACCCTGATGACACAAGATTACCCATGTAACAAACCTGCGCATGTATTGCTATACTTAAAATAAAGGTTTAAAAAAGTATTTTCTTCTCTTTCTTTTACAGTGTCTCTGTAAATGCATGAATTAAAGAAAAGCAATGAATATATTTTTCATGGGATAATATTCAAGATATATAGAAACAAAACTTCTGAGATTTAATTAAAACAATGTTAAGAAGAAAATGTATAGCATTATATTCATCTGTTATTTAGAAATAAAGCATTAAATTCATCTGTTATCTATCCCAAAGAGCCAGATAAACAAGAGTAAATTCATGCCAAAATCTAAAAAAAAAAATTGTAGAATATTGATTAAAAAGCATACAGTAGATAAAATCAATGAAGTAGGCTTTTTTTTTGTTTGTTTGAGACAGAGTCTCACTCTGTCACCCAGGCTGGAGTGCAGTGGTGCGATCTCGGCTCCTTGCAACCTCTGCCACCCAGGTTCAAGTGATTCTCCTTCCTTAGCCACCCGAGTAGCTGGGATTACAAGCACGTGCCATCACGCTTGACTAATTTTTGTATTTTTAGTAGAGCTGGGGTTTCACCATGTTGGCTGGGCTGGTCTCAAACTCCTAACCTCAAATAATCCACCCACCTCGGCCTCCCAAAGTGCTGGGATTACAGGTGTGAGCCACCACACCCACCAAAAGTAGGCTCTTTAAATAGATCAATTAAATTGATAAATTCTTAGTGAGACTCAATTAAAAAATGGAGAAGAGGAGTTCAAATCAAAAATAAATAGGCCAACACTTAGGTCATCCACAAATTAATATGTTAATAAGAAGATTTTAAGATGACTTTTATGTTCATACACTTGATGATTTAGATGAAATGAGAAATTTCCCTGAAAAACATATCTGACAAAAACCAACAGAAGAAACCATAGACAAATCTAAGATATGATTTAGATTCTAAAAATTTACCCTATTATTTAAAAAACAAAACTTCTCCCAGCGAAAAACCTGGTGATCTTTTTCAGTGAAATATTCACAACATTTAAGAAAAAAAAATCACACGCTTTTAGACAAACCCTTCTAGAGAACAGAAAAAAGCAGTAATACTTCCCAACTTGTAACTTTGGTTTTCTGTTGTGTTTTCTTTTACTTTTTGTAAACAGCTTCTCTCTCTGTTGCCCAAGCTGAAGTGCGATGGCAAGATCATAGCTCACTGAAGCCCAGAACTTCTAGGCTCGAGTGATCCTCCTGTCTTGGCCTCCCAAAGGGCTGTGATGACAGGCTCTAGCTGCTGTGCCAAGCTCCAACATATAATTTTGATATTCGATCCTGAAAAGTGTGTTACAAGAAATGCAAATTGCAGTACAGACTCTAAAATAAATATAGGTGCAACAATTCAAAAAAGCTAGCTAGTCAAATCTTGTGAGAGATAAACTCATATCATCTCCAAGTGGAGCTTATTCTAGAAAGGTTGACTAATGTAACATCAGAAAATGAAATAAGTAATCACGACATGAACAGGATGAAATACATATCATTGTTCCTGTAAAAAGAGGAAGAAAATATTTGATACAATGAAATGGTCATTTATGATTTTGAAAGCACTATTAAAAACAAATAGCCATGAACTTTCTCTAATAAGAATGTAATAACTTAGAGCCAGTACCATATTTAATGGAGAATTTGAAAGCTTCTACCCAGGAATGGGAATGAGATATAAATCCTGTTATCATCACTTGTGTTCAACACCTTGCTTGATCTCCTTTTCAATGCAACTAGACAAGAAAAAGAAGTAAATAATGTGAGGGTTGAATAGAAATAAAGATATCATAATTGCAAAACGTGACAGTTCAGTTAAAAAATAACTCTCTAAACCATTAGATATATTCGTGAATTGAAAAACAAATTGAGTCATGCATGCTTCTAAGACAATAGTTAAAAGTGAGAGTAAGCCAGACGCATTGGCTGACACCTATAATCCCAGCACATATATATACATACACACACACACACACACACACACACACACACACACACAATTACTGTGAATATACAACTGCTATATTATATAAAAATATGCCTAACACACCCATACACCCCACACCCACACACAAGGCTTTGAGAAGGGCACTTTGTTCTGGGAAGGAGGCTTATGAGCAGTGAGTTTGGGAATCAAACCCAGGCAATTTAGCTTCAAGACATTGCTCTTAACCATGATACCATATTACTCTCAGCTGACTTTTTCATAGTGGGTGATAATACACAGTAGCCTCACAGCAATTCCAGGAAATGTAAGCACTCAAGAATTATTTTGAAATCTGCAGGAAATGTTGCTTGCTGTCTTCTTTATCCCTTGTTCTCTGCAACTTTGGTTTTCCTCACCAAGGGTTATTTTTCTGACACATTTATGGGTGCATTCCATTAAAGAAAGAGTTTTACTTGGTGTCAGGCACTGACAGAAGCTCTCTTTCTCCATATATGCCTGAACTTGACTGTCCTCCTTCTGTTCCAATTATTTAACCCTGAATACCTTTTACCCTTTTAGATGTCACAAGGATGTGACTGAGCAGTTTCAAGGACACCAACTTTTGCTTTCTCCTCCTCCCTTAGAATCCTGCATCTGCATTGCTGGTCTCAGACAGAACAGGGAACCCCTATTTCCCATTCTGGGATATTTTAATGATCAACTCTTCTTATGTTGTGAATTTGAAGGGCATGGACAGATCATTGCAAAGCGGACAGACAGGGACCTGCGTTCTGAGAACTGGGCCAGAAAACTGACAGAGGGACAGAAGAATTTCAGAGTGATTCTGGCAGGCATCATGGTTCAGTACGGGCCAGAGGAGTGGAACATATGGGCACAGGTTGAGAGGACTGCGACAAGACAGGGCCTATCTCCTTTGCAGCAGAATGTTAATAGATATTATATTTTAGTAAACAGAGGACATTTCTCTGAGTCAGCATCAAAAACTTTCACAGTCTGGAAGAATGAACAGTCACAGGACCGAGCCTCACCTTTCCTTCTGAGTATGAGAGGCTACAAGGCAATGAGAATGGAACAGCTTTTATCTGAGGTTAAAGCCAGTGTCTCTCTCTTCAGCCCACACTTACTGGTAAGGTCCAGTGGATGACTCAGCTACAGGTTTCTGAATTTCTGGCTTTTGAGGGAAAGACTTTGTCACCCTCTATGCTGAAGGTATTCTACGTACTATGAACCCCAGTCAGTGGTTCTTAACATCAAGAAATCTTGGGAAGTACAAGGCATTCAGAAGGCCTACATGAATAGTTTGCAGCCGCGTATAGACATCAGAAGGCGGTTCCTGACAAGGATGCCCTGACCTTTTTCATCTCATTGACATAGAATTACTGTGTCTCTCCCTGGTCATCTTGAAGGAGATGGACCACCCCTTCCCCCCCTCTACTCCAGTGTCATGTGCATCTTCCTCAGTGATTTTGCTGTGCTGTGTTCATAATGATTGTCCAGTTGATGCCAAATCTTGAAGAAAATTTCCAAAAGAATATTTACCTGGTCAATTGTCAATTGCCCTTTTCCAGGAATCTGGAACTTGAATGGTGTTTCTATAAGGGGCTCGTTGGATCTCATGTTTTACAGGACCCCCAGTCTCTGGATATAGATCCTCAGTGTCCACTTCTTAGGAAGAGTAGGTGTAGTAGGTTATATTCCTCCCCCACTCTCTCTAAAAGAGTGCTAAAATATATATTCCATCCCACATTGTTTTTCTATGATGTAACTTCAAGACTGCTACTGCTGTGTGTGTGTTCTAGTCCCTTTACTTTGTGTAGGGTTGTGGCTACAGCTGATGTTTTACTCTCTGGAATAATGGTAGTATACAATTCTCCTGACTCTATGGGAATCTTCACTGTGGAAAATTATCTACCATGCTGTGAGCAAGCCCAGGGAGCTACCTGGAAAGGCCGTTTGAATATATTCTAGGTAACAGCCCCAAGCAATGAACCTCAGACATCAGCCAGGATCATCTGCTGGACTGGAAGTAGAATGTTTCCATTATTTAATCAGTGATCATGAAAATGACCATCTGGTGGCTAGACAGACTCAATGGACTCACTATAAACTGGGTTTTCATCAGAACTGGGTTTTGTTTGTTTCACTTTTTGTTTTGGTTTAATTTAGTTAGTTTGTTTATTTATTTATTTATTTATTTTTACCTGATACTAATATGTTTCCAATGTAACATGAGGTGTTGGTTATGTCTGGTCTCTAGGTTGTCAATGAGAATTCACAGTCTGTGTGAATTGGAAATATAAACACATTTTAAAGCAGACAGTCTGCACATCTATTATTCCCTGGATGATGCTGTTTGCTTTATTAAACAGCTGCAGAATTCAATGTGGGTTAAACCCTTTTGGTTCTTGCTCAGACATCGCTAGCAAATTCTCAGAAAAGCAATAGGCTGTACCATTAGCCTATGTCTGTAGATGAATATACTATCTAGGTTTTTGTAGTGTGTTCTGATGTTCACACAATGATGAAATCGCCTAATAATGCATTTCTCAGAATGTATTTTGTTGCCATAGGATGCATGACTGTTAAATTCCTGTTCTAGCCCAAAGATTCAGTGACAACTTCTGTGTGAAATAAATTTTTCCCCCCAAAGGGATGAGGTGTAGAATTTACTGTATTAATAGGAGGGAACTCTCACACTTACAAGTGCATTGTACAAAACCCCGTCTGCCCATGATGTACAAAAGTTGTTCCTGAATGAGATCATTAAGTTGGAATCACACACCCACATATTTCCAGAATTCCATCCAATAAATTCACAAACACTTGAAAATCACAATACGTATTTTAGGTAATGGTCCATAAGAGATTATTTTAATTGTAAGAAAATGTACAAAAAGTTTTGCCTTTTACAAATTTTTTATTTAATAGCAATAAAATGAAGTGACACTAAAGTACAAAAAAGCCTGAACAGTATGATTTCTTTGTATCAACAGTGAAGGGCTCCCTTGTATATGGAGTTCCCAAACAGTAAGTTTTCTTAATCCTGATCATCTGTGGCCAGTGTAAAAGAAAGGCCTGACAGGAAAAGTTAAGGAGCCAGCTGGGTAACTCCATATGAGGGAACTCTTGGTGACATTCAAAAAACTCACACTTCCACTTTCAAAATCAAGAAACACACCAACCCGGCCCAGAGGTTTCTCTATGTAGTGAGGAAACACTGGGGAGGTGGTCAAGAGATTGAAATGATTATCCACCTTCAGACACAAAAGAAGAAATATGTCCTCAGAGTTAACCATTGTGCTATTCTTCCTTATCCAGGAGTTGTTACAGACTCCCAGAGCCCAGTCACAAGAGTTGTCCACATCCAGCTCCCAGTAGTGTTTCCCAAAGGAGAAGACCCTGGCTCCCCATGCAGCAAAATAGTCAGATCTGTCAGAATTCAAAGGTCCACGTCTAAACATCCAACTTCTCACATCCTCAAAGAGCCTGATATTGTGATTGGTTACTTCAAAATGGAAGGAAATTTCCACTGTAGAAAAAAGAGAATGTTCCAGTGAAAATCAGTTTGTAAATTCTTATGTTCAGATAAGAAAGAGATTCTCACTAGAAAACACAGGTCAAGATTAGAAAGAAACTTCTGTCTGGAAAAATGTTGGAATCAAAGGGTGTTAGGAGATCTGCACAAGTAAATGGCTAAACTAGGATGATCACAATTTCCATAAACTCAAAAAGTATAAAGGGGAGGAAGGTCATGTCTATGTCTCGTTAGCGACCTTTCATAACAACTGAAAAACTGGAAGCTCCTCCACTGCAGCCAAGTCCATAGCCATAAAATTAACCTTCATTGTCTCGTCTCTGTCAGGGCAGAGCAGGAGGCTTTGGACAGGAGATGAGGTGGGGAGCTATTCTTAGTCCCAAATAAAAAAGTTATCACTTTCCAGAAATATTATGATCTGCCACTTAACCTAGCAAATTCATACTTAAAGAGAAAACCTGAATCTGCCTTCTGAAAAGTGCTGATTCCTTGCAAAAATTATCTGACTTTCATGCCAGATTCAGGCACAGACTTCTTTTATTCTGCTGGATTTGTCATGATCTATCCTGGAGTTCTATCTAAGACCTCATCAACCACCAAATCATGTTCCTATTGTTGACAGATTCTCAGTTTTTGCATTGTTATATAAGTTACTCATGTATGCTTTAGTTGATTAAAAACATGATTAAAATTATAAATGCTATGAAACATCACCTAAAAATGTATTTTTTTTAAAAAAACGCTGTCACTCAAATCAGTCGTTAACTGCACTGAATTTGAAATTGAAATGTCCTGAATTCAGTTCTGTATACTTCATGTAATAATTGTATACATGAAATTGTATCAGAGAATGGTTCCTAAAGTCCTAAAGAGCCCTTCTGCATGTTTTATTTTTCTAAGAAATTTGTTATATGGCTGATTCCTATTACATTTCACCAGCTTTTATTTCGTTTTGTCTGTTTGATGATAGTGAAACTATAAATATAAATACCTATTCACAGGCTATTCTCTTCTTCTAGATGAAAGATCATTACACTGGGAAAGCTGCCCATAGAAAACCATAATTGAAGGCATTGCATGTGGATCCCACCAACAGGGCCACACTCACCTCGGAAGCGGTTGAGCCTGTACACCAGTCCAGTGATGGGTCCTGCAGTGAGCTCTGGATTCACAGGCTGGGGCATGTGCAGCAGCACGGACTCACTCCTGCAAGGAAGTAGGTTGAGTTGGTTAACTTTCTGATGTCTGTGTTTAAGAAACAGATTCCAACAGAAAATGCTTCATTCAAACCCACTTCTGATACCGTAATGTACCTCCACAACGCTAGGATGGGTTTGTGGCTCTTAGGGAATCTTTCTAACTATTCACTCCATTTCTAACCTACTGCCCCTGAAAGATAAATGCCTCTCTCCCTATCTGCCACCAAATAGTTTATCTCTAATTATGATTCTGAATCGCAAAAAGAGGCAACTGTATTCTAGCAACCTCTGCATTGCACTCTTCAAAACATAAACCCCTGAGTCACTTGGGAAAGTAAGAAAAGATTAATGTCTGATAAAAGGCATAGATGACATTCATCATACCACATAAACACATGACTACACACACATACACACACAATCACACTGACACATTATGGTGTTAGTAAATTATGTTTTCACTTTGTTGGAAACAGCTTGATGTTTTTCATAGCATGCCTTGTGCTCCAGTTTGCACTGACGGCCAAAAACATACCTTGCCACGATGTCTCCCAAATCCTGTAGAGAGAGAGAGAAAAAAAAAATGACTTCTTTAGAAAGTTGTTATTCTTGTTGGGTGAGGTGGTTCACACCTGTAATCCCAGCACTTTGGGAGGCCAAGGTGGGTGGAACACCTGAGGTCAGGAGTTCCAGACTAGCCTGGACAACATGGCAAATCCCCGTCTCTACTAAAAATACACACACACACACAAATAGTGGGGTGTGGTGGTTCATGCCTTTAGTCCCAGCTACTAGGGAGGCTGAGGCAGGAGAATTGCTTGAACCAAGGAGGCAGAAGTTGCAGTGAGCTGAGATTGGGCCATTGGACTTCAGTCTGGGTGACAGAAGAAGACTCTGTCTCAAAATAAACACACAAAAAAGTTGCTATTCTGCCTATCTGGTCTTTAGGTTTTCAAAACTTTAGAATTACCGTATACTATTACTGCCACTCTTTTAAAATGTATTCTCATCTCTAACAATTATACCAGTAAGACCTATTGACAATATGGATTTCTGATAAATTAAGGACCCTAAATTTGAGTGAGAGAGAAAGGTGTGAGTAGTGACTGCGCATTGCTGCAGCTGTCTACAATGTGGTCTTTTTCAGGGCTAGTCCCCAAAGTGTAATGTGGCTCAAATCAAGCATGAAATTTTTTCTTCCAGAGTTTTAATGAAATGTGCTGGAGGAGGAAGCTTGTGGTAGAAAATGTTGTATGGAAATCTAGTTGCACAATTCCATAAAGCTTTATTTCCATGATTAGCGTAGGAGTTATAGTTTATCTCTATAACCGGTGGGAATGACTCTCACCGTCAGTACAGGAGATGAGGAAATAATGTCTTTGGTACCCAATGGAAGGCAAAGATGTAAAGGTCAGCTAACACAAAGTGTCTCAAGGGGCATCCTCCATTCTTACCTGGAGCAGCTCCACATCTGGTTTATGACACATTTCCATTAGTTCCTGATACATTTCTTTCAAGTGTTTACTCTTTTGATCCATTTTGACCCAACTTCTCTGGAGTTGCTGAAAAATCTCTTGGTATTCCTTGTTCAGTCTCTCTAAATGTTGTTTTTCTTCCTTATGGAGAACCGGATGCAGCTTCCTATACTCATTCCTGATCATCTGTGCCCGTAAAACCACATTGCCCTGTAGGGATATGAATTTTGTAGGTTATATACCCAGGCCTACTTCCACCTCACAGAGCCTACAACTTCATCCTCCTCATTCCTTCTTTTATTTTCCATCCTTTACAAACAGGATGATGAGTTAAGCAAGACCTTCCTTCAAAATTTATGTAATTCATCAATTCCCAAACACCTGCAAAAAAGCCCTTTAGGTTTAAATGTTTAAATCAAATCGGAAATACAATTAGAAAACAACTAAAATTTATGATTGTTACATTGTCATGGATAATACACATAATCTTTGTTATTCACTTAGGTTGTTGTTTCAAATCTCTGTACTTCACAGCCTGAACAATCACTCTTAGTAGAAATGTTTTTAGTATATTATAATCAGGATCAGAAGCCATCACACAAAAAGGATCTTAGTAAAAAATTTAACCCCCATCTCTCAAACTGACTACCTCTTTTCTGTCTCCTATCTTTCTTCTGTCAAATCCATAGACTCTGTATTGCACTGCCATTCTAAGAACATTAATCCCCATTCCATTGTGTTTCTCCTCTCAATAATGACATATTTATCCTCTCACTGCCCCAGTCATTTTTTATCCCTTCTCCTCAGCTTTTCCTCATGTTGCATTTTCTCCTACTCGGACTGGCATCATGTGGGTCCTTTGCTACCAGATTTCACCAGCACAGGCACATTTCTTAAATTACTGTTCCCACCCGATTTCTTCCCCCTGGACAATATCATATTCACCAATAAATGCCTTTATTTCTCAATTATATACTATTTAATCAACATTTCATAATTAATTTTATACAGAAAACTCTGTCTGAAATACTTATTAATTTTAAGCACATACTTGCCCTTCAGAATTTATATTTATTTTTTACTTATCTGAAAAGCATTTACAGAAAACCTGAACAATCGTTATGTTGAACAGTCTGGTTGTTTTCCAGCCTATGAATAAACACATGACAAAATCTGGCATGAGAATTTCAACTCAAGTTGCTAATATAAATGTTGTCAGCATGCCTGTCTCAAGCTGGTCAGGAGGACTCACGGTCTCATACTTACCCTCCAGAGGAAGGCTGTTCTTCCCTCCTCATATAGATTTCTCTGATTTTCTTGAATCTTTTTCCATAAAATCCTCATTTGCTTTAAGAGTTTCTCCTGCAAAAGAATTACAAGGTTGAACAACAGAAAGTCAAATGCCAAAGATTCCACAATCTGAGTGGTATACACAGGCAAGGGATAATATATAAATACATTAGTGAGAGGAGAAAAAAACAAAATTTTTCATTGCTCATCCTTAATTGATATTTTTCAGTTTGAGGTTTCAGAATGTAGAACAGCTTAGGGAACTGAAGAGTGAAGATTTCCTGTAACCCAGCTAAATTAGTTCAGGGAAACATCCTGCTTCAGAACCCACTATGCTAGCCCCTGATTTTGTAGTGTGCTACTCCCATACTCATTTGTCCAGTAATATTAAATATATTTCCAAAATACCTTTCTTTGCACTGGTAGTTTTGGTAGCTTTTCAATGTCATTAGCATTGAACTGTAGAGTCAATAATAATGACATTTACTTAATCAGTCTCTTTTTGGGTGCAAGCTCCATGAAGGAAGGTAGAGTTGCACATTTTATTCAAAATGTCATCATTGGTACCTAGAACAGCACCTGGCACTCAGTAAAGAATGGAGTAATCACCATGATTCTCATCATCCTTCTAATATCTTTAACTCTGCCACCCTCCAGCTTTCAGGTGATCACAGAGCTATCTCTTACCCGGTGTTCCTCAGCTGCCTCTTCGATGGGATGGTGTTTGTGAGCCCCGTGCTCCTGAGAGTTGGAGCACAGCAAGCAGAGGAGACTCTTGTCCATGTCACAGAACATCTTCTTTGTTTGCCTATGGGTCCCACATATTTGTTTCTCAGAGCTCAGGAATTGCCAGAGACTGGCTTTTCTGGCAATGGTCACTAAATTCTTCAGAAGAATATTGGTTTTGAAGTCCATTTTCGGTGATGGTTCCCTGCATGCAGGGCAGTTTGCAGGACTTTGGGCTTCCTCCCACGAAAGGCAGAGACAGGGCCTACAGAAGCTGTGCCCACAGCAGATGGTGACAGGGTCTACCAGGTAGTTCAAACAGATGACGCAGGTGAGTTCCTTCTGGAAGGCATGTGAGAAGTCTGAGTCCATTTTCCTAAGGAAAGAAAACCACAGGAATTTAATCTTCTACCCTGGAGAGACAAAGATCCAAGCAAAGTTTGAATCAGATCGTGATCGAATAATATCCTTTCTTTCTAAAGAAGTATAGGCTTTAATCTGCAATGACAGAAATAGGAAAAACAGAAAACTAAGGCACAAAGAGACATCAACCTCTATAAAAAGTGACTGTTCTCCAATCAACACATGACCAGCTTTCCAAACTCTACTTTCTTGCATGGAAGAATGTCGGATTTTTTGAGGTGTTAGTATCCACCAAATTGCTTGGGCTTCAAGGGTTTCATCAACCTGTAAACTCAAGGTTTGAGTCTTGAATGGTCTGAAAATCAGTAACACTCTTAATTGCCAGTGATTGGTTTAAAGAAGGAAAGCTAACTAAGCTCTTCTACTCTCATTATTTTATTTAACTATAACAACCATCCATAATGACTTTTCCAGAAGGACATTGCTTGAAAATGTTAGAGCAGAACTCATACTTTGACCCAAATCAGAAAAAGCTAGCCTTTACTCTCCAAGGAAAAACAGTCAAATCAAGGTAAGGCACCTCTCCAAGGTAAAGCTAAGAATCATTGTTTTTCTAGGCTACTATGTTAATTTAATCAACAAAAACTTTCTGGCATGTTTACTGTTCCTGGACAGTCTGTTAATTTGGGGATATACTAGTTAATATTACAACATCCTTAAAAGACAATTAATTCAATTTACAAAAAGATAATGATAATTGAAGCATTATCATTACTCTTTCACACAGTCAGGAAAAGAGTAAGTATCATGCAATAACAGGCACTAGAGGCCGGGCACGGTGGCTCACGCCTGTAATCCGAGCACTTTGGGAGGCCGAGGTGGCTGAGGCAGGCAGATCACGATGTCACGAGCTCAAGACCATCCTGGCTAACATGGTGAATCCCTAACTCTACTAAAAAATACAAAAAATTAGCCGGGAGTGGTGGAGGACGCCTGTAGTCCCAGCTACTCTGGAGGCGGAGGCTGGAGAATGGCGTGAACCCGGCAGGCGGAGCTTGCAGTGAGCCGAGATAGTGCCACAGCACTCCAGTCTGGGTAACAGAGCAAGACTCTGTCTCCCCTCTAAAAAAAAAAAACAAAAACTAGGCACTAGACAGTAAGTCAGCGTTTTAAATGTATGTTTTGCTAAAATACAAATAAAAATAAAAACCAAGCCAGGGAAGGTGACTCAAGCCTGTAATCCCAGCATTTTGGGAGGCCGTCAGGCAGGTTTTTTGAGCTCAGGAACTCTAGACTGGTGACACGGCAAAGTGTCTAGATCATCCTGTCTCTAAAAATACTTATATAAATTTAAAAAAAAAAGGCCGGGCGCGGTGGCTCAGGCCTGTAATCCCAACACTTTCAGAGGCGGAGGTGAACGGATCACAAGATCAAGAGATGGAGACCATCCTGGCCAACATAGTGAAATCCCGTCTCTACTAAAAAAAAATACAAAAATTAGCTGGGCGTGGTGGCAGGCGGCTATATTTCCAGCTACTCTGGAGGCCGAGGCTGAAGAATCGTTTGAACCTGGAAGGCGGAGGTTGCAGTGAGCCAAGAGCGCCGCTGCACTCCAGCCTGGCAATAGAGCGTGATTCCATCTCAAAATAAATAAATAAACAAATAAATAAATAGCTGAACATGGTGGCCCATGTTTAATCCATAAACCTATGGATTATGTTTAAAATAATTTTAAAAAAGAAATGGAGCCGTTTTTAAAACTCAGAAAATGAGATCATTTCATCTAAAAATAATCTAAGTTTGCAGATAAATTAAAGTCCCCAAATTTTGTTTTGGTTTGTAGCTCCTAATAGTAGCTCCTACTCTGGAAATTGTGTACTTACCTCAGAAATATATCTATGTTCTCACCAAAGCTTGCCGTCGAATCAGATGAATTCAGCTCAGGGATGAGAGTCTCACAGTGCAGTGCTGGTAGCTTTCGGAAGTCCCCAAAGCCAGTTGCAAAGCTACTCTGTGGGCTCTGGAGAAGAATGAGCTTGGCTCCTGAAGTGTCGGTTTATAAATCTCTGAAGACCACACCCCTTTCTTCCAATTGATTGCATTTCACAGGGCGTAGGTGGGTGTTAACATAGATGATTAAGTTTCTTCAGAACAGAAGTTTTATCTTTATTTATTTATTTTTTTTGAAAGGAGTCTGGCTCTGTCGCTGGCTAGTTTTTTTCTTGCATTTTTAGTAGAGAGGGGGTTTGATATAATTGATATAATAGGAATTGCAAATAGAGAAGCCCACACAAGCTAACCAAATTAATTCTAGTTTATTGGATAAATGGTATGATATGTATTCTAGTTCAAATTTGAAGGTTGGTATAAACCTTTTCAGACACTGGAGATGAGACATTTCACCAAGATTGGGTGTAAGGAAGAGGAAAGAAATAGAATAGTATATAAAATAGTATATAGAGTAAAAATACAGTAAAAGGAAAAATCAATCTGCATAATATGGTGTATGGCTAAATGTTTTTTAATATTTAGGCGAATCAGACATGGAAAAATCCTAAAAGGGAGATTAATAGAGGAGATAGTTGACTCAGTAAGAACTGTGAAGAAGCATCTCAGGAAGAGAAACTAGAAGTCTTTATATAGGTTTTGATTTAAAGAGGGAGAGAGAATAGGAACATTGAAAAAGAAGGACAGAAAGAAATAACAAATATTCAAGACTCCTTGCAAGAGTGAGGCAGAAAGTTTATAGATTGCTTGATTACACCCAGCATATAATTATTTGAAGTTTTCTGTTGAGAGTGAGAGTATGTAATCCTTTTAACCAAATGTCTCCGCAGAACTATGTGTCATTAAGTAAGGTGATAATCAATATTCAATATCAAAAGATGCATCTATTTCTCGATGAGGAGAAGCAACTTCATCTGCAGGCACTGGACAGCGAAGCCAAATAGCTTTTCCAACAACTACAAGACAGTCAAGTGAGAATGACCCAACATTTAGAAAGGATGAAAGACATGTACAGAGAGCTGTGGGAGACGTGCCTCATGCCTGACGTGGAGCTGCTCCAGGTGAGGAGGGAGGGTCCATCCCCAAAGAAAGGAAGACTTTGCTGGACAATGCTGCCAGGACATGCGAATGTCACCTGCATATGTCACTGCTCTCAGCTTAGTGACACATGCTGTCTGACTCCCACATTACATTTGTCCAGTTTTTCAGAAAAAAGCTACAAAAGAAGCTTATTAGAGGGGAATATTCCCTGTGGTCAGTGTTTGATAAAGGGGAATATAAAATTACATCCACTCAAAGATTCCAAAAAAGCTTGCTTGTTCATGGTTAGGATAAGAATTACATTTCACCTATGTTATTTCTATTTGGAAAAGTTCCTCCCTCTTAGAAGCAGGAGATACATATATGATATATATGGTACATATATGTATGTATACACACATATACATATATATATACCCCCCCCACACACACATATCTATGGTGTTGAATAAATAATATCACCTAAGCCAGGGGTGTGCAATCTTTTGGCTTCCCTGGGCCTCATTAGAAATAGAATTGTCTTGGGCCACACATGAAATACACTAAGATTAACTATAGCTGATGAGCTTTAATAAAATGACAAACAAAAATCTCTTCATGTTTCAAGAAAGGTTAGGAATTTGTGTTGGGCCACATTCAAAGCCGTCCTTGGCCGCACGGACCGTGGGTTGGGCAAGCTTGTTGTAAGGTATGAACTTCAAATACTACAAAATTTTTTTAGGCATATTATTGGTTCTTTCCTGGAGCAGCTCCATATCTAGTTTATGGCACATTTTTATCAGCTCCTTATAGATTTTTCTTAGGTGTTTTTTTTTTCTGAACCATTTTGTCTTTTTGCTTTTCTTAAGTTGCTGTAAAATCTTTCTGTCATCATGGTTGTAAGTTTCTCTAAGTGTTGTTTTACTTCTCATGGGGAACTGAATGCAGCTTCCTCTACTCAGCTGTAGTCATCTCTGCCCATAGCTACACATAGCACTGCAGGGACCTAGATTTCCTAGATGACATATTTACTCTGAATTCATCCTCCTCCACTTATACCTCTTCTATTCACTTTGACTCATTTCCTTTTCTTTATCTCTTTCATCTTTTCTGTATAATAAAGATCAGGGTCTCACTATGTTGATGGCCAGGCTGGTTTGAAACTCCTGGTCTCAAGTGGTCTTCCCAAAGTATTGGGATTACAGATATGAACCACTGAGCCTAGCCTGACTCATGTATTCTACCAATAAGCTAAGTACATAAACTCGTGTCTTCCCACTTGACAGAACCATGAAATAGATCATTCCTGTCTTCCTTTCATTTATTTGTATTGTTTCTTAATAATACTGAAAGCCAAATTCATTCGTTCCTCAAACCACTTTCATTCATTATATGACTTCCTAAAACACCTGAAGAAAGGTTATTATTGATCGTTTCTTCAATATATATCCATTGATATCTGAAAGCCTACATGAGAGCCATTGGAATTTATGGTTGATTCACAAATAATTTTTTGCAGTGTTATGATCTCTGTGTTTTTAAATTAGTTTTTAGTACCAGGTCTTCCTACTCCATAGCTTGACCACTCTCCCTGAGCATTAATCAATGCTGCATTGTACCCTCAGGATTGGAAGCCATGAGAAAAATCTTCCTCAAATCTACCAAGATGATTTCCATTCAAGTGATAAGTGGATACATTTCTAGCATGTCTGTCTGAGGCTAACTCTGAGGGAAAAGGCCTAATACTTGCAATCCACTGGTTGGTTTTCCTGCTTTCCTCATTTAAATTTCTTTGGTTTTCTTGAATTTTTGCCCACAAACATCTCATTTGCTTCATAATCTTCTCCTGTAAAAGAACTATGAATGTGAACATCAGAGAAGCAAATCATTTTAGGTTTCAGACCCCCAGTGATAAAGAAATCAAGGGATGAGATATGAAAGAGATTTGGGAAGATCTCGGACTGTAGAACCACAACGTGTAACGCAGCAAGTTTAATAGGAAAATCATAGGCAGGGCTAATTTACAGATAATGTGGCACCTTGCATCAGAATTGGAATCTACTGACACCGTGCCCTGCTAATTCTAACGTGTTTTATTCTATTATTTCCAGTGTTGGTAAATAGGTTTCTTATAGAAAAGACTTTTTAACTTGTAGTTTGGATAGCCAGAAACTCTTCTGATATTGAGCTCTTTACAGTGCCTTGAACACTGCATCAAGTAGTCAAATTATTACAATGATTATTAACTTCATCACTCCCTCAGTGAAATGTAAGCTCCAGGAAGGAAAGCACACTCAGATTATATTTATTATTTTATCATTGATACCTAGGCACTACACGACATCCAGTACAGAGCAGATTAATCATCATGCTCTTCATCTTCCCCTAATCTCTTTACCTGTGCCATCCTCCAGCTTTCAAAGTGCTCTCAGAGCCATCACTTACCCAGTGTTCCTTAGCTGCCCCTCACAGTGTGTGTGAACCCCATGCTCCTGAGAGTTCCAGCACAGCAAATGAATCAGGCTCTTTTTCCACCTCTCCAAATATCTTCTTTGTCTCCCTGTGGATCCCACGCATTTGTTCATTAGGGCTCAGGAATTGCCAGAGACTGGCTTTTCTGGCAACGGACACTAGATTCTTCAGAAGAATATTGGTTTTGAAGTCCTCCTGCTGTGACAGTTCCCAGCATGTGGGCAGCAGGTAGGAATTTTGGTTTCTTCCTAGGAAAGGCAGAGACAGGGCCTACAGAAGCTGGGGCTGCAGCCTGTGGCAATGGGGTCTACACATTAGTTCAGACAGAAGAGGCAGATGGATTCTTTCTTTCTGGAAGGCTTGTGTGATGTCTGAGACCAATTTCCTGAAGGAAGGAAATTAGGAAAGGTATGATTCAAACTTCTTCATCTTATGCCCTGAGAAACAAAGACCAAAGCAAAATTTGACTCAGGTTGTGACTCAATGATACACTTCTGTCTAGAGTAGAATAGGCTTTATTTTGCATAAGACAAAAATAGAACCTGAGGCACAAAGAGAGCTCTCAGATCTGTAGGTAAAATTGTCAGATGCATGCATAACTCACAGGGCACTACATCCTACCCTTTTCTTTTGTATAGAAAAATGAACCTCAGAGAGGCCAGAAATGGTGGCTCACACCTATAATCCCAGCACTTTGGGATGCCAAGGCTGGTAGATCAGGTTGGAGACCAGCCCGGCCAATATGGGGAAACCCCATCTCTACTAAAAATACAAAAACCAGCCATGAGTAGTGGCACACGCCTGTAATCCCAGTCACTCAGGGGACTGGGCAGAAGAATCGCTTGAACCCTGAGGTTGCAGTCAACTGAGATTGAGCCACTGCTCTTCAGCCTGGGCAATAAAACAATACCTGTCACAAAAAGAAAGAAAAAGAAGGAAGGAAGGAAGGAGAAAAGAAAAGAAAGAAAAGGAGAAAAGAAACCTCCATTTTGTTGAGTTTTGACTTTACTCCAAAAAGCTTGAGGTTTAAGAGTATGAAATTGGGACCAATTTACACCATAGATGATGGGTCCTGAATATTCTGAAAACCATTCTTAATGCTCATTGTGATTGGTTTAGGAAAGATCGATTTAGTACAAAAGAAAAAAGTGATTGGTTTAGGAAACTGTATTTCACTGAGATTTTACTCTCATTATTTCATTTTGATGTCATAATTTTCTCCTTTAAAGTATTTCGAAAATCCTCAATCACAAGCCACCACTGCAAAATAATTTCTAAATAAATAAGCAATATTTATTTACTGAACATTTGGTGAAATTTCATCAGATCAGATTTCACCCAAAATTTGATCAGATTTCACCCAAAAATGCTAAAGAGGCATTTAGTATATTCTAAAACACAATATTACCCTCAAATTATTCAACATATTACCTAAATTGTATATTATAGAATATTTTGTCTTGTGCATATATTTATGTGCCACCTTCAGAATTGAAGGTAATACATTTATACACAACATATGGAATAAAATATTCTCCATAAAATTTAGGATATACAAGTATAAAATTGCAAGATATCTGAAAACTATTTTCTGAGTTCTTAGAATACATAGGAACAACTAATGAATACATAAATGATACAAGTAAAATTAATCTTCACTGTAGTTCACAAGTATGTAGGAAGACAGGATAACAAAATAAGAGTAAAAACATTTTTACTAATTAAGCAAATGACATCATTTCATAGAAACAAGCTCAGTTTGTTGAAAAATTCAACGTAGGGCAGTCTGTTTTGGATTGGAAAACTAGCAGGAACTCCTCCTCTGTTAGCTGTGTTCTCACCCTAGAAATATACTTATGGTCTCACTGATACTTGCTGTAGAAGTAATAATATAAAGTCTGATCAGGGATCAGGGCCTCACCATATAGCGGTAGTAGCTTTCAGACATCTTCACAGCCAGTTCCAAAGCCACTCTGTGTGTCCCAGAGAAGAATGAGCTTGGCTCCTTGTACCTCTTTATATTGAATCTCTGAAAAATCACACTCATTTTGAAAAGGTTGTACATTTCTTGGAGTTTGGGATAGCCGTTAGGGTTCTTGATTAGATTTCACCAGAAGAGAGGAAATGATTGATTCGACACCTTGGCTAATCTCCATAAACACACTTTAAACTTCCTCTCATCAAGAACCACTGAGTTTACAACAAATGAACCCTCAAATACCAAATTTGTGGATAATTTTTGGAGTACTTGAATATTTTACTCATCAAAGGATGGGAAAGAGGATACCATCAATTTATGATTTTAATAAATGTCTTCAGAAGTCTGGAATATTTTTTCTCCTTTTTCTTTTTTTTTTCTTATGTTTTTGGAAATGTTTTGCCTGAAATTGGCTTTAATTCTAATAGTCACTGAACTAGACTGGAAATGCACTTTGCTGTTGCTTTTAAGACTTGATCTCTGGTTTTAATGTATTAATGTATTACTGTCAATTCATATATTATATATATATTTTCTGGCTCTGTAGCCCAGGCTGGAGTGTGGTGGTGGAATCACAGCTCACTGCAGCCTTAAACTGCTGGGCTCAAGTGATCGTTTTGCCTCATTATCTCAAAGAGCTGAAATTACCGATGTGAGCCACTGCACCCGGCCTATTAATTTATGTTTTTAATAAAAGCATAAGAATTATCCTTATTATAAATTAAGAAATAGAATATCTTTAAGAAAATATTTTTAAGGAAATATAATATCTTTAAGGAACAATGAAATCTCCAGTAGCTATAGACTCCTATGAAAACCACCGTTACCAATAGCAATTTTGTGTATGTCTATATAACACATACATATGTAAATATATATAACATATACATGAATTTTTTCACATTCGGCAGTCATTGAAGAATAAAAATTATAATTTATATTAATAAAAAGTGAAATAAGTAAAATTTGCTGTTTAGTGAAAACTTTGCTTAGCAACTTAAATGAAGCTGCAGAAAATGTGAACTGGATAATAGATGTAAAGAGATGTCATGAGGGCTTCACAGATGGACAAATAGAGGTAAACTAGGAGAGTAGTAGTGACATATGGAGGATGAGAGTATCACGTATGTCCTTTATAAACAGCATAATGTGTGATTGGCTGTAGCACAAAGGGGAGCTAAGTAGAGAAGATGAGGAGAGTACATATTCAAGGATATAATGTTTGATAATTTTTTCAGAGTAAACAAATACATTATTGAATTCAGGAAGCCAAACAATCCCCATTTTGGATGTGTAAAACATAAATTTACTTTGTTTTGAATGTGCAAAACAATATATTTTGACTGATTTTTAGTATTTCTCTGTCTTTGGTGGCTGATTCATTATGATATTTTAAGTTTGAAACCACCACCAAAGATAAAGAATCTCTTAAAAGCAGCCAAAATAAACTGTTTCATTGTGAGGGAACACTTAATAGAATGACAACAGACTGCTCCACAATCATAAATCATAAATGTAAGTATAAGACGGTGGACTAATATTTGTAAAGTGTCAAAAATGTAACTGCCAATATGGAGATGAATGTGAATTGGAAATATCTTTTATATAAGAGGATAAAATGACTCTTGTCATATAAGTATAATAAAAAAGGGACTTTATATCCTACTAAGGGCTTCTAGAACAGTACGCATAAGATCTACTTGAAAGATAATTCCAACACCTCTGCCACATTGAATCTGGCTTTATTTATTGCTTAGTCTCTTAACAGTGTTTCCTTTATGTATCTTTTCTGTTTCTATACATGTCTGGTAAGTTTTACCCAAAAAGTGAACTATGTAGAGTAGACTAATGTAGAAATCAAAACCCACATGTGTTCCCTTTTACTAGGCTGTATGTGTGTGTTTTGGGGGAGGAGGTTGAATCAATCTAGTCAGGAGTTGATTTGGTTTTGGGACTTTTCCCTCTTAGAGTTATTTCCAGGGCACCATAAGTTTCACGCTCATCTAGCATTACTTTGTGTTTCAGGTTGGACTGGTTCAGCAGCATTTCTTAATATCTGCTGTATCCTCACATTTAAGTTTCCTTCCAAATTCTGTTCAGTCCCCCAGAAGACACTGCTTTGACCTGTTACTCAACAATTGTGAGCCTAGTTGGGGGTGGAGATGAGGATGGAGAAGCATTTTCTGTCACTCTGATGAAGCTCAGTCATAGGTTGACACTGTTTCTGGGTCTGCATGGTTGGAATCCTTTTTTTTTTTTTTTTTTTTTTTTGACGGAGTCTCGCTCTGTTGCCCAGGCTGGAGTGCAGTGGCATGATCTCTGCTTACTGCAAGCTCCATCTCCCGGATTCACGCCATTCTCCTGTCTCAGCCTCCCAAGTTAGCTGGAACTACAGGCACCAGCCACCATGACCAGTTAATTTTTTTTTTTTAATATTTTTAGTAGAGACTAAAGCCAAGATGGTCTCGATCTCCAGACCTGGTGATTCGCCCGCCTCAGCCTCCCAAAGTGCTGGGATTATAGGCGTCAGCCACCACGCCTGGCTGGAACCTTCTTAGTGATCCTGTCCCACCTTCAGATGTAGGTCTAAATCCTCCACATATTTTTTTTTCCTCTTTTTTCTTTTCCCGTTTCCAAAGTTCAATTAGTTTTACCAATGTCCCAAGGGCAATGACATTCCTTATCTTTTCCTTTGTAGTTTAAGATTGTGTTACACAGGAGAGATGAGGAGGTAATTACAGGTCTTTAAATGTAATATTCTGTGAATCTCTTCACAGACTGTAAAAAAATGTATGTGGCACATATACACCATGGAATAATATGCAGCCATGAAAAAGGATGAGTTCATATTTTTTTTGCAGGTACGTGGATAAAGCTGGAAGCCCTCATTCTCAGCAAACTAACACAAGAGCAGAAAATCAAACACTGCATGTTCTCACTCACAAGTGGGAGTTGAAAAATGAGAACACATGGATACAGGGAGGGGAATATCACACACCGGGGCCTGTCGGGGGGTGGGGAGCCAGGGGAGGGACAACATTAGGATAAATACCTAATGTAAATGACGGGTTGACAGGTGCAGCAAACCTCCATGGCACATGTATACCTATGTAAAAACCCTGCACATTCTGCTCATGTACCCCAGAACTTAAAGTATAATAACAAAAAAGCATGGTTTATGTCTTAATGTTGATTGATATTAACTTATCATAAAAGAAATTATATATTTACACATTTGAAAAATTAGGCATAAAATTGAATTTATCTATTTCAAACTTTTCTTACATGTTACAATATTAAACAATACATATATCATTCTCTTCTTCATGAAAAAACTCATAGTTTCTCTCCTTCATTGCAATGCTGCCTGGATCTTATCCTGGTTATTTTTACGTTTCCTAACCATTACCTTCCTAAAATATTATTCAACATTCTAACTTCTAATACTAATTAATGGAGTTTGCAATTTATATAAATAAAACACTGTAATATAACATTTGTGTGTTTCAATTCTTTTTCTTAAACTTCTTTCTTAAACTTGGGATTCATTAATTTGTTGCATTTTGGTGTTATTCTCTTTGTTTTATAGAATTATTTTGTATGATGAGATCACAATTTATTTAGCAATTCTACTGTCGATGAATATTTATTTTGTCTCCAATTTGGAGCTACTATGAAAATTGATGCAAAGATCAACATTATGTTTATCTCAAAATATACATAGGCAGTCAGTGGAATATATTTTAGAATTAGAGTATCTAGCCAATAAGGAATGCTCATAGTCAGTTTGCCAAAAAGTATTTCAGTTTATACCCCTCCAGTCATGAATAACTTTCATTGATTCTTTCTTTTTTTATATACTTTTAGTTTTAGGGTACATGACAACGTGCAGTTTTGTTACATATGTATACATGTGCCATGTTGGTGTGCTGCACCCATTAACTAGTCATTTAACATTAGGTATATCTCCTAATGCCATCCCTCCCCACTTCCCCACCCCACAACAGGCCCCGGTGTGTGATGTTCCCCTTCCTGTGTCCTTGTGTTCTCATTTTTCAATTTCCACCTATGAGTGAGAACATGTGGTGTTTGGTTTTTTTTCCCTTGTGATAGTTTGCTGAGAATGATGGTTTCCAGCTTCATCCATGTCCCTACAAAGGACATGAACTCATCCTTTTTTATGGCTGCATAGTATTCCATGGTGTATATGTGCCACATTCTGTTAATCCAGTCTATCATTGTTGGACATTTGGGTTGGTTCCAAGTCTTCGCTAGTGCGAATAGTGCCGCAATAAACATATGTGTGCATGTGTCTTTATAGCAGCATGATTTATAATCCTTTGGGTATATACCCAGTAATGGGATGGCTAAGTCAAATGATATTTCTAGTTCTAGATCCCTGAGGAATCGCCACACTGACTTCCACGATGGTTGAACTAGTTTACAGTCTCACCAACAGTGTAAAAGTGTTCCTATTTCTCCACATCCTCTCCAGCACCTGTTGTTTCCTGACTTTTTAATGATCGCCATTCTAACTGGCGTGAGATGGTATCTCATTGTGGTTTTGATTTGCGTTTCTCTGATGGCCAGTGATGATGAGCATTTTTTCATGTGTCTTTTGGCTGCATAAATGTCTTCTTTTGAGAAGCGTCTGTTCATATCCTTTGCCCACATGTTGATGGGGTTATTATGTGTATTTAAATTTTGCTAATTTTTATGAAGGCCTGTAGTTCAACTTGTGGATTAATTTTTATAATTCTGAGGACTAATAAAAGTAATCCCTTTTTCATATTTGGCCAGTTATTTATGCCTCCAATTTTATGAAGTGCCTGTTCAAATATTTTACCCAATTTTATATCGGGTTCATTTTCTTTTATTTATGACATTCATTAATCACATGTATTGCATTTTGTTTCATATAAGTTGAGATAAATATTTTTCTCCACTCTTGGTTTCCATTTTAATTCTTGGATGGTATATTTTGAAACACAGAAGTCATTATTTTTGATATAAACTAACTAAATTTTCCTTCTTAATTGTTACTTTTTTGTCCAGGTCAAGAAATCTTTCTCTATGAGAATATTTTATTATGTTCCCTTCACCTTCACAACATGAATCCATGTGGAAATGAACTCTGTATGGTTTGAGATAGGGGTCAGTATTCAGTCATTTCCATTTGAATATTTAATTGATCCAGCATTGTCCTGATCACCTTGTAAATTTCACTTTAGAACAGCACTCTTAATAATGCATGAGCATTTGTGTATAAGATGAGATTTACAAAGATAAGCACAGCATAGGAGGTCAAATAAGATTACCTCAAGGTATGGATTCAGAAATAAAACACATGAATAAGTATAATATTGTTAGATGAAGAGAAAGAAAATATTTCCAGGTTACCATTGAGTCTTTTTACTCCAAGTTTTTTGAAGAAGCACAAGATTCCTACTTTCTTCCGTTGATTTTATCTTCATTTAGACACCTCTGTCATCTCTGATTTCACTTTGTGACATTCAGAAATAATGAAAAACCAGAGAATATATTCTATGCCATCCATCATGGGTAATGATTTTCCAAAAATGATTAAACAAAGAACCAATACACATGGTTTTAGTTTTTTCACCATATTTAATAGAAACCGTATTAATGAGTTGTGATGACATTAGAAGGCAACTAAACACATTAAATATAACTTATTTGTCCTCTTTGATGAGGCACAAAAAGGAGGACTTCCTGCGATAAAGGGGTTTACACAGCATGTGGACACATTACCAATTTGTCTCTGGTCAGAGGTGACTACAGTGAAAGATAGGCCTGAGAAGAGGTGAGAAGGAGCAATTATGGATGGTGTATATAAGGGAACTTTGATCAACATCAACAATGCTCATGGTTCTACCTTCACAATCCAGGAATAATCCTCCTCGGCTGCTAGGCCTTGGAACATATAGCACCACATGTGGGGTGTGGTAAAGAGCCTGCAGTGAACGTCCTCCTTAACACATCCAAGAAGAAAGAGTCCCTCCTCTCCATCTATCTTGTCATTCTGTCTCTTCTCTTTCCAATAATTGTTACAGACACCAAAAGCCCAATTCCAAGAGTCCCCCACATGAACCTCCCAATAATATTTGCCAGATGTGAAAGTCTGAGCGCTCTACTCAGGAAAACATTCAGATGTTGCCATGATGCGGGGACCATCTTGAGGGTCACATCCAACATTCATGCTTCTTAAGTCTCCATACAGGAAGATATGACTATTGGCTCTTTCAGGATGCGGAGTAATATCAACTGCAAATTTTTTTAAAAAAAGTATGGACACGTGTAAATAATAAAAGTTAAAATTCTTGAGGGAAAAATTGTTCTACCAAGTATCTACTTTACCAAGGAATTTGAAGTTACAAGAACAGGATAATTTTGATTATAACATTTAATAAAGGACAAGGAAGATTAATATTCTCTACAGGAAAAACAAAACCCTAAAAACAGACATTGAAAATTTGGAAACTCAAAAATTGAGAGTCAAATATAAGACCAGCCTGTTTTAATCCAATTTCCAATGTGAAAGTGAGATATTATATGCCCTGACTGCCCTTTAGCTATCAAGGTCATTATTATTAAAATATTTCTTGTTCTTAAATACTAGTGATATAACTTTGGCAAGAATGGGAAGAGTTTCACTTACTCAAGCACTACTCTAGATAACTGGATAAAAGTCCATATGTCCAAATTATAAGTGATAACTTAAGGCAGATTTCTGCAAAATCTTTTACCGGTCACTCTGTGGACTTCCCTGCTAGCTCTAGACAGAAACTGAATTTTAGATTTTACACATAACTCTGCATGTTGTAACTAAACTGAAATTATCATTTCTATTTTTACATAGTATTAAGTCAAATTTTTACATTATATCAATAGTATATATTTATTGTAAGTAAATACAAATACTCCAACAAATTGTGGTGAACTCTATTTCCCAGATAACCGTTTTTAACAATTCAAATAAAATACTGTAAAGGAATGTACAATTTTTATGTAACATTGGATTATTAAACTTCCATCTCACCATTAGTACACTTACTCAATTTTTTATTTCTTATGTCATTCCTTTTACCCAATATATAACTCAATACATGTGAGCCCAGAACATAATTGTTTTTCACTATGTTTTACCCTTCAAGTTATAAACTGGAGTATAAATAGAAACACAGATATAAAAGGGTTGCATAGTCATATTGTTCACTTCCTTCTGAAATGAAAAACGGATTTGATGAAGGGTAAAATATTATGCTCATGATTCTAACAAGAAGTAATTCATTGTAGAAATTCTGCCAATGGGCTGACACTCACCTCTGAATCCATTGAGACTGTCCAGCAGTCCAGTGATGGGCCCTGCACTGAGCTCACAGGCTTGGGCACTTGCAGCAGCAGGGACTCACCCCTGCAAGGAGAAAGATGCAGTTACTACATCCACAGAAAAAGAAAGAACACACACACACATAAAAATCACTACATTTATTCAAAAGACATTTCATGAGAATCCCTTTAACCCACACATTCGCTAATTCCAAAATTATCATTTTGTTTTTCAAATTCATTATTATTCACAGTTCCTGATTTTCAGGCATGATGGAAAAGTCTATCTGAGTGAGAATTCAATCTGATCTTTCTTCTTATTGCTCCAAATTAGTAAGGATCATTAGTCTTAAGGCTAGGAGAATATTCAAAAGTGAAATTCTGGTTCCAGAACTCACCAGGCTTCCCTGAAATCACTGTCTGGGAAAGTGGGGTTATTTGAAGGCTGCTGTATTCGTTGCTTCCTTTTCAAGGCCAGGGTGTTGAAACTTGATCCAGGCAGGGGGATCTGCCTTTTATAGCTCAGGTTCTCTGGAGGCCTACACAGTTCTAACATTCTGACAGTTTGTTTCATCTGTTTTTCAGAATTATATATTTAAATATAAACAAGAAATCATCAACACTTTTCACTGCTAAGATACTTTCAAACACTTTTCTCTCTGGCTTCCCCTGGTTGGCTTTGTAGCCATGTAGAAAATGTAACATTTTCTCCTTCAAATATGCAGGCTGTTGAGCAACAAAAAGGAAATTAGGAATAGAGATGTTCACTTTCTTTATTCTTTCATTTATTTATTTTTTGTTTTTATGGTTTTGCAGAACTTTCATTGAACTGCCTAATAAAATAACTAAGTATGGTAACAAAATAGATGACTACATGGGGTGGGGGATGGATAAAGTACAACCAGGATAAAGTAGTATCAATAGCTGAATCAATTATGCCTTCAATATCAAAGTTCCTGCTTGATATTTGTGGAAACTGAACAAACATCTACTAAAATATTGGTACACTCTCACCTGTGTAATATGTCTCCAAAAGCCTATAAAAAGATAAAGGCTTAGTGTTTTCCACAAGATGCATCTTCCACTAAGTTCAGTGTGAGATTTGGAGGCAGTTTCTGAAGATATTATTTCCCTACCATTGTCCCTCCTGGAAAGCATTTTCTCTTTCTTTTCTTGTGAAAATCCCAGTCTATCATATTGTCATGAATTGATGTTCTGATAAAGTCTAAGTTTTGAAGACATTCTCTTTATAAGTGAAGGGAGAGGAGGCCCACAGAGTCTACGCTCTGCTGTAACCATAGAAATGCTACTCAGTCATCTTCCCTAAGCCCTGTTGCCAAAATGAGTGGACCCCAAAATAATACTAGTGTGATCCTAGATTTTCCAACTTCTCCATCGTGCCATGCATCCAAATTAATCTAAATGCCAACGAATCACTTCTCATTTTATCTGCTTTCAAAAATCCTAAATATACCATTGACTTTTGATGGTAAATATTTTGGGGGGCTGTTACCTTGACCGTCCCACAAAGTTTTGTTGCTGGTGGATAAAGTAGGAGGGACCTTAGGTCTGGTAGAATTACTAGGAGAGGCTATACCCTCCCATCAAAGCAGCATTAGTTATAGAAATGTGTTTTTGGAAACAAATCATGGAAGTAAAGGGGGAGATGGATTTCAGGAGAGAGGAAAAACACCCATGCATGTGAATGTTCAACATCCCGATACCCCATGGTCAGTCTGTACCTGGAGTAGCTCCACATCTGCTTTATGGCACATTTTCTTCAGCTCCTAATACATTCCTCTTAAAATCTCCCTCGCATGTTCCATTCTGGCTTTGCTGTCATTGAGTTGCTGAAAAATGTCCTTGCCCTGCTTTTGCAGCCTGTCCAAGTGATGTTGCTCTTCTTCATGGAGAAATGCAGGCATCTTCTGATATTCAGCTCTGATTACTTCTATCCTTAAACTCACATAATCCTGCAGTGACAATTGGTCAAAATAGAAATGTTGTATCCATCTTCTTTTGAATTTCACTGATTCCTCTTAGCATCCTGAATATCCAATATTTTAGCCCTCAGTCTTGTCAGTTCTCAGATTCCACAAAATGTTATTCCTCTCCTTTTTTCTGCGTTAATAACAACATAGTTGTTTCAGTTATGTTTACTTGATTAATGATAAAATGTTTTCTAAGATAGTTATATAAAAATGGATTTCTCTCTTCCAACCCACATTTATACAAAGAAAACACAGTTTTTGCTTAAGAATTAAACTATTGAGCTATATTGACTAGATAGAAAACCATTATTTCTATTTTGGAGGATTGGGCCAAGTTATGTAAACCCATTATATGAGAAATGATGAAATGACCTCATACTAGCGTTGTCAGCTCAATGCATTTCACCCAGCATAACATAGTCTAATTGGTTTCATTTATTCTCTTCCAACCTCACCCTAATCTGCAGCATGGGCTGCTTTGTGGTTCCTCAACATCCCAAATAAATGCAAATGCAATATTACTGCACGTGCTGTTTTCTATACCTAGAATTCTTTTCATATATATATTTCTCATATATATACTCATATATATATTTCTCATATATATACTCATATATTCTTCATATATATGTATATATGGATATATATGAGGAATATATATGTGTATCTGTGTGATATGTGTATGTGTGTATTTCACATATCTGCATGATGGCCATTTGCTTCTCTCATTTCCATTGCAAGATTTGTATGTTTTCTTCCTTCTTTACTACTTAATTTTCTAAGTTGATATTTGACATAGACTAGGTACTTATAAAATATTTTCAATGAATTCATATTAGAATGAATTAATGAATTAATATTAGATATCATACCCTCAAGAGAAACATCTACAAAGAGAAAACATTTCTAGAATTCTTCTCAAGTCCTTAGAGTGCTCCTTATATTAAATACTAGTTGCCATATTTCTTGCATATTTATGTCTTCATCAAGACAAGTCTACCTTTCTCACTTTTCCCATTATGCATTATGATTTATTCAATATTAATTAGTTCAGATGCTTAATTTCATGCTTTCCCTAAATTTGCATTGTTGCTCCTTCTGTCTGAAATTTGATTCACATTTCAAATATACTTGCCCACCAGGATTCAAATTCATGCTGACTCAGCTTCAGAAGTTTCACCTAAAATTTCCATGACTGCCAAATAACTCTTGTGCCCAGGATTTATTCAGGCAGCCCATGGGGAGCAGTGTGAAATGGCCCAGTTTCTTGTGTTTGTTGGTGTATTGCTATAGGTTTGTATGGAAACAGATGAGCATGCTTGGGTAACATCTGTGGTTTGGTTAGAAATCCTATCAAAGAATCACAATATCTTACATAAAAAATAGGCTATTTTTTTCTCAACTGTTTTTTCCTTTTTTATTGAATTCCAGATACATTATGGGTTGAGATCAAGTTCCTATTTTAAGAGTCACCCATTTGCCCAGTGCAAGTTCCTAGAGAAGGTAGAGTATTACAAGGCTAACCTTCTAGCATCTGGTTCTGGTGGTTTTCATGTTCAGGTTTCTGTGATTTTCACAAGCTTTTCCCCATAAAGACTGCATTTTCTTTAGGAGCTTCTCCTGCAAAAGAGCCAGGAATTGGAGCACCAATGAAGACAATAAAGTATCATTCACACTCTGATATATGAAGGGGCCCAGAATGAGACACAAATCAGCCTATAGGAAATAGTGTTTCCTTTGTTTCTCTTCATGTTTGTCAAATCTGAGAGGGTTGAAGCCAAGGAAGCTCATAACAGAGATGTTTAAAGGGACACAGAGATGGCATCATCCAATCTCCAAGAAAATAGACCCACAGGAATTTCATGTGTCCTTTGGAGAAATAGATCTTCAGAGGCATCACTTACCCGGTGTTCCTCAGCAGCCCACTCAATGGGACAGTGTCTGTGATCCCGGTGCTCCTGAGAGCTGGAGCAGAGCAAACAGAGCAGACTCTTGTCCACTTCACAGAACATCTTCTTTGTCTCCCTGTGAGTGCCACACATTTGCTCTTCAGAGCTCAGGAATAGCCAGAGACTGGCTTTTCTGGCAAGGGAAGCCATCTTCTTCAGTCAAATGTTAGTTTTGAGGTTTCTCTGCTGTGTTGTCTTTATGCATTCAAAGCACTGAGTAACAACTGGGATGTCTTGCCAGTTGAGGTAGAAACAGGGCCTGCAAAAGCTGTGCCCACAGTCTATGGTGACTGGGTCTATGAAGTAGTTCATGCAGATGGGGCAGCTGAGTTCCCTCTGGAAGACTTGCGAGATTCCAGAATTCATGTTTCTGAAGAAGGAAGAGCAACATGTCATTTTGTGGTCTGGGTTGGTGAAAATCTATGTACATGTGGTGATATGTGATAGCTATATTTTCTTCTCGACAGTGCTGATTAAAGCAGAACAAACTATTTCCTCTGTAACAAAAATAAAAAAATTCATACACAAGGAGAGCCTTCAGGCTTTATAGCAGACATTACTGACTAGATGACTCACAACCCCTTCTATTCGTAGTTCCGGCCCATAACATAATGCAAATCTGTTCAAGAACCTATTCCCTAGATGTCGATATGAAACTCAGGTTTTAGTCTTAAGTTGTCTAGAATAAATCAAGGTTGTCCCTATTTCTGTTTCAAGTAACTACTGAATGACTATGGAAGAGAAGTACAAAACCTACATTGGCTAAAAAAATATGAGAAGATGGACAGAGGGCACTATGATGTGTTTTTAGAGAGGGACCCAGAAGCCCATCTCTTTAAAATAAAAATCAACCCTGCAAGAAAACCAATTAACCAGATAAACAAAAAACAGCAATTAAACCAGTTTAGGTTCACTAGTAGAGAAAATACATAATGAAAGATATTGGGTTTATTTTTCTTACGGATTACATTAACTTCTTCCTTTGGCTACTCAAACTCTGAACTGACATATAGTCAATTTTTTAAAAACTGAAACATGTATAATTACATTACTATGGTATTATGGTTAATTTTAAGTGTCAACTTGACTGGATTAAGTAATACATGGAGAGTTAGTGAAACATTATTTCTGGGTGAGTCTGTGAAGGTGTTTCCAGAGAGACATGTGAGTTGGTGAGCTGAGCGGGGAACAGCAGCCCTCAATGTGGGTGGACACCATCCAATCAAGCTGGGAGCTCAGACTGAAGAAAAAGGGCAGAGAGAAGGCAATTTCTTCTCTCTCTCTCTCTGCTGAAGCTGATTCTAACTCAGCCACGATATTGGTATCTCCAGGACACTAGCTTAATGGCAGGCTATATTCAACTTCTCAGACTCCATAATCAAGGGAACCAATTCCCCTAGTAGACTTCCTCTCCTGTATAGTCATGTGTAGAGTGAGGACAGATAGATGATCGGAGAAATGCATTCAGCAGTTTTGTTATTGTTTGAACATCGTAGATTATACTTACAAAAACCTAGATGGTATAGCCTACTACACACCTATGGTATACAGTATAGCATATTGTTCCTAGGCTACAAACCTGTACAGCATGTCCTGTATGGTATACTGTAGGCAATTGTAACACAATGGTAAGTATTCTCTCTCTCTCTCTTTGTGTGTGTGTGTGTGTGTATATATATATATATACATATATACATATATATGTGTATACATATGTATATATGTGTATATATATATATGTATACCTCCTATTGTTCTGTCTCTCTGGAGAACCCTGACCAATATAAACTGTAATTTTTGCTTTGGCAGTTTGAAGTCCTTTACCTTACTCTCTTTTACTAAACACTGCTGAATTTAAGTGCCAAAAGTGAAAATTTAAGAATTGCAAATATTTTTCAGAGGTCATCTGAGCCGTTTCCAGAAATTTTTCATAGTTTCTTCTGACATAAGCTTCAATTAAAATGACAACTCGTATCATGTATCAAATCATGCCTTATACATTTATCTGTTCAACAATTGTGTTTTGATTTCTAAGCTAGGGTATTTTGGAGAGCCTTCTCATTTCCTTTAGTATCACCATTTTATCTCATCATTGCCTTAGTAATTTAAAATCATGTCTAAAAGCTTAACGTTATGAAAGCACAACATTTACAGTATTCAGTAATTGTCTCTTTTTACTTAATTCAGTGTACCAATATTAGTACATGCAGTGCACACACATATGTTTTAATGTGAATTCCATATATTCACGATGCATACAAATCTATTGCAGCAAACATTAGATATTTAAAATTTTTCAAAAATATATTGAACACTTATGGAATACACAAAATAACAACAATTAATAACCTCGTGTCATAAAATGAATAGTAATAATATGAGTTACAAATAATATAATTAAGTAGGTTTAAGACAGATATTTTTATCACTGTAATTTATTATTTGGTAAAGGAAGGGAGAAATAATTTTCTCCATATAAGTTGCACTCATCCCAGAATTCTATGAATGTTTCCTGCAGTTATTCTTCCAAAAAAAATTCTGTTAAATACTCCTCAAGATCAGGAGCTCATCCACTGCAGAGTTGACTTTCAGAGGTCACCTGAATGCAGGTAACTCTAAGTGCTGTTTTTCTCCTCTGGAGAAAAATGAGCTTGTCTCTTCTACATCCTTTTATATGGATCTTTGAAGACCATACTCACCTCTTCAGGGATATTTAAGGTATTAAGAAAGGTGGAAACAGAGATGATTAGGTTTATGCAATATTTAGTACACACCTTTTCATCACTGATTAAATTAGCATCACACTTTGATTGTAAAAACCACTGCCTGAATGAAGCATATCTATCATCAATCTTTTCAAGGTAAACGTATGCTAGAAATTAACTAAGATTCAATTAATACTGTTTCTTGAGTTTCTTCCAAGGCACAGGCATTCCTCTAAGTGCACACGTATTTATTTATTTATTAATTCTAGAGAAAAGTTCTCCCTCTGGAGTGCAGTGGCACAATCTTAGCTCACTGCAGCCTTGAATTCCAGGGCTCAAGTAATCCTCCCACTTCAGCTTTCAAAGTAATGATTAGAGGCTTATGCCATCGCACCTAGTTAATTTTTTTATTTACTTTTTTCTTAAAGACAGGATATGGCTATATTGCCTAGTCTAGTCTCTAACTCCTGGCTTCAAATTATCATCTGACTTCAGCCTCCCAAAATGCTGGGAATACAGGGTGAGCTATAAATGCTCCTTTAATACAGCTACAGGGTATTCTCAGAGAAGGCAAACAGGAAGTAATATTTCCTTTTTTGTTTTTTATCACTCTAAGATAATTCACTAATTAACCAAATAACCCCAAATAATAATTTAGAATGTCTTATTGGGTCCCAGGAGATGACCGTGTGCCTCAGGATTTGAGATATACAATAAATGATGAGCTAAAACAGAACATGTTGAATTTAAGGGACTATGAAACATCCAGCTGATGATGATGTGAGATGATACATTACCTACATGATGAGATGAAATGAGCTGAATGATGTAGGCATTGGCATGTAGCTTTAGGCTAATATTGATCTCCTGCATTTCTGAATCTTTGTAACTGTACTTACTTGCAGTAAATGGCTTAGTGTTATTATTTTAGTTAATTCTTTGCTGAAATCTTCATGTAGGTTCAACACTTTCTGAAAAAAAAAATTGTCACAAATTGGAACACATTTCTTGTTCATGTCTTCCAACCACAAATTTAATGCCTATTTTTCATTTTAATTAGGCAATTTTGGTAGAGTTGAAAAATAAATTAGTTTTACAAAAATATTCTTTATTATATTTCTGCTATTTTGCCTTTTTTTGTTGCAATGCAATTTAAAAACCATTTGCAAACTAAATATTAAAATGAAGAAAAAAGTAATAATCAAAGAAGCTGACATGGGAACAGTTAATAGCCTGGAAAAAGTTAGGTGTCAAAAAATGTTTTCAGTTATTGAACCCAGCTCATCCTTTTAACCATTAACCTTTCAGCAAGAATTGTTTTTTTTTTTTAGATATGTTTTTACAGCACTAGAAAACTTTAATTTTAATTGAAAGGGAACTAAGGGATTTGGGAGAGTAAGAATAATAGAATGCCCTACTTTCCCACATATTAGGCAGCAGATGTGATTTTCATTAACCTCTTCACATAGGCAAATTTGTAGCCCCTGGCTTTGACACAAACCATTTTGAGGCAAGAAACTCAATACCAGAAGGCAGGACAACAACAGCTTAGCTTACTGGACAGGTTTCCATGAATTTCTAACTGAATATGCATATAGATGCACAACAATTAAGAGAAGTGGGAGACTTTATTTGGATAGAACATGGAGTAAACACATTCATGTCACATGTAAGTCCTATGATAGAATGGCATTCTGAATGTGACTCTCCAACAATGAGTTAAAATTCAGCCCAAGAAGAAGTGGCACTTATAGGTACACAATGTGATGAGAGATTGAAAATTTGAATTCCTCCCTAGAAGACCTGTCTCTTGGTCAAGAGATGCTTTTTTTTTCCACTTGTGAAAAAATTTTAATTTAATTTCTGGGATACATGTGCAAAATGTGCAGGTTTTTTACATAGGTATACATGTGCCATGGTGGTTTGCTGCACCTATCAACCCATCATCTAAGTTTTTAGCTCCACATGCATTTGCTATTTGTCCTAATGCTCTCCCTCCCCTTGTCCCTCATGCTCTGACAGGACCCAGAGTGTGTTGTTCCCCTCCCTGTGTCCCTGTGTTCTCATTGTTCAACTCCCATTTATGAATGAGGACATGCAGTGTTTGGTTGGTTTTTTGTTCTTGTGTTAGTTTGCTGAGGGTGATGGCTTCCAGCCTCATCCATGTTCCTGCAAAAGACATGATCTCATTCTTTTTTATAGCAGCATAATATTCCATGGTGTATATGTACCACATTTTCTTTATCCAGTCTTTCATTGATGGCCATTTGGGTTGGATCCATTTCTTTGCTATTGTAAACAGTGCTGCAATAAACATACACGTGCATGTGTCTTTATAGTAAATAGTTTATATTCCTTTGGGTATATACCCAGTAATGGGATTGCTGGGTCAAATGGTGTTTCTGGTTCTATATCCTTGAAGAATCACCACACTGTCTTCGACATGGTTGAACTAATTTACATTCCCACCAACAGTGTAAAAGTTTTTCTATTTCTCCACAGCCTCACCAGCATCTAATGTTTTTCACAGACACCTTCTCATACTTATGAAGCCAGTGCAAGAAAATAAACTGAGACTCACCTACAAATATCTAAATGTTTAAAATGTGTAACTCTAGCTAACAAACTGTCAATAAATATCTTTTATCTTCCTTGTTTGATAAATATTATATACCTTCATTACAACGTTTAAGGCTGGGCTGGAATTTAGAATTGTCAGACTGATATAGGACCAACAGGTTGCACAGTAAAAGGCTGCTGTAAAGTAACATCAATCACACTGAGATAGCAGAGATGCAAGGGAGAACAAGTTTAATGATCACAGGGTGCTGAATGCGGAGATTGGAGGAGACCCTCAAATCCATCTCTTCAAAGAGTTCTGGGCTGGGATTTTTAAGGAGATTGTGAAATGTGAAAAGCTGGAAAATTAGGGTTGTTGATTATTTGGAGCAAGAGGGATGGACTCCTTAGGATGTGGAGACTGGATTATTTGGTGAGTCCATTGCTTATGGGCTCTTTCAGACAAGCAGAGTCTGTAGTTTCACCAGTCTGCAGAATAGGACAATTAAGAGGAACTATAATCTAGGGTCTACATGACTCTAGCACAATAGGCAATGACTATCAAAAAGCAGGTCAGAGAGCACGCTGACATAATGATTAATGCTGAAACTTTTGCAAGCTTGTTTTATTTACATTTCTCTCTATATATTCTTGCATGATTCATTTCATAAATTTTAAAAACACGGTTTCAAGACCTTAGCATGCATGGGGTAATGTATGTTTATCTGCTCTGGTAAAAAAAAATATATATATATACAGAGAAAACTGGAAAGCTCCTGGTTCAGACATGGAATTTGGAATTTAGAATCTCTAGAGAAACTATAGGAGCAAGAAAACCTCACAGACGTCCCTTCCAGCAATGTTAGAGGGGTCTGGAGGAGTTATTGCATAATTCTCTACTGTGTTGGTCCCAGAGCAAGAGCCAGACTTTCTCCCTTTGCTCCTTATTTCTGAGGCTAAGAGTTTGCTCTGTCTAGTGAGCAGTAAGAGCTTCCCCTTGCAACTTCTCATCTCCAATTTCCTTCTTCCAGGTTTCCCTTGGCTTCTTCTCCCCCATTTGGATGACTGTATTCACTGGTGTTGGAGAGTCAGGAGATTTCTGGGACTTGCAGCTTTTAAAAGTTTATTCCTCTCTCTTCTTCCACTATGCACCTGCATCCAACTATCTGCTCAGCTGCATCTTTCCCATAGAGATTATTCCTCCTAAGTCTCAGCCTTCTGCCCCCAGAGTGAAACCTCCTGTCCTGTCTCTGAATGGCTCCATTCTGGAAAACTCCCAGATCTCAGAGAAACACAGCAACGTGATAGACACCTTGTGGTGGAATAGTCCAGCTTTACCTATGTACAAAGTGAGGCATCCTAGAAGGTGAGGCTCCCTCCTTTTCCTTCACTCTTCTTAGCATTTTGCACCTCCAGCTCTTCAGTGTTATTGTCTCATTCCACTGACCCACACTATTCTTTGTGAAACCAAGGCACTTTTCTAAAAACTTCTGTGCACAGATTTGAGCTGCTTCTTCAAAGTCCATAGATTGGGTCTCTCAGATTGTTTGAAAGATATCCAGTTCAATTGTAATCAGAAGGGGGTTTCTCAAAGTTTTAGGGTAGCATCCCTTCATACTCCATAAGTACTGGACTTAATGTGCTTGTGGTGGAAAGTTCTCCATCCTAATTATTTTCTCAAGTAGAAATAAATTTTGATTTACCTGAATACAACTTCCTTCCTCTGGTCTGATACAGGGGTTCTCTGGACTGATGCTTCGTAGTGTTTCTCTCTTATATCCCTGAGAGGGGTTGGGGAATGCCATGCAGAGAATTATGTGAAGGGGTGGCCTGCCCCTCCACACCTGTGGGTATTTCTAGTCGGGTGGGACGAGAGACTGAGAAAAGAAATAAGACACAGAGACAAACTATATAGAAACAACAGTGGGTCCAGGGGACCGGTGCTCAGCATACCAAGGACCTGCACCGGCACCGGTCTCTGAGTTCCCTCAGTTATTATTGATTATTATCTTCATTATTTCAGCAAAAAGGAATGTAGCAGGAGGGCAGGGTGATAATAAGGACAAAAACATGTGAGCAATAGAATCTACATCATAATTAAGTTTAAGGGAAGGTACTATGACTGGATGTGCACATAGGCCAGATTTATGTTTCTCTCCACCCAAACATCTCAGCAGAGTAAAGAATAACAAGGCAGCATTGCTGCAAACATGTCTCGCCTCCCACCATAGGGCGGTTTTTCTCTTATCTCAGAATTAAACAAATGTACAATCAGGTTTTATACCGAGACATTCAGTTCCCAGGGGCAGGCAGGAGACAGTGGCCTTCCTCTATCTCAACTGCAAGAGGCTTTCCTCTTTTACTAATCCACGTCAGCACAGACCCTTTACGGGTGTTGGGCTGGGGGATGGTCAGGTCTTTCTCATCCCACGAGGCCATATTTCAGACTATCACATAGGGAGAAACCTTGGACAATACCCAGCTTTCAAGGGCAGAGGTCCCTGCGGCTTTCCGCAGTGCATTGTGCCCCTGGTTTATTGAGACTAGAGAATGGCGATGACTTTTACCAAGTATACTGCTTGTAAACATTTTGTTAACAAGGCACGTCCTGCACAGCCCTAGATCCCTTAAACCTTGATTTCATACAACACATGTTTTTGTGAGCTCCAGGTTGGGTCAAAGTGGCTGGGGCAAAGCTGCAAATTAACAACATCTCAGCAAAGCAATTATTTAAAGTACAGGTCTTTTTCCAAATGGAGTCTCTTATGTCTTTCCTTTCTACATAGACACAGTAACAGTCTGATCTCTCTTTCTTTTCCCTACATTTATGTATCCCACTGTTAAGAGAAAAATTTTAGGCTGCCTTATCTGGAGTGTGAGAGGTAAGGAAAATCTCCCTTCTGAAGTGGGCATCAAAGTTGTTCTTACATTGAGTTTTTGCATTAAAATACAAAAATAAATCGATACAAGAAATAAAATGTTTTCTACAGTTACAATATGTATGTAAAGCCAACATCAGGCAAAATATTTCCAAAGATTCCAAGATATTGGCTAAAATTATTAACTGATAAAATATTTTTTTTTTAAAATTTAAAAAATTCTTTTAGATAAAAAGTCATCATTTGGAAGTTTATTGTTGAAAAATTTATGATTCTTAATGAGATGATATTTGAAGATTTTTTTAAGATTTGCCAAGGTAAATCAATCTTTTGAAGAAACCTAATTATCCATTGTTACACCGATCTGAAGACTCCTGAAATGCCATAACTTGAAAGACATGGTTGTGGCCTTCAAAGTTTCAATAAAAAGACACTCAAGGAACCAGGCTTACTCTTCTCTATAATAGTCAGTCTTCACTTGGCTGCAGAGACTTGTGAGAGCTAACACTGCTACACTATGAGGTCCTGATCCCTAAACTGATGTCATGTTACTTCTACAGCAAGCATTGGTAAGACCATAGGTATGTTCCTCAGGTGAGTTCACAATTTACAGAAGCGAAGTTTCTACTATGTGAAGCTGAACAAACATAATTTAATTTACACATCAGCAAACTGAGATTGTTTTTACGAAATAATGTTCACTTAGTTGGTAAAAATGACTCAATTTCTATATCCTATTTATAAATTATTTTGTCATGTCATTTCACTATGTATTTTTGAATTAATATAATGATTTTTTGTCTATTGTTTTATATATTTTTGGTTGTTCATATGTACGGTAAGGACTCAACAGCATTTGCCAGTTATCTTATAATTCTCTTTTGTACATCCTATAAATTATTTAGTAACATTTTATTCTATAAATAGGCCTCACATGTATTACATACTACTTTATAGGTGGTTTTGCTTCTGAGTCTGTTGGCTACAATCAAGTGTAGTAAAAGTGGTGCATTCATATATACATAAAAGAGAAACTATTCTCAATACACAAGTAAATAATGCATGAAATAATTAGGAAAATATTCTTTCTGATTGTGGTAATTTTTTCTCTTCAGAAGCTTCTGATGATGGACCAATTCTAAAAAAGTCAGGAAATCTTTAGGCCTGCAAAAAAGTGATGCTGGTAATTATCAGAAATCCTCAGGAATGAGAGTGCCATTTGTGCTAACCTCCTGTAGAAATGAGGACCACAATATCTACTTTTGTAAAATAAATGTTTATTACATGATCATTACTTTTTATTTCACAATAGAAACTGGTTCTTACCAGTTTTAAAGGACTTGAAGTATATTGCTGTGTTCAATTATTTAATTATTGGTGTGTTTCAATGCAGGGATGTAGATGATAAAGATATGACAGATTCAACAGCTTATTATATTTATATATAAAGAGGCTGGTTGAAACATGATTCAATTTTACAAAGTTTACTATAATTCTTTTAAGAAAATGTTATTTCAGGTTTAGAGGTCGGTGGTAGCCTTGCTGTACAGGTAAAGTGTGTGTCATGGGGATTTGGTGTACAGATTATTTAGTCACCCAGGTAATAAATATAGTACACAATAATTTTGTTTGTTTGTTTGCTCGTTTTTGTCTTCTTCCTTCCACACTCCAGCTTCAAGTAGGCCCTCATGTCTTCTACTCTTTTTGTGTCCATTTGTTCTCATTGTTTAGTTCCCACTTATAAGTGAGAACATATGGTATTTGGTCCTCTGTTCCTGCATTAGTTTGCTTATGATGACGATCTCCAGCTTTATTCATGTTGCTGCAAAAGACATGATATCATTTTTTATGGCTTTATTGTATTTCATGTTGTATATGTACCACATTTTCTTTATCCAGTCTACTGTTTATGGGCATTTAGGTTGATTCCATGCCTTTGCTATTGAAAATAGTGCTGTAGTAAACAGAGGTGTGTGGGTGTCTTTATGTTAGAACAAATTGTATTCCTTTGGGTATATACCCAATAATAGAATTTCTGAGTCTAATGGCAATTATGTTTTAAGTATTTTGAAAAATGTACACTACTTTCTATAAAGGCTGAACTAATTTATACTTCCTTCAGCAGTATATAAGTGTTTCCCTTTCTTCATGCTCTTGTCAGCATCTGTTATTTTTGACTTTTTAATAATGGCCATTCTCATTGGTGTGAGATGGCATCTCATTGTGGTTTTGATTTGCATTTCCCTAATGATTAGTGATGTTGAGCATTTTTTTCATATGTTTGTTTGCTGCATGTTTTTTTTTTATAATGTACTTAGAAGCTGATTTTGGGTGGGGACCTGTTTAAAATGACAACAGATATCAAAGGAGAAATTTGATTTTGTTAATATGTCTTGTATATACAATGTACTCATGCATTTTTATCAATGGGTTGCAAGGAAGGCATTTTCTAGATCATGAGTGAGAGACAGAATAGAGATCATTGGCATTCTCCATATGGCTATGTTTTATCAATTTGTTTATTCTTATTGAAACTTTCACCTGGTTATAAGGATAATGTATTAAACATCATATTTTAAAGTTGATGGTGCCTAGAACAGTAAATATACCCAAATATAATTTTCGATTAAATTACCGTAGTTGTTTAGAAAGCAATGGTTTCTTGGTTAGCTGATTTAAATTTTGATCAAAGGCTACACCACTTTCTCATAGGGTAATGTTGGAGATGTACTCAAGAGGGGAGGGTTATGACAATTAGATGAAATAATAAGATTAAATCTCAGGGTGGCAGAGGTAAAGAGATTAAAAGGAAGATGAGGTTCATAATGATGAGCACTCCATTTTCTACTGAATGCCTAATTTGTACCATGCAGTATTCTAAGCATGGAAGATAAATCCGTGAATAAAATACATAAATGTACTTGCATTTATGAGTTTTGAATACCAATGGGAGAGTGATAAAGTCAATTGATTAAAGTTTTACTTATACATAACTTTGCTAACATCAAGATACAGTCTAAATTTTCAGAGAACCACTGGCTAAGAAAACTTATGGAAAAAGAGGCTTTTACATTGGAAAAATTTAGTACCTTAAACAAATATATAGTATACTGGAATTAGCAAAAAAGAAGTGTTCATAGAAGATGCTTATGAAGATGCTATATAGAATCATTATTTGTTTTCTCCTGTAAATGATTATATTACACATGGTCTACAGTCTGAAATAATCTTAAATAGACTATTATAGAGAGTAAGCAGGCAAACATGATCCTTCTACTCTCCCTAAAGTACTTTCATTCAGTATTTCTGACCCCTGTCCATCAGTTAAGGTCTGAAATCCATAATGCTTGTTTTCTGATACTCACATTCATAGTTATTTTACCCCACAGAAGAAGCTATTAAATGAAATGACATATTTATGGACAAAAAATCCAATGAAATAAAAAAACCTAAATGAGGAGTATAGAATAACCAAAGAGTGGATGATAAGTATGAGACTGTTATTTCCATCAGAACCTTTTCAACACAGACGTGCTATAATCTTGTCTATCTGTTTTGTTAATCTTTTCAAAATTTCTGCCCATTAAGAATGTGATCTGAAATTATCATGGTTTATGACATTCTGTAAATGAGTAGAACAATAGTAAAAATGTAAAGATAATAAAACTTTTTAATGTAGGGTCACATTCTTCTTATTATTTCTAGACTCTAATGTATCAGAACTCTAAAAAATATTCAAAAAAAGTTCAACAAGTGGTAAGTCGAAGGCACATACAGGGATTTTGAGAAATTTGGTAACCCTTAAGGTGTTCAGGCAAAATTTCTCAATAGACTGAAAATAAAGCTGATTTCAGAGAGACAAACAGATGTTAAATGTCCACAGGTATTTCAGGTAAAATTTTGTTTGTGAGATAAATTCTAGGAATTAAAGAGCATGTAATTGGGTATTGCAAGTATTTTACACTGAACAGTACAATGATCCCTTGGGGATACCAAAAGTTATGAACAGCAATTTCAAAAATGTGCCTGTGGTGATGAAAACTGATAGCACAGGAGCTAGACAATAATATGGGCTTACGTAGGAGAAAACAGAACATGTTGCAAATCTGAAAAAAGGAGGAACACAAGCTTGAGGGAAAAATAAAATTACAGAAGAATATACAGATTATGATATTTCTATAGTTTCAAAATAAGCAAAACTGCAGAAATATACACTATATTATTGAGGGCCAGAAGCACAGGTAGGAAGTGATAAGGTAAGCAAGCATGTGGCTTTCAATAAACTGCCTAGCAGCTGTTGCTCTGGGAAGGAGCACAGTGGGCAAAGAAAGAGGCACACATTGGGCCTGGGAGTGAAAGGCAGTATTTTATCTTTTAACATGTAGAGGACACAGGCCATTGCTAACTTGTTTTTCTTTATAATGTGAACATATTCCATAGCACTTTTGAATTTGTTAAATAAAATAAAAATAATAAATGTCAACAACACTTTAGATAAACACAATAAATCACATAGACCAATAGTGCTCCCAGACAGTTGGAGCTCCCTCTCTTCTTCTGGGTTTTGCAGATGTTGGGAAACAGATGTTGTGTGGCTTCACAGAAATGGCGTTCTAGGGGGTAGGGTTTGGGAAAACAGGGTGAATGCTTTCTTCAACTTTTCACAGAGCAGGAGCATAAGACAAGAGTAGAGGGCCCTGGAACATCAGGGTCTGGAGACAGAGTGATGCTGTTAGTTCCAGTGGAAATTCTGCTATGAGCCACATGGTCACGGGTTCTTTCAAGAGAGCAGTAGTCAAGCAGAGCATGTGCACAGTGCTTCAAAGCTATTTTTGCTCTAGACAAAAATTCAGCAAACTACAATGGCTAGACTGAAGTAATTAGCTTCTATCCACCTCACTTTCCAATTACTTATTTAAAAAACTTTCCTCCTGTACTGGCTTCAGAGGCTTTGACTACAGTATTTTCTCTGGGATATCCACTGCACCACGGATTGGACCTTCCTGAAGTCCCAGTCACTCACCATAGCCCAGTGCTTGGCTATGCTCAGGGCCAAGGCCAAGGGTTCCTCTGTCCATCATACAGGATAAATGAGTGACTGGCAGTGACAGTAGAGAGGGAAGGTGGCTGGCACTAAAGAAGTTTGAAGGCTATGGTTTTTTTTCTTCAAAGGCATAATACCTGGAGACAAAGGCTTTGGGTACTTGGGGTGCAGTGGGGATGAAGACCAGTGATTCGAGGTTTTTATGGCATTAGACAGCACTCAGGAAACACAGGGATGGACAGTGCCTAAAGGAATCAGGAAACCAGACCAGGTCTTGTGGCTTGTGCCTGTAGTCCCAGCACTTTGAGAAGCTGAGATTTGAGACCAGCCTGGGCAACCTAGCAAAACTCCATCTCTATAAAAAATAAAAATATAATTTAGCTGGGCATGGTGACACATGCCTGTGGTCCCAGCAATTCAGGAATCTGAGTTGGAAAGATCACTTGAACCTGGGAGGCAGAGGTTGCAGTGAGCTGAAATTGCACCACTGTACTCCAGTGAGACCCTGTCTCAAAAAAAAAAAAAAAAAAAAAGAGAGAAAACTTTTGTCCAATAGGACTGAGCAGTGTCTGGCAGTTTTGGTTGGAGACATTTGAAACACTGGACTAGCAATTAGGAGGAGGACCCAATTTCAGAAAGGTTGCCTGGCTCAGTTTCGCACATAGCAGCAACCCACAAGGGCTTACCTTTCCGCCTGGTACTGCCTCCCACAGGACAGTGATGAGGGGCATTCATCCCACACCTAACCTTTAGTGTGGTCCACACTCTTAACAGTGCTACAGGCCTCATCTCTAGAAACTCTTATGGGAACCCCCAAACCAATAGCTACTGGCTTACATAATTTATTCAGGAAAAAAATCTGGCAAAGGCCAATATTGATAACTTTAACAGCTGACACAAAATGGATCAATTCATTGAAAGATACATGCTACCAAAACAGATGGAAGATAAAAGTTGATAAAATGAATAGCTGGTCTATGTTTAGAAAAAAAATGAATCCGTAATTTAAAAATTCCCCACAGACTTGTTTTGTGCAAAGATGAAGTGACAGAACTAGGATTTACTCTGCTATCATATGTAAAACAAAAACCAAAGGACAAAAATATAATAAGAAAGAACAATTTTCAGACATTGGAGTCACAATAGGGGTCACAAGAGATTGAACCCTGAGAGAGAAAAAAACAGACAAAGGAAGCCTAATGATAGCCCCAGTGTACTAACTGAAGACTTCTGAATGTCAGCACTTAGTGCTGTAGAAGGAATGTACATGGAGTCAATAGGTCTCTCTAAGTTGAAGAGACAGACTTGGACATTTGGAAAGATCAAGGTGACTGCAGTTTCCATGACTGAGTACTGGTTGAGGGTAGAGCTGCACAGAGAGACAGAACCAGAGATCTGTAGAGATGTCCATAGCTGGATTCAGCCACTGAGTGCAGATCAGTCAATGCCTGTGAGGAACATATTCAAGGAGACCAAGAAAAGAACCAGCCCAAAGGAGCAGAGAGAATACGGGCAGTTCACACAAGGCCAGTTGATGTTCTCCTCATACAGAGGAGTGGGAAAAAGTTGATAGAAGAGGTTGATGTTCCCGTAATCCACAGTGGGAAATTCTCACACTGCAGGGGGTATCTGGTGGAGTACTTAAAAGGGTATTGCTTTACTGGTGAGAAAAATCTAGCACAAATTAGAGACATCTGAGACAGACACACAATAATAGTGGGAGACCTCAACACCTCCCTGACTGCATTAGACTGACCATCACTGTGGAAGACTAAAGAAAGGCTGGAATTTAATTCAACACTTGACCAATAGAACCTAATAGACATCTACAAAATACTTCACCCAACAACCACAGAATATATATTCTTTTCATCTGCATGCAAACGTATTCTAAGATGAACCACATGCTTGATCATAAAGCAAGTCTCAATAAACTCAAGAAAATTGAAATCATACCAAGCACACTCTTGTAACACAGTGCAATAAAAATATATAGATCTCTAAAAACTATACAAATACATGGAAAATAATAAACTTGCTCCTAAATAATTCTTATGTGAACCATAAAATTAAGGCAGATATCAAAAGTTCTTTGAAATTAATAAAAATAGAGACACAACTTACCAAAATCTTTGAGATGCCACTAACACAGTGTTAAGAGGAAATTTTATAGCACTATATGTCTTCCTCAAGAAGTCAGAAGAATCTCAAATTAATAATTTAACAATGCACTCAGAGAAACTAAAAAACAAAAAGCAAAAAAAAAGATATATATAGAGAAAACCCAAACCAACAGCAAAGCTAGTAGAAGAAAAGAAATAACTAATATCAGAGAAGAACTGGATGAAATTGAGATGCAAAATTCATACAAAAGATTAATGACACTAAAAGTTGGCTGTTTGAAGGAATAATCAAGATTGATAGACCACTAGAGAGATTAAAAAAAGAAGAAAAGATACAAATAAGCACAATAAGAAATGTCAATGATGACATTACAACCAATATCACAGAAATACAAAAGATTCTTACAGACTTCTATGAATACCTCTATTCACAAAAAACAGAAAATCTAGAAGAAATGGACAAATTCCTGGAAAGACACAACCTGTCATAAATGAACCAGGAAGAAAGTAAAAATATCAACACACCAAGAAGTAAAAAAATAAACAGACCAATAACAAGTTCCAAAAATAAATCAGTAATAAAAAAAACCTAGCAACCAAAAAAAAAAAAAGAAACTATCATAGACCAGATGGATTCACAGCCAAATTCTACCAGACATACAAAAGAACTGGTGCCAATACTACTGAAACTATTCCAAAAAATTGAGAACGAGGGACTTCTCAACTGAAAGCAATGTTATAAGTACTATACAAAGATAACCTGAGAGGATTTAGTGCCAGAAGATATAATATCTACAAGAAATATACATAGAAGTTCTTTAGACAAAAGCATATGAGGCCAGAAAGAAAGACACTTGGATCTACGCAAAAAAAAAAAAAAAAAAAGAAAGAAAACCAGAAAATCAATAAAGGAAGACTTAGCCTGAAAGGGAAAGGATGAATACATACCAGACAAAGGCTAACCTAAAGAATGCTGCAGTAGCTACATTAACTTTAGATAAGGTAGACTTAGGGAAAAGAGATATCATTAAGGACTGAGAAAATATTACATACTTATCACAGTTTAATTTTCTGAAAGTAGATAAAAATCCTAAGTATATATGCATAAAGCAAGAGTTTCATAATGCACAAGGCAAAACTTGTACAATATCTATTGTTCATGAATTTTGATTCTGTTATCCTAGTTTTTCTCTGTTTTTACTTAGAGGCTTGGAAATAGTGCGAAATTATACTGCACCTCTATATCTTTTCTGAATTGCCAGGTGAAAATTTTAGAATTGTGTAAACAAAGGATGCCTCTAAACTGTATCTCAGTGGGTTTAGTGGTTTTCATGAGCTGTGTGAAACAGAAGACCAGATCAAAAATATTTTTACATTTTAAAAGTTTTACTGCACTTTCTATTAGTTGCCTTTGCATTCAAGGATCTCCTATCATTATGTACAAATATATAGTGTTTGCATATATATATATGTATGTATGTATACACACACACAATCAAAAACACTATTTTTTTAAAAAAAATTCTGGTACTTTGAGTCAAAGTTGAGACCAAATTCTAGCAAGGTTATAGGTTTTTATGTGCATTGCAGAGAAATGTCATTGATTGTATTTTTATTTATTCAATGTAATATATCTTGTTTTATAATATACATTAAATGTTTTTGTTTGAATTAAATAAAGGAGAAATATGGATGATAAAAGAAAGGAGAAGATGAAGGTGAAAATTAACCTGACATTTTCTGTGAATCTACTGTGCAATAGGTACTTTATCAGCATTGTCTAACTTTTACGTATATCTAATCTCACTGTAATTTGTTTCCCAGTTCATGAATGTATAGATGAGGAACAGAAAAGCAAAGAGATCATTATTTTAACCAATAATATTTTATTGTAATAGCAAACTCAGAAGTTTATTCTGTATTTGTCAGTATTTGTGCTTTTTAAACCAAATAATACCACCTTTAACTTGAGTGTCATGAAGTCGAGAACTGTACCATTCATCTCTGTATCCTACACAAGGAGGGCTAGTCTTAAAAAAGAGTAGGCCCGGCGCGGTGGCTCACGCCTGTAATCCCAGCACTTTGGGAAGCCGAGGCGGGCGGATCACGAGGTCAGGATATGGAGACCATCCTGGCTAACACGGTGAAACCCTCTCTCTACTAAAAAAATACAAAAAATTAGCCGGCCTTGGTGGCGGTCGCCTGTAGTCCCAGCTACTCCAGAGGCTGAGGCAGGAGAATGGCGTGAACCCGGGAGACAGAGGTTGCAGTGAGCCGAGATCATGCCACGGCACTTCTGCGCTTCAGCCTGGGCGACAGAGCGAGACTCCATCTCAAAAAAAAAAAAAAAAAAGTAGGTGCTGAATACATTTTAAAACATTTTATTTAAAATCACTAGCAAAGCTCCAGTTGAATTTGAACATCTCACAATCTAGCCTGAGCTATAGGCCTATCACTTAGTGGCAAATGTCACTTACAGTATCTTCTGATTTGGAAGTAAAAAAGAATCAGATCTTTAAAATTAATTTTGTAAACTTAATGTTAAGAAGAGAAACAGGGACATACTATGCAACAGCATTTTCCAAATAAATTCAACCCGTCAGCCATCTAGAATTCATATAAGAATACTTAAATCCCCAGATTCTATAAGAAAATGAAAGCATATATTTACACCTATCATACTACTGAAACTGTCTACAAGATCCTAAGGCAATACAAGATTCACTAATTTTTTAATGTCCCATATGCCTTCTGCATTACTTTCCTTATTTTTATTAAGCAAAAACTCAAAATAAGCCTTAATAAAAATTTGTTTAAAAAAACGTGGAAACACATTTTAGAGTCTGCACTATATAGATATAAAATACATAATGGAAATATAAAATTACATATATAAGTAAAACTTTTGAAAATCTGTCTTAAAAATATTTTGATTTCTCTTATCAAAATATTTATAAATCAATTTTTGAATAAAATTTATCTTTCACTAAACTGCCTTCTCTGCTTATTTTGTGATTAACAACCAGAAAAGCTGATGAAAATTTAACTATCAAGAAAATTTATTAAAATTCATTGAGCTTTGGAGGCTGCATGACACCCTTCACGGAGCTCGTATTTATGACATCATGTTGAGAGGCTGTGTCACATTCACTGTGCTAATGGAGTAGAGGCAGGGAACATCATTGAGATAATATTCGGACAATAGGGTGATTTGTAAATTGTTGCCAAGGGCAAGCATTCTCAAGGAAGGAGCAGGATTTACAAGTAGGATGAATTCTGAGTTTTTGACACTCCTAAATTTTTCCGGAAGAAAATGTGATGGAGATGTCAATGAGACAATTACTTTGTGATCTGAAGTTCTGTAGATATACATAGATTGGGGTATCAGTTTAAGACTCATTAACATAACAATGATAGATAAAAAATGTGACACATTATGAGTTCAAGCTGGAAAGGTGTGTAGACTAAGAAGAGAAGGTACAAAATGTGAGAAAGAGAAAGCAACAAAGGAGATTGAGAAGGCCAATTTGGGAAAAAAATGGTACTTAAAGAAAAAGAATGCCCAATGAATGTGAGCCAATTAATAAATGTGTGAAATACAAAAAAACAAATAACTCTACAATCTTATTTCACCATTTTAGCTTACTAGCTCCTTGAAAATTCAGCTCAAGCATCACTGTTAAAAAGGGACACCTGGCTTTTTTTGTCTTTCATAATAGCACATTCTAGCACGTGGATGACTGCTTGTATATTTAACACTAATTTTTCCCCCAATTTTCTGCAAAGTGAAAGAGAGCAAATATTAATCCAGTCCATTCTCTGTGTCTGGGACAGTTCTGTGAGAGATTTTTCTCTTTCGTTCTTTTCCCTTATCTTCATTTCCTTTCAATACTTTAGGGAAGAGAGTGAGATAAGTCTTTGGGCTTTAATTAAATATCTAATATCTTCTTCTGAGCCCCTCTCAGGTTTTATTACCCTGCGGGAAGAAACAATACAAATTTTGACCACAAAATATGAAAAATAAGAGGTATCACATTTAATGAGTACAACTGAAGCAATACATAATTATATACTGATATAAGAATGGTTGAAAGAATTGCATGAACTTTAGTCATATTTTCAATACAGCAAAGTCAATTGGTTTTATTTTTGAAATGTGACAAGGGCTTAATAGTTGGTAACTCGTTAACTCAATTCCTCATAGTAGCATAATTAAGTGTGATGGTTAATTTTATGTATCAGCTTGAATTGATCTCTGTAAAGTAAGCTTCCCTTCCCAGTGTGGGATGTGCATTATCAAACCCATTTAGGGCCTGAATAGAACAAAGCACAGATGGCAGAGGACACGGACACTTGCAGTATGTGTGATTCTGTATTTCTGAGCAGAAAAAAGAAAAGTTGCTTTCCTTCAGATTAATGAGAGGAATTTCACCCTATTTGCCATGTCCCTTGTATAATTAATTTACGGTTAACAATATAAATGGAAAATTGCCTATTCTGTAATTGAAATTTATGTTTGCCTTTCATATGCTCCATTTTTAATATCAGTATCTCCACATCCCACCCAAGCCTGCATTGTGCCAGATTTCACATGAACCTATCTTAAATAGAGCTGAATAAGACAAAACACCAGGCCCTTCACTCAAGAAGCTTAATATAACAGAAAGGTCCTGGAGACAGAGAGTAAAAAGTTAAAGTGGAAGGAGAAATGGCTAAAAGGGAAAGAACATTCATTCTATAGTGACCTTAGTACGACCACTTTCTAAGTGCAGCCAGATGTTCATGGCTAAAGGTACAGTTGAGAAGTTCAAGATACAATAAAACAAGCCCAAGAGCTCCTCCAGACATACGTCCAGCTATTGTCTTTATATGGGGGATCTTGAACCTGTAATAAAAAACTAATTTTATAGATTCTTCAAGATCTGTGCATGAGAATGAATTCTTTCTAGTGAACCGCTCTGCTTCTCCTTTTAAATAACAAGGATTTAATGAGAATTTTAAAACATTTTTCATTTTATTTGGTTAACTATTCCTCACATTTAAGCCTCAGTAAAAGTTTTTCTTCCTCCAGAAAGTCCCTGCAAAATACCTGACATTTACTAGAACTTGAAAACATAGCAGATCTGGTGACTACTATTTGTTTTAACAATTATTTTTTGTTCAAAGTCATGCCTCTTGTACATGTTTCCTCAGATCACTCTCTAAATTCTCATAACTCTTTCACTAGTCTTTTTAGGATAATCTTCTATCCTAAGACAAAGTATCACATAAGTAAAATTGCATTATGAATAAATATAATATTAAATAAAACCACATCTTTGCTGGGTGTGGTGGCTCACACCTGTAATCACGGCACTTTGGGAGGCCTAGGCAGGTGGATCACTTGAGGTCAGAAGTTCGAGACCAGCCTGGCCAACACAGTGAAACTTTGTCTCTATTTAAAATACAAAAATTCACAGGGCACACTGGAGCACACCTGTAATCCCTATTACTCAGGAGGCTGAGACAGGAGAATCATTTGAACTCGGGAGGCAAGGATTGCAGTGAGCAGAGATCATGCCGCTGCACTCTAGTCTGTGCGACAACTGAGTGGGACTGTCTCAAAAATAAATAAATAAATAAATAAAACTACATCTTGAATGGAGAATAAATAAGGAGTGTAACATAGGGCCTTTGGGGGAAAATATGCATTAGAAGGGAAAGAGGACAGCCTTAAGATGACAGTGGAAGGTGAAGTCCTGTGAATGAGATTCTGAATATCTGAGAAGAATATTTTTGAGAACTATTTTTAATTTTCAGGAAAGAAAGGCGTAGCCTTTGAATGACATTAAAAATTTACTAGAAGAGTGACACATAATAGAGATAAAATCACATAAGTAACAAAAGTCTCCAAACATCAATTAAAGTGTTCTAAAGTATTGGAGCATAATCAAAGTCCATATTTGGAAAAGAGGAGAGAATGAATAATAGCTCATATATTAAACTTTATTATGTGAAAAATACTTTTATAAAATTCTTCCATAAGAAATACAGCTATGAATTAAAACTTACAAAAGAATAAAGCATTAAAATAAATTGTGAAAAAATTTGAGGATTAATTTGAAAATTATTTAATTTTAATGTCAAAAATCAAAGTTATTTCATCAGTGTCCTAAGAAAACTAAAATAAAAACAAACTTAATAATGTAAAACAAAGAATAACTAAGAAAAAAAGTAACATTCACATAGAAAAGTAAAAAAAGAAAAAAAAAGAAATGAAGAACTAAATAATTCCATACATTGTGTTCCAGATCAAAATTTACCCTCAAATGGTTCAGGAATGAAAAGTAGTCTTAAACTTCTGAATATTTTGTAAGTGATGATTATAAAAAATAAATATAAGATGTATTCTAACTCAGAAAACGGGGAAATTACATAAAATTGACATTAGAAAAAAAGATGTGGAATATTCAGAATCCAGTCTAGGAAGGAAAAAACTCTGTCTTTCCAATTCTAAAAGTTAGGATGATGTGTATAAGCAGTAGAAATGAAAATACAGTTGAGTTTTTGTTGTTATGTGGCCCTTTTATGAGCCAGAAATTTTTTCAAACTGTAGTCAGTTAAAGGGTGGCCCCTGAAAATATATTTCTAAGTCCTAACCTCTGATACCTGTGAATATGACCTTTTGAAAATAGGATCTTTGCAGATGTAATTAACTTGATGATTTCCCAATGAGATCAATCTGGATTTAGGATGGGACCTAATTCCAATGACTGGATAGAAGAAATTAAAGGAAGGTCTGAGACACATAGCCATGTGGCGACAGAGGCAGAGACAGAGTTCACTGGAGCTATGCTGCCACAAGCTGATGAAAGCCAAAGGTGGCCGTCAGCCAGCAGAGCTAGCAGAGAGGCAGGAGGTGGATTTCCCCTCAGAATCCTCAGAGGGAACCAATTCTGTCAACATCTTGATTTTAAACTTCAGACTTTGAGAACAGTGAGAGAGTGAATTATTGTTTTATTTGTGATAGTTTATCACAGCAGCCCCAGGAAACTAATATGCAAATGGTTTTACACTTTCTATTTTATTTTTTTCTTCAAAACTCATTAGGTCGTTTTATGCTTGCTGTTCCATTACTTAGATGATGGAATCTGGGGCCAGGCATGCTTACTCCTGTAATCCCAGCACTTTGGGAAGCCAAGGCAAGAGAGTGGTTTGAGCTACAGAGTTCAAGACTAGCCTGGGCAACAAAGTGAGATCCCCAGCTCTACAAAAAAAAAAAAAAAAAAAAGGAACTAGGAAAACTAAGAATTTATATAAGGCCAAGCACAGTGACTCATGCCTGCAATTCCAACATTTTTGGAGACCGAAGCTGGAAGATTGCTTGAGCTCAGGAGTTCAAGACCAGCCTGGGAAACATAAGAGAGACTACTCTATTAAAAAAAAAAATTAGCCAGGCATAGTTGTACATGCCTGTAGTCCCAGCTCCTCTGGAAGCTGAGGTGAGAGGGTGACTTGAGCTCTGGAGGTCGAGACTGCAGTGAGCCTTGAGTGCACCGCTGCACTCCAGCCTTGGTGACAGAGCAAGACTCTGTCTCAAAAATAAATAAATAAATACATAAACAAATAAAAAGTTCACATAGTTTCACAAAGTAACACAAGTAATAACAAAATATCAAAAATAACAAGATGCTATAAAAAGAACATTCAAACAACAAAATAGATTGTGTCAATTCAAAATACCACTATAAAGTAATAACTTTAGTGGAATATTAGGAAAATAAAAAAGGCTATTGAGCACTTTGAAAACTTTGCAGATAACCAAGGCTGCAACCTGAAGTTCCAGACAACATAGCACTTCTCATATTCTACAAGAAAGATTTCCAATTAAATTTTAGATATCATGCTGTACATAAAACTGTATAATATCTAGGACTTTCCCTCCAGAAGTTCACAATTTGTATAAACAAAGAATGAAAAATAAAAGAAATACTTATCTGCAGACTCTGTAGGTCTCCACCTCCTCTCTTGTCTGCTCTGGGTGGCCTAAGGATATGCTTGCCTTGGGAAGGTGCAAGCACTGTGGGCTCAAGAGTGGGGAGCCTCTTTCCCTGGTAAGGGGAGGGCACCATTGGGATCACTGGTGCCATCTCCTGCAATGGATCTTCTGATGTTGGGTCGAAGAGAACCTCAGGAGTTGATTTCCCTGGGCGCGTGGAGCGGGATCCTTCCTTAGCTATCTGTCCCGTTGCTCCTAGTATTGCTGCTGCCTGCCCTCTTAGCCACTTTGGGGGGTCTAGCACCAGCTGTCACCAAGTGTCTATGTATGGGAACTGGTCTAGGTATCCTTTACCAGTTACCTTGTGCCACACCTTAGAAACAAGGGACCTGTCCAGGCTTCCTTCTGATGGCCAACCCACTATTAAAGTTGGGTAATCTACTTAGCATGAAGTTGTAAGTTCCCCTTGTAGTCTAGTGGTTAGAATTCTGCGGTCTCACAGCCGCGGCCCGGGTTCGATTCCCATTCCGGGAACCAAGAAATGGTCTGGACAAGACATGGACAAAACCACTCAGACACCAAATTCAAAAAGGAAGAGGGTGTTTTTTTCGGCCTGGAGCGTCGGCAGACTCGCGTCTTAAGAGCCGAGCTCCTGGAAGGAAGACAGAGTTCCTGGCCCTTTTCAGGGCTTACAACTCTAAGGGGTTCCACGTGAAAGGGTCGTGATGGATTGAGAGCACATGTGCTTAGAGTGGTGAGGGGGTGGGGGAGTAATTTTTTCACCTCAGGCCGGCTTATCAGTGGCACCGGCTGCTGTTGCCACTGACTTCATTCCTGTTGTTTTTCAACTTTTACTTCCTCCACCTCTTCAGAGACAGGAGACAGTCAGAGAAATGGCTTCTCTCCTCAGGGCGACAGGATGATATTACTTCCAATATCGCAGGGGGTGTACACACCCCTGTGAAACTCTTCCTACTATCCAGAGGGAGAGAGAATGATATTACTACCAATACCGCAGGGGGTGTACACAGCCCTGTGATACTCTTCCTAATATCCACAGTGAGAGAGTATGATATTACTCCCAATATCGCAGGGGGTGTACACAACCCTGTGATATTGTTCCTAATATCCAGAGAGAAACAAGATGATATGACTCTCAATATCACAGAGGGTGTACACCCCTCCTGTAATATTGTTCTTACTACCCTGGGAGGGAGAGGATAAGATTACATTGAATATCGCAGGAAATGCACACCCTCCCCCTCTGATACCCTTCCTAATATCCAGAAGAGAGGATAATTTTACTCCCCATATCGCAGAGGCAGTACACCCCCTGTGATATTGTTCCTAATATCCAAGGGGGGAGAGGATGATATTTCTCCCAATATCGCAGGGGTGTTCACATCCCCTGTTACATTATTCCTAATATCTAGGGGAGAGACAATTATATGACAGCAAATGTCACAGGGTCTGTACATCCTTTCTGATATTGTTCCTAATATCCAGGGGGAAAGAGGATGATATCAAATACCAAAGGGTGTGTACACCCCCCCCCCCCCACCGCCACCGATACTGTTCTTAATATTCATGAGGGGAGACGATGATATTACTCCAAATATCGCAGGGGTTGTTCACGGCCCCTGTGATATTGTTTCTAATATCCGGGGAGGTGGGGGGAAGAAAATAATATTACTTCCAATATTGTAGGTGGTGTATACCCCACCTGAAATATTGCACCGAATATCCAAAGAGGGAGAGGATGGTATGAATACCAATATCGAAGTTTGTGTACTCGCCCCTTGTGATATGGTTTTTAATATCCAGGAGGCAGGAGGATGATATTAGTCCCAATATCTCAGAGGGTGTACGCTACCCCTGTGATATTGTCCCTAACTTCCAGAGGCGAGAGGATGATATCATTCCCAATATCTCAGAAGTTGTACATCCCCCGTGATATTAGGTTGCTCACTCCTGTAATCTGAACAGTTTGGGAGGCAGAGGCGGGCAGATCACCCGAGGCCAGGAGTTCAAGACCAGCCTGACCGACAGGGAGAAACCCCCATGTCTACTAAAAATACATTAGCTGGGTATGATGGCACATGCCCATAATCCCAGCTACTCAGGAGTTGAAGGCAGGAGAATCGCTTGAACCCAGGAGGCAGAGGTTGCGGTGAGCCAAGATTGCACCATTACACTCCAGCCTGGGCAACAAGAGCGAAACTCCATCTCAAAGCAAAAAAACCAAAAACAAAAAACCAGCATGATTTCAAGAGCAGAAAGAATAGCTTAAAAACTAGCATAATGAGAAAGTTAGGAAGCTTCTTATCAAAGCATCTGGAAATATGCAAGAAATTCTTGTGAACTAAAATTTTCATACTGTACTATCAAACACTAGAACTCACTTACTCCATCTTTCTGTATTTTGGGACCCAATTATCCACTTCTCTTCACTCCCCATCCCACCCCTTTTCTTCCCAGCATCTGCTAACCACCTTTATACTCTCCACCTTCCTGAGATTCCTTTTGTGTGTAGGTGTGTGATGGAGTCTCTTTCTGTTGCCCAGGTTGGAGTATACAGGCACAATCCGGGCTCACTGCAACCTCCGCCTCCCAAGTTCAAGCGCTTCTTGGGCCTCAGCCTTCCAAGTAGCTGAGACTACAGGCACGTGTCACCATGCCCAGCTAATTTTTTGTGTTTTTAGTAGAGATGGGGTTTCACCATGTTGGCCAGGTGGGTCTCGCACTCCTGGCCTAAAGTGATCCGTGCGACTCGGCCTCCCAAAGTGCTGGGATTACAGGCCTGAGCCACCACACCTGGCCAAGATTTTCTGTTTTGTTCCTACATATAAGTGAGGACATGTAATATTTGTCATTCTGTGCCTGGCTTATTTCTCTTAATATACAGACCTGCAATCTCATCCGTTTTTTCCACAGTGGAGAGGATTTTATTCCTTTTGAGGCTGAATAATACTTCATTGTGTGTGTATACCACAGTTTCTTAACTGAAACAAATTTCTAAACAGCAAATATTTTTAAAATGTCTCAGAATGTGAAACTATAGGGATACTGTGCCCATTTTATTCTTTTCTATTTCCCATTTTATGTATATGCAAGTGTACAATAAAGCAGCAATCAATGTGTGTATAGATCTATAACTTCAACAAATGTAAAATGAAAATGCTAAGTGGTGGCTGGGTGCGGTCGCTCACGCCTGTAATCCCAGCACTTTGGGAGGCCGAAGCGGGCTGATCACCTGAGGTCGGGAGTTCAAGACCAGCCTGACGAATATGGAGAAACACTGTCTCTACTAAAAATACAAAAAAAAAAAAAAAAAAAAAATTAGCCGGGTATGGTAGCGCATGCCTGTAATCCCAGCTTCTTGGAAGGCTGAGACAGGAGAATCACTTGAATACGGGAGGCAGAGGTTGCAGTGAGCCCAGATCGTGCCATTGCACCCCAGCCTGGGCAACAAGAGTGAAACTCTGACTCAAAAAAAAAAAAAAAAAGAAAAGAAAAGAAAAGAAAAGAAAATGCTAAATGGTAAGAAAAAACAGCATAATAAAACTTTGTATGGTGTTGAAGGACAACGCATTTGAAGATAATATTTGAAGAAATCATATTACAATTAACTTCTTTTCTTACTTATTGGAGCTTGATGCCTCCAAAAACTTCATCACTGGAATCACCTCTGGTGCTTTAAAAAAAAAAAAAAAAAAAAAAAAAAAATCCATATACCTACACAGGTGCAAGTAAATCAGAATCTCAGGTAATGAGACCCAGGCCTCATCATTCATTTGGAACCTCCCCAGGTGATTTGATTCAAAGACAAGATTGAGGACCGGTGACATGGATCTCTACATACAACCTGCCTAAATAGATTCTCTAGAAGCAGTTTATAAAGAAATTCCTCATGAACTCTGGAAGAGGATATGAATTTGATGTACAGTATGTCCTCACTTATCATCTTTGAAAGTCTCTTGGAAACTTCACCTTTAAGCAAAATTATGTATAGTGAAACCACTTATTCCTCATCAACATCATAACAATTGAACCCAACAATGTTGTTGGAGGACCTGCTGTACATTGTTTCCATAAAGTCAATGTTCAGGGAATTCCAAAATGAAGTGAGGACTTCCTGTATATAAAAAAATTGTTGTGATTCCACCTGGATGACAGGGTTATTGGTCAGAAACTAAAGGAGGCCACCTAGGTATAGAGGATACAGCATGAGGTTTATGCTACACAAAAGATCCCAGAATACTCACCCATTCCAGTTAAAGGCAAAATGAAGAAAGGAATATTCACATAGGAAATGTGGAAATGAATAAAAGCCATCAAGCAACAACAATAATGTGACTAAGGGGCAGGATTTGCAGATGTAGAGATTTAATGTGGTTGACCTTTCTCACCCACACAAGAAAAAGGATGGAGCAGATCTTGAGATAACAGATCATGAGATTCGACTGTTCTGCTGCGCAGCCTCCACAGGGCACTTTGAATGTCCCTATTTCTCAGGCTGTAGATGAAAGGGTTCAGCATGGGGGTGACCACAGCGTACATCACTGATGCCACCACACCATTCCTGGGGGGTGGTGACACAGCTGAAGTCAGGTACACGCCAATGCCTGTTCCATAAAATAAGCAAACAACTGCCAGGTGAGAGCCACAGGTGGAGAAGGCTTTAGACTTCCTATCTGATGATGAAATTCTTAGAATGGAGGGGACATTGTTAGCGTAAGACAAAAGGATCCCTGAAATGGGAAGAAAACCAAACATAATACTATCTAAATATATGAATATGCTATTGATGACACTGTCAGAACAGGCAAGGTTGAGAAGTTGAGATGGGTCACAGACAAAATTGGAGATTTCCACATTCTTGAAGAAGGTGAATTGTAACACAATCCAACTGTGCAGCTGGGAATCCAACAGGCTGAGGAAAAAGGACACCAAAACTAAGAAGACACCAAGGTGAGGATTCATGATGACTGGGTAGTGCAGGGGGTGACAGATGGCCACAAATTGGTCATAGGCCATCACTGTCAGGAGCATGTCTTCTATACATGCAAAAAGGACAAAGAAAGACATCTGTGTCAGGCAGCCCGCATAAGAGATGACTCTGCTATGCGACTGCATGTCCACAATCATCTTGGGAACCATGGCCGAGGTGAAACCGATGTCAGCCCAGCACAGGTTGGAGAGGAAGAAGCACATGGGGGTGTGGAGGTGGGAGTCAGAGCTGACAGCCAGGATGATGAGCAGGTTCCTCAGCACCGTGACCAGGTACATGGACAGGGACAGCCCAGGGAGGACGGGCTGCAGTTCTGGATCCTCTGAGAGTCCCAGGAGGAGGAATTCTGAGATACCTGTGAGATTCCATGGCTCTGTGTGTCTTGGACACCTTAAGAAGAAAAGAGGATTGGAAAAATAAAAGATAAAAACCAGCCCTTAACGCTGTGTGTATATTTTGGATGCAAGCAATTCACAAGGAACATTTTCACACTTGAGGACCATACACTGTCAGCAATATTTCTCAGGTGTGACAAACCCAAAAATCTCAGAATTATTACATGATTTACTTTTTTGCTATTCAACTCTTTCTGTACATACTACTTTAGAGAAAATCCACTGAAGAATGTTAGAAGACCAAAATGTAATACTTAACACATCCGTGATCTCAGTAAAATACGGCCTACTCTTTTCAGAAACAATAACATGCAATAAAAATATTCTTCTCTCTTTAAGAAAAAGATCTCAGTCTAATTGAAAAAAATTAAGCAGCAGTGAAATACACTTTATTTTATTCTGACACAAATTCCTTTGATGTAGAGTATTTAAAAGGACGATAGAAGAGCTAGGACTGCATTATCTAAAAATGAAATCGAACCTTATACTTCTTAATCGGAAGACCTTTTAGCATGCTAGTTACTTTTCATATTTATTGCCATCCTTAGGTTTTCTGACATCATTTCTTCATAAAAGTACATACACACTCAAATATGGGAGCTGTGTTTCCAAATTAATTGAATATATAACTCTTGGCCGAGTGCGATGGATCACATCTGTAATCCCAGCACTTTGGGAGGCCGAGTCTGATGGATCACCTGAGGTCAGGAGTTCCAGACCAGCCTGGCCAACATGATGAAACCCCATCTCTAGTGAAAACAAAAGAAAATTAGCTGGGCGTGGTGGCGGGTAACCCTAGCTACTCAGGAGGCTGAAGCAGGAGAATCCCTTAGAACCTGGAAGGCAGAGATTGTACACCCTGTGATATTAGTTTTGATATCCTAGGGAGATGTTGCTCCTGACATCAGAGTGGGCATACACCTTGTGATATTATTTGTAATATCCTAGAAAGATATTGCTCCTAATATCACAGTGGAGAAATATCTGGGATATTACGAATTATATCACAGAGTGTATACACAAGGTCTACACCCACACTGATATTAGGAGTAATAACTTCCTAGGACATTACAAATAATATCACAGAGTGTACACTCACTGTAATATTAGGAGTCATATCTCCCTAATTTATTACAAATAATATCACAGGGTGTACACCCACTGTGATATTAGGAGTAATAACTTCCTAGGGTATTACCAATAATTTCACAGGGTGTACACCCTGTGATATTAATTGTAATATCCTACAGAGAAACTACTCCTAATAATACAGTGGGTGTACACCCTGTGATATTATTCATAATATATTATGGAGATATGACTCCTGCTATCACAGTGAGTGTACACCATGTTTGTACATCATGTGGTATTATTTGTAACAACTTAGAAAAATATTACAGCTAATATCAAAGTGGGTGTATACCCTGTGATGTTATTTGTTATATACTAGGTAGATATTACTCCTAATATCACAGTGAGTGTACACCATGTGTGTATACATTGTGAAATTATTGGTAATACCCTAGGAAGATATTACTCCTAATATCACAGTGGGTGTACACCCTGTGATATTATTTGTAATAAATTAGGGAGATATGACTCCTAATATTACAGTGGGTGTACACTCTGTGATATTATTTGTAATGTCCTAGGAAGTTATTACTCCTAATATCAGTGTGGGTGTAGACCATGTGTATACACTCTGTGATATAATTCGTAATATCCCAGATATTTCTCCTAATATCACAGTGGGTGTATACTCTGTGATATTTTTCATAATATCCTAGAGAGATATTTCTCCCAATATCATAGTGGGTGTACACCCTGTGATATTACTTGTTATATACTAGGTAGATATTACTCCTAATATCACAGTGGGTGTACATCCTGTGATATTATTTGTAATAACCTAGGGAGATATGACTCCTAATATTACAGTGGGTGTACACTCGGTGATATTATTCATAATGTCCTAGGAAGATATTACTCCTAATATTAAAGTGGGTGTACACCCTGTGTGTACACTCTGTGATATAATTTGTAATATCCCAGAGAGATATTTCTGCTAATGTCACACTGGGTTTACACTCTGTGATATTATTCGTAATATCCTAGAGAGATATTGCTCCCAATATCTCAGTGGATGTACACTCTGTGGTATTATTCGTAATATCCTAGAGTGATATTACCTCTAATATCTCACTGGCTATACACCCTATGATATTATTCATAATATCCTAGGGAGATATTATTTCTAATGTTACAGTGCCTGTACACCGCGTGTGAACACTCTGTGATGTTATTCGTAATATACTAGGGAGATATTACTCTAAATGTCCCAGTGGGTGTACACCATGTGTGTACACACTGAGATGTTACTTGTAATATCCTAGAGAGAAATTACGCCTAACGGTACAGTGGGCGTACACCATGTGTTTGTATTCTGTGATGTTATTCGTAATATCTTAGAAAGTTATTATTCCTAGTGCCACAGTGGGTGTATACCATGTGTGTACACTCTGTGATGTTATTCGTAATATCCTAGGGAGTAGTTCTCATAACATCACAGTGGGTGTACATCACGTATGTTCACACTGTGCTGTTATTGGTTATATCCTGGGTAGATATTACTCCTAATGTCACAGGGGGTGCACACCATGGGTGTACATTCTGTGATGTTATTCATAATATCCTAGGGAGATATCCTCCTTATTTCATAGTGGGTGTACAGTCTGTGATATTATTTGTAATATCCTTGGAAGGTGTTACTCCTGTTATCACAGTGGGTGGACACCCTGTGATAGTATTTGTAATAACCTAGGGAGATATTGCTGCATACCCTGTGATATTACTTGTAACATTTTAAGGAGCTATTTCTCCTAAAGTCAGAGTGGGTGTACAGCCAGTAATATTCTTCCTAATATCACAGTGGGTGTACATCATGTGTGATATTTTTTCTAATATCCGGGGGGGTTAATATTGCTTCCAATATCACAGAAGATGTACACCCCCCTGTGATATTGTTCCTAATTTCCAGGGAAGGAGAGGATGACGTTATTCCCGATATCACTGACGGTGTACCACCCCTGCCGTGATATTGTTCTTAATATCCAGGAGTGGAGAGAATGATATTATTCCCAATATCACAGGGGGTGTACACCACCCCTGTTTGATATTGTTGGTAATATTCCAGGAGTTAGAGCATGAAATTACCTCCAATATCACGGGGTGTGTAAACACCCCGTGATATTGTTCCTAATGGCCTGTGAAAGAGAAAATATTGCTCCCATTATCACAGGAAGTGTTCACCCCTGACAATATTGTTTTCTAATATCCAGGGAAGGAGAGTATGATATTACTCCCAAGGTTGAAGGGGGTGTACACATTTTTTGTGATATTGTGTCTAATATCCAACAACTTTTCCCTAAAGAATTCTAATTTCTCTTATTTACATGTGTCTATAAATTTTTATTTATTTTTTGTAGTTGATTTTTCCCTTCAGCCTGAAAGAGCCAAAGTCATATCTTCCTGTATGGAGATTTGAGAAGCCTGAATGTTGGATGTGACCCTCAAGATGATCCCCGTATCACTGCAAAATCGGAATGTTTTCTCGTATGGGGCGCTCAGACTTTCACATCTGGCAAATACTATTGGGAGGTTCATGTGGGGGACTCTTGGAATTGGGCTTTTGGTGTCTGTAACAATTATTGGAAAGAGAAGAGACAGAATGACAAGATAGATGGAGAGGAGGGACTCTTTCTTCTTGGATGTGTTAAGGAGGACGTTCACTGCAGGCTCTTTACCACACCCCACATGTGGTGCTATATGTTCCAAGACCTAGCAGCCGAGTAGGATTATTCCTGGATTGTGAAGGTAGAACCATGAGCATTGTTGATGTTGATCAAAGTTCCCTTATATACACCATCCATAATTGTGCCTTCTCACCTCTTCTCAGGCCTATCTTTTGCTGTAGTCACTTCTGACCAGAGACAAATCAGAAATGTGTCCACATGCTGTGGGAACCCCTTTATCCCAGGAAGCCCTCTTTTTTGTGCCTTGTCAAAGAGGACAAACAAGTTACATTTAACTTCTTTAGTTGCCTTCTAATGTCATCACAACTCATTAATAGGGTTTCTATTAAATATGGTGAAAACACTATAACCATGTGTATTGGTTCTTTGTTTAATCATTTTTGGAAAATCATTACCCATGATGCATGGCAGAGAATATATTCTCTGGTTTTTCATTATTTCTGAATGTCACAAAGTGAAATCAGAGATGACAGAGGTGTCTAAATGAAGTTAAAATCAATGGAAGAAAATAGGGATCTTGTGCTTCATGAAAAAACTTGGAGTAAAAAGACTCAGTGGTAACTTGGAAATATTCTCTTTCTCTTCATCTAACAATATTATACTTATCCATGTGTTTTATTTATGAATCTATACTTTGAGGTAATCTTATTTGACCTCCTATGCTGTGCTTATCTTTGTAAATCTCATCTTACATACAAATGCTCATGCCTTATTAGAGTGCTGTTCTACAGTGAAATTTACAAGGTGATCAGGACAATGCTGGATCAATTAAATATTCAAATGGACATAAATGCTCACCCCTACCTCAAACCATACACAGTTCATTTCCACATGGATTCATGGTCTGAAGGTGATGAGAACACAATAAAATATTCTCAAAGAGAAAGATTTCCTAACCAGGACAAAAAAGTAACAATTAAGAAGGAAAATTTAGTTAGTTTATATCAAAAATGATTCTGTGTTTCAAAATATACCATCCAAGAATTAAAATGCAAACCGAGTGGAGAAAAATATTTATCCCGACATATATGCAATAAAATATAATACATGTGATTAAGGATTGTAATAAATAAAAGAAAGTGAACCCAATATAAAATTGGGTAAAATATTTGAACAGGCACTTCATAAAATTGGAGCCATAAATAACTAATAACTGGCCAAATATGAAAAAGGGATTACTTTTATTAGTCCTCAGAATAGTAAAAATTAATCCGTAAATTGAACTGCAGGCCTCCATAAAAATTAGTAAAATTTAAAGACACATAAAATTGTGTGTTGTGAAAGATAAAGAATCAATGAAAGTTATTCATGGCTGGAGGGATATAAACTGAAACAGCTTTTGGCAAACTGACTATGAGTATTCCTTATGCGCTAGATATTCTAATTCTAAAATATGTTCCACAGATTACCTATGTGTATTTCAAGATAAACACAATGTTGATCATTGCATCAATTTTTATAGTAGCTCCAAATTGGAGACATAATAAATATTCATCAATAGTAGAATTGCTAAATAAATTGTGATCTCATCATACAAAAGAATCCTATAAAACAAAGATAATAACAATGAAATGTAACAAATTAATGAATCTCAAAGAGAAGTTTAAGAAGAAGAATTGAAACACACAAATGTTATATTACAGTGTTTTATTTAGATAAATTTCAAACTCCATTAATTAATATTAGAAGTTAGAATATTGAATATTTTGGAAGGTGATCGTTAGGAAACTTAAAAATTAACCAGGATAAGATACAGGAAGCATTGCATTCAAGGAGAGAAACTGTAATTATTTTTCATGAATAAGAGAATTAAATATTTTTAAAAAATATTTTAACATGTAAAATAAGGAGTTTGACATAGATGAATTTGATGTTATGCCTAATTTTTCAAATGCATATATATATAAATAATTTAATTTATGGTAAGTTAACATCATCATGAAGACATAAAACTTTTTTTATTATTATACTTTAAGTTCTGGGGTACACGTGCAGAATGTTCAGGTTTTTTACTTAGGTATACACGTGCCATGGTGGTTTGCTGCACCCATCAACCCATCATCTACATTAGGTATTTAACCCAGTGCTATCCCTCCCCTGTCCCCCCACCCCCTGACAGGCCCTGGTGTGTGATGTTCCCCTCCCTGTGTCCATGTGATCTCATTGTTCAACTCTCACTTATGAGTGAGAACATGAGGTGTTTTGTTTTCTGTTCTTGTGTTAGTTTGCTGAGAATGATGGTTTACAGCTTCATCCATGTCCCTGCAAAGGACATGAACTCATCCTTTTTTATGGCTGCATAGTATTCCATGGTGTATATGTGCCACATACATTTGTTTTACAGTCTGTGAAGAGATTCAGTGAATATCACATTTAAAGACCTGTATTTACCTCCCCGTCTCTCCCGTGTAACAAAACCTAAAACTACAAAGGAAAAGATAAGGAATATCATTGCCCTTGGGACACTGGTAAAACTAATTGAACTTTGGAAATGGGAAAACAAAAAAGAGGAAAAAAATATGTGGAGGATTTAGATGTACACCTGAAGTTTGGACAGGATCATTAAGAAGGTTCCAGCCATGAAGACCCAGAAACAGTGTCAACCTGTGACTGAGCTTCATCAGAATGACAGAGTATGCTTCTCCATCCTCATCCCCACTCCCAACTAGGCTAACAATTGTTGAGTAACAGGTCAAAGCAGTGTCTTCTGGGGGACTGAACGGAATTTGAAGGGAAACTTAAAGGTGAGGATACAGCAGATACTGAGAAAAGCTGCTGAACCAGTCCAATCCGAAACACAAAGTAATGCTAGATGAGCAGGAAACCTATGGTGCACTGAAATTAACTCTAAGAGGAACAAGACCCAAAACCAAATCAACTCCTGACTAGATTGATTCAACCTTCTCCCTCAAAACACACACATTCAGCCTAGTAAAAGGGAACACATGTTGGTTTTGCTTTCTATATTAGTCTACTCTACACAGTTCACTTTTTGAGTAAAACTTACCAGACATATATAGAAACAGAAAAGATACATAAAGGAAACACTGTTAAGAGACTAAGCAATAAATAAAGCCAGATTCAAATGTGGCAGAGGTGTTGGAATTACCTTTCAAGTAGATCTCATAGGTACTGTTTTAGAAGCCCTTAGTAGGGTATAAAGCCTCCTTTTTTTTTTATTATACTTACGTGACAAGATCATCCTTTTATCCTCTTATATAAAAAAATTTCTAATCCACATTCATCTCCGTATTGGCAGTTACATTTTTTGACACTTTACAAATATTAGTCCACTGTCTTATTCTTACATTTATGATTGTGGAGCAGTCTGTTGTCATTCTATTATGTGTTCCCTCAAAATGAAACAGTTTATTTTGGCTTCTTTTAAGAGATTCTTCATCTTCAGTAGTGGTTTCAAACTTAAACACATCATCATGAATCAGCCACCAAAGAAGAAAATTACTAAAAATCAGCCAAAATATATTGTTTTGCACATTCAATACAAAGTAAAGTTATATTTTACACATCCAAAATGGGGATTGGTTGGCTTCCTGAATTCATTTGTTTACTCTGAAAAAATTATCAAACATTATACCCTTGAATATGTTCTCTCCTCATCTTCTCTAGTTAGCTCTACTTTGTGCTACAGCCAATCACACATGATGCTGTTTATAAAGCACATACATGATACTCTCATCCTCGATGTGTCACTCACTCTCCTAGTTTACCTCTGTTTGTCCATCTGTGAAGCCCTCATGACATATCTTTATATCTATTAACCAATTCACACTTTCTGCAGCTTCATTTAAGTTGCTAAACAAAGTTTTCACTAAACAGCAAATTTTACTTATTTCACTTTTTATCAATATAAATTATAATTTTTATTCTTCAATGTCTGCCAAATGTGAAAA